>NC_000023.11:17289003-17592033 GCF_000001405.40 Homo sapiens | reverse complement strand
ACACACACACACACACACACACATCAGTGGACCACTCCATCTCAGATGCACAGTCGCAGTATGATGCAAACACACAGAAACACAAGACTATCCAGGAACCACGAGAGTCAGAAGCTTTAGTTTTGGTTTCAAGTTGGCCACCTCAGATAAAGGCAGCCGGAGGGAAATGAGGGAGCCTGCTGGACAATATTCTCAAGATTGGAAATATATTCCATTCCCGGTTCAGCCAGTAATGAGTCATTTCTTTCAGCAAGCTCTGTCTCAGTCTTTTTGTTTTTAAGACTCCTTCCATTCTATGATGCTATAAAGACCCACTTGAAAAACAACCAGCAAGGTCAATTTCACACAGTATGGATTTGTGGGGCAAGCAGTGTGATCCGGGGTCACACATTAGTTGGTGCACCTCGGGCAATTTATTACACAGTTTAAAACTACGCAGTGTCAAGTGAGTTTGACCTGGGCACGAAGGCAGAAAGCATACCTATTCTATGTGAAATTTTAAGGGCAGGGTGGAGGATTCTGTCTTCATACCAAATACCATGGAAATAATAGAGACAGATGTTTTCCTACCCATTATAAGGGCTTAAAATGTAATCTGCAAGTATGCATCGGCTTCTGATCTCGGCTAGTAGATCTTGGGTTTGGTTGTGGAAGTGCAAAAATTGCTGCGTTGACACCCTTTGGCCACCAGAGAGCTCCCTGCATCCAACCAGGGGTGCCTATTGGATCAGCAAGCACAAGTTTGCAAAATGCAGGGTGCCCTCCCTACGACCTAGAGCACAGATTCTATTGCTATCTCTTACACCAGCAAAATCCACTCATTTTCTCCATCAACAGTAACTCTGGCCTTGTCCTTTTGCCTTTTACAATGTGGGACTTGATGTATTCAGGAGGCAGAGGATTAACATGGGTACCAGGTTCCACATAGGACAAATGATTCCCCAGCTGTGGGGTAAAAGAAGTCCTGGCCTTCAGATTTATGTGTTGCTTATGGCTACCAGAGCCAGTGACTATATGGAACACAGTACTCAAGAAAACTTCTTTTTATAGGTTTTATTTGGTGGCGATTTTCTTTTTCTATTCAAGTGGAAAAATATAAACTAGTATAAAGAAGAAAATGATGATAATCCATCATTCCACCATCTCAGAGAAAATTACTAAGATTTGGACATAGTTCCTTTCATCTTCTTGGTTTTTCTTTGTATGTGTGTGTTGGGGGGGATGTGTGTGTATTCTTACATAGTTGGAGTCCATTTGTATTCTGACATTTTTGGTAATTTTTCTAACCTGATATGATATTTTCTCTTAATTTTATAAGTGTTTTCCACATCATTACATGCACAATGCAAGACAGCTTGGAGAATTCAGAGGCACAGAAGAAAATAAAAAACCCTTGTTTTTTCAGTACCCAGAGATAATCATTTTCACATTTTGGCATTTTACTGCCAGTCATTTTTCCATTTATGGTGTTTGTTTTTATAAAACTGGGACTATACTATATATACTGTTTTATAGACTGCCCTTTTTAAATAATTTTATATAACAACCATTTCCTCCATATCATTAAATATCTTCCCAAAACATGATTTTTAATATCTGGGTAATACTAAAAACCATGAATGGAGCTTAATTCATTTAATAAATTGTCTGTTGTTGATCATTTGTGATGAATCCAATGTTATTTATTCCAGATAGCACCAAGATGAACAACTTTATACTAATCGTATCCTATCATATCATCATAGATGGTCCACCTAGCATAAGCTTTTAGATTTTGAATTACCAGATCAAAGGGTTCGAACATTTTCAAAAGACAGATTCCAACTGCCACACAGTCCCCCAGAAATGTATCATTTCATATTCCCATTAGGAATATATGAGAATCTCTGTCTCATCACACCCTCACCCATGCTGGGGATCACCAATTTAAAAAATGTTTGCCCATTTGATACATACACACTTGCACACACACAGAGAGTTATTTCTCATTGAACATTTAAAACTTCATGTATTGCTCTCAAACAAGGACATGAATAGACAATTCTCAAAAGAAGATATACAAATGACCAACAAACACATGAAAAAAATGCTCAACATCACTGATGATCAGGGAAATGCAAATCAAAACCACAATCCAATACCATCTTACTCCTGCAAGAATGGGCATAATCAAAAAAATATAAAAAATAATAGACATTGGCATGGATGCAGTGAAAACAGAACACTTCTACACTGCTGGTGGGAATGTAAACTAGTATAACCACTATGGAAAACAGTGTGGAGATTCCTTAAAGAACTAAAAGTAGATCTACCATTTGATACAGCAATCCCACTACTGGGTATGTACCCAGAAGAAAATAAGTCATATGAAAAAGATACTCACTCACGCATGTTTATAGCAGCACAATTCGCAATTGCAAAAATAGGGAACCAACCCAAATGTCCATCAGTCAACGAGTGGAGAAAGAAAATGTTACCCACATACACACATACATACCATGGAATACCATGGAATGCTACTCAGCCATAAAAAGGAACAAAATGATGGCATTCGCAGCTACCTGGATGAGATTGGAGACTATTATTCTAAGTGATGTAACTCAGGAATGGAAAACCAAACATCGTATGTTCTTACTTATAAGTGGGAGCTAAGCTATGAGGATGCAAAGGCATAAGAATGACACAATGGATTTTGGGGACTCAGGAGTAAAAAGAGTGGGAAGGTGGGGAGGGATAAAGGACTTCAAATTGGGTTCAGTATATACTGCTCAGGTGATGGGTGTACCAAAATCTCACAAATCACCACTAAAGAACTTACTTGTGTAACCAAATGCCACCTGTTCCCCAAAAACCTATGGAAATAAAAAATTAAAAAATAAAAATAAAACTTCATGTATTGGCCATTTGTATTTCTTCTTTTGTGAATTATTGAGAACCTAGTAAGTATCTAACACTGTGCTATGTGTTGAAAAACAATTATCACTAAATCTTCCAAGAAACCTGGAAGACAGGTACTATAATCTCAATTTTGCAGGTGAGGAAACTGAGACTTAAAGATGTTGTGTCTTCTCAAGGTCACACAGCAAGAAAATGACAAAGTTTGGCTTCAAATGCAGATCCGTGATTCCCAATCTCATGCTCTGCCTACAATACCACATTGCCTCCCTGAGAAATTTTTGAAATGTATTTTTATAGAGGAGATAAGATTAAAGAACCCTGCTATATCTGTACAAGAAATGTTGAGACTGTTAATATCTATGTAACTTCTACTCTGAAGGTTTAAACAAAAAAGGGATGAAAGAACAATGGAGATCATTTTATGTTTACAGAGTCCAACTGCCTCACTTTCACAGATGAAGATCCTGAAACCCTGATGAGTTAAATGACTTGCTAGGTCGTGAGGTTTGACCAAAAAATGGGGAAAAAGGGCAAAAAAAAAAAATCCCCCACAAACAGCACAATAACTTGATAAGCTCTTTCGTGAGTCTATGCTTTGCACATTTCTCTCTGTCATCCACCTGATGACTCAGCTAAGCTGTCAGGTCCTCTACAAAACCTCCCATTATTTTTAAGGCAGAATTGACTGTCTCTGTCTTCTGTATGCATCTGTACTACAGCGCTTACTGTATTATGTAGCAGAGATGTCCAACTGGCCAACAAAATTTTTTAATCCCTTCCATAGTCTTGAGCTGCTGATGGAAAGTAGCTGCAGAGCCAGACTGGATTTCCAGGCACCCTCTCCCCAACCCTGGCATCTAGGAGTGGCCATGTGACTTATTTTTGTGAATGCTATGTGGGAGCATAGATCTCCTACCATACTGCACCCCTCCCCAGACCCTGACTTGCTTACTGCTTTTGAACCGTGTTATTTTGGAATATGATGCTTAGAACAAGGCAACCATGTTGCAATCACAAGACAAGCCTAAGAACACAAAGCCAACATGCTGAGAATGACCAAGCAAAAGAATGGGAAGAGACAACCCTAGAACCATCTACATTCAGGCATTATATTTTGTAAGACAATCTTTATCATTGGAGCCACCATTACTATGGTATTCTGTCCTTGAAGTTAAAAGCCATCCCGCTGTAGTCTCTGATTACTCGCCTCTGTCTTTCACAAGATCATTAGCTTTCAGGACATCCTTCATATCTAATTCATCTTTGTATCCTTGTTCCCTAGGTCTATTATAGAGCCTTACAAGGCTTCAACAAACATTTGCTGAATCAAATCCACCAATGATATTCAATTTTGGTAAAAGATTATGCTATGACCAAATAATTCTTGATTTTCACTGGTCAATTTCTCTAAGAACCTATTTGCTTAAAACCACTCTTCCAACTGTGGCTCCAGGAAGCTCTCTGCCGTTCACACAGCCCTGTACAGAATTTCCTAGGCTAGGATTCATTTACTGCTTGTTAATTAGTCAAGTGCTGAGTGCACCACAGGACTCATTTTTACATTATTCGCACAATTGCGTAATTAGCATTTTAAAAGGTTTTCTAGGAGGCTGGCCCAAGTAAGTTTATCTTGAAAAATGTCACAAAAGGAAAAGAATAATTAACAAATCAGTTCCCAAGCAGATTTAGTGGACAACTGGCTTCAGCCCGAAAGGCACTGCATGGAGGACTGGCTTCTAGTTCATGGCCAAAGAACGCATCTTCGCTGGACTGAAACTGGAAGGGGTTCTCAACCCTGTTCCCAGAGCAGCAGACCTGGTGAGGAAGGGAAGGAACACTCTGTGCTTGGTGGTGTTACGTGGTTTTTAGACTACTCAGTTTGACAATTAACTGAGGGCGCCTGTTCAATTTATTCCAACTAATTGGACAGTTACCAGTTTGGTAGTTTGTTTTTGGAAGAAGCTTAAGAAGTGCATGAGAGAGATCTCATTTTTATTAAGTGAAAAAAATGTGTATTCTTTAATGTAGATGGCAGTTGCCTCATAAATTAATTAATCAATGGATTAATATATGTCAATGTATTTCTATCTTCTCCTAGAAACCCCAACTTACTAAATCAGCATTGTCCCAGGTATTGGGAAATTCAGTTTTTAGGCCTCTTCTCTTCTATAATTCATGAAAAACCTAGGTGACTATAGCAAGTCACTTTAGAAGTTAAGAGAAAATCGTGATACCATTTCCTGCCCTGTCAATCTCAGAGGGTTCAAAAAATAATAACAAGCCTGTGTAAAGCCTACAGCACAGCCAAGAAAGTTTTTTCAGGGCTGCTCTGCCATTTTGGCCACAGAGAAGGAGCATCCATGCTTCCCATGGTGCTTCAGCCAGCAGTCCTTTGCTTATGGCATCTCTGCCCAGCTTCCCAAGACCTGGTGGATGGGCAGGGTTGATTAGAGGGCTGGGCTAAGGAAGTCATGGATTCTAGTCCTACCAGGGGTCAAGCAACATTAGCAACATTCTCAGATCTTCGATAAATCCTGTGTTTGCTCACAGAAGGTGGCCAAGGAGCATGTGGTTAAAAAGGAGAATCTGATCTGTTTATTGAAAAAGCAAGTGACAAAGTGTCCTGTCCTTCTGTCAATCCCATGTGGGTTCCCAGCTACATTTTCTCTCAGGCATCTTATTATTATTAAATGCTCTGTGGTGACTATAATTGTATGCTTTCCTTTGTATGTGTTTGAGCAGCTTTTACATGTGTGCTTTGGGTTTTCTTTGGATCTAAGTACCTTTAGGGCGGTGGCTTGTTTTCTGATGTTCTTGTAGCCATTCTCAGTTGGCACATCCAGAGAAGAGAGTCTGCAGTATACAAAGGACAGACACTCCCACACTCACCCAACCCACAGCACCTCATTGTCACTGCTCTCAGACCACCAACATGGTTCTGTAAGACAAGAACTTCCAGACCCATATTCTTAAATAGATAAGAGGGGGCACAGAGAGGTTAAGTAACTTGTCCCAGGCCCCAGAGCTGGTTGGTGGCAGAACCAAGACAAGGAGATGGGTGCTCTGACTCTACCACTGGACTTTTTGAATTAAATTGTGTGATAACAAATACACTCCTGGTTTTGAAAAGAGAAAAAAAAGCATCTCCAGTCTGGTCCCGCCTTTTGCCAGATGACTTCGAGGTTCTTCTCATTTCTTCTGCTTTCTGTGTACAAACAACCACAGAGACACACTCTTATTATTTTTTTATAATGAAATTGGCAAAATAAACAGTTCTTTTTTTCACTTCATAAAAAAAACCCTAAAACCTCAATCGATCTTCCATCAGCTCATCTAGAATGTGATTTTTGTTCTAAGTCAGTCTGAGTTATTATTATTATTATTATTATTATTATTACTATTATTTTTGGTCATAAATCCCCCATGATATCCCTGGGAGGTGGGGCCTCCTCTGGATGGTGGCATCTGTAGGAAGGCTGCAGGTGCTTCCAAGGGAAGGAATAGCTTTACCTGGGGGACCCCTCCTCAGAGCAAAAGGCCCATTCCAGGTATTCTCCTCTCTTATTGAAGAGAGCAACCATGAAGAAAATCTAACCACACTGGATCCCAATGGATCTTTAGAAAACCAAACAGAGGGCCCTGCTTCTTCACTCACATCGCCCCATCCTGGGTGAAAATGCTGCTGGCAAAACACTGCTCATTGATGTTTGCCATACCCCTAAAGGTCTGAATCTAAGAAACATGTACTCAGCACTGATATACAGAAAAAGCACATACTACTCACAACAATAGCTAATAGTAGTTTAGCCCAGAAAATGTCAGATATTGCACTAAATCCTCACAACCACCCTATGAAGTAAGTGCTAATATTGTCTCACTTTTACAGATGAGGAAACAGGCACAGAGAAGTTAGGTAACCAGTCCAACGACACACAGCTAGAGCAATAATAAATAATGATTAACTCTAAGGAACAGTTTGGAGACGGGCTACTTTCCACTTTTAAAAAACTGTAGTCCAGGCACGGTGGCTCATGCCTATAATCCCTGCACTTTGGGAGGCCCAGGCAGGAGGATCATTTGAGGCCAGGGGTTCAAGACCAGCCTGAGCAACATAACTAGACCCTGTCTCTATCCTCACGAAAATAAATAAAAATTGTATGCATTACTGTTTATTATTTTTTTAGCCACAAGCAACTGCATTACTTCTGCAATTAAAAAGGATGTTGCAAGCTATAAAGTCAGCCTAATTCAGACTACATGAAAAAAAAAGCTAAGTTCCTATATTGATAACAATATTTTAAAAGAAAGTATAGCTCTCGTCTTTAAGTGTTGAAGCCAGGCCAACCAAGTACCACCCAGTAAGGTTTTCTAGGGAGACTATTTGTTTGTGAAAAGGTATTGAAAAAGGGGACCTCAAGTGACTGGGGATGCTTAAAATGCTTCATCTTCTGAGGCATTTTAAATATTCTCCCAGCTTTCCCAGCATTACTCATTTTCTAGTCCTTGGTGAATCAACATCCCAAATTCCACACTAGTGGCTCTGGTCTAACAAGGTTTGTTCATATCACAAGAACAGAGTAGCTGAATAAAATTCATGAATTACTGCCAAATCCAACGTTTATCTTTGATGCCACCGCCTTTTGCAAAAACAGAACTTTGTGTGGCAGCTGCCACGAGACACTGATGGTGAACAAACACCAATAGGAGGCCCACCAAGGCAGCAGGCAAGAGGAAAAGGAGAAACAAGACACCCAGCTTCTCTGCCCAGAAAGCAGGAGCAGTAGCCACCCGAGTAGCTGGGTTGTGTGCCCCACCCTGCCCTCCCTCCCCAGGGAAGGGGTGGCCTCTCCTTTGTCCTCCCTCCTCAGAGCCTCTGAGGGGTATGAAAGTCGAAACCCAGAGGAAGTTCAACAGTGTCAGGATGCAATTACTCAGGAAGGACAGACTTCTTTTGAGAGTCTCTAATTTTCAAATCAGAGAATCTAGAAAACTCGGCAGCTCAAACTCTCCTCACTGCCCATCATACCCCCATAAGGAAAGCTTCTGGTCTTCTTACAGAGACACAGGACTGCCTGTCTCAGCAAACAAATTATCCACTTCGATCAGGGCTTCCTCTATGCCAACTCCCAACCCTCTCAGAAAACAGAGCAGGAAAAAGAGACAGAGAGAGAGGAAGAAGAATCAGGGACATCTGCTGGTTGCCACATCCATTTGCATAATTGGATTAATAAGCTCCATTTTGGAAATGGCCTAAATATATTTTTACATGAACATTGTTCTAAAACCTCATTAAGATTCAATTTACAACCCACCAAATAGCAGAAAACTTTCACTAGAGCTATGATATTATCCCCAGTCAAACCTAACAAAGGAAAGTATACAGGGAAATCCTACAATAATTTGTGGACATCTCTGGCTTAAACGTGAAGTGGGGCAGGGTGAGGCAAGGTGGGATGGCATGAAGACTGACTTTCCTTCGTTTCCTTCGGGAGTTGCTTATCTGCTGAGGGAATTCCTCCTCGCAACAGCCAGTCCAAATCTAGGTCTTCCGAATTCACCTGTGTCATTCCTTTGGCGGAAATAATTTGTTTGGGTGGCCACGTCTGGTGGGCATTTCAAGGCTGAATTAGTTTTGCTTAAGATTAACTACTCCAGATCATTCCCTTGAACACAAGATACCTTGTTTAGGGAGGAAGGAGAGAGGATTGATTTGTGTAAACACCTGGAAGTTGGGAGGCTCGTTACATCATCCTCAGAGGATCCATCAATACCAAATGAATGAATGGAGTTGGAGGCATTACTTGTTATGGGATGGATTTGCAGTATCCTTCCCATAGCACTTACCGCCACCTGACATAGTTCATTATCTCCCTCTCTTCCCTAGGATATAAGCTCTCTGAGCTCAAGGACCTTATCTGACTTGCAAACCCCTGTATCTCCTGCACCTAGAATTATGTACACAGTGGCCAAGAAATATTTGTTGATTAGCTATGCAAGATCATTGGAAAGTGGCACTCCAAATGACATGTAGAAACAGCCTGGTGGAATGTTCTACCCCAAAAGTTATAAAACATCCAGATTCTTCCCAGAGCAGTTAAACTCCAACTCATGATAGAAAGACCAAACCAATGACTCAATCAGTAGGTTGGCATATGGTCCCAGTGGGAGCCAAGGCAGGGCTTCAATGCCCATACCATCCTGACCCAGTTAACTCAGACTCACAGCTGGCTATGGCCCCTCCTAACTTGGCATCCATTTTACATACCTGTGTGCATATGTGTATGGGTATGAATGTCTGCCTGTGAGCACACACTTATACAATCTGGGTTTTATTATCTTTATTTTAAAGAACAGGAAACTGAGGCACACGAAGGCCAAGTGACTTGACCTAGGTCGTGCTGCAGGAAGGTTGCAGAGGCAGGATTCACCCCTGAGCACTTAGCCCCCATTGCAGCCACCTAGAATGTGGGGAAACACACCATGCATCTAAAAGGCTTCTCTGTGCAGAGTCAGGTTGTATCCTAGCAGGCCCAGGGAGCGCACTGTCCTCCATGTCTGAAGAGCTCTAGCATATCCAAGAAAAGGCCAAGGACTCTCTCTTCTCAAAGCCACCAGAGGAGCAGTTCCTATCATTCCCTCATCCACCTCCTAACTGGACAACCCCTCTCACTTCTAGGTATGGATGGAGTTGAAGAAAACCCTGCTACACAACCTTGCTTTTACCCCCTATGGTGTTTCAGCCTTTCTTGGAAAATAAATATATCAATTCTTAGTTATCCCTCTTCAGTGACAAGAAACAAGGAAAGCTACAGAATTTTGTAAAATCTCCTTTTGGCCAGCATTTCAACTTCCCTTTGTACCAAATCTTCCTCCCAGAAACACCCTCAGGCAACAGAACAAATGGTTGATTGAAGTTTTATTTCTTCGCCCCATTTCTCCAATGCTGGGTTTTAAAAGTAGGGAAATAGCTAAAAAGCAGGTAATGGAAGAGAAAAGAGAAAGTAAGTGAGGAAACTGAATAAATTTGAGGCCTCCATAACAGCTCCCGAAAACCCAACTGAATTATCTGATTTTAATTCAATGGCCGGACGGGACCAGCTCAGTAGCCCCATCAAGAAAGGGAGTGTGGAGGCAGGGCCCTTGGTGACTTTCAGCAGAGCCAATGGCACAACTTTCTCACTCTGCAATTCTGGAATCTTTTTTGTTTCTTTTTTGGAAGAGAGATTAACGTCACTAAATAATAGAAGACCTACATTCTTGAAAGTTTAATGACTGTCCTACATCAAGCAGCTGTCAAATTTCCTTGCTTGTTTTCCTGACAAAGTGTTTCATTCCAAACGTTCGCAGGAGATCTTGCCTTCATCAGTTTCAAGTCACCACGAAGGGGAAGGTGAAAGGCAGCCCTAGAAAGCAGGAAATCCCAATTTCCTAATTAACCTGTTAATTCCAAAGGCCAGCCTGCCTTTCCTCCAAGCGATTCCACAGAAAGCACAGAGTGGAGAATAAACCAGCTGCAGCAGCCTTATTTTACTCTGTTGGAATTATTAGCCAGCTACAGATGGCCTCATTTTACTCTGTTGGAATTATTAGCCAATTCCAACACACTTCTCCTGTGTGTCTTTGACTTCTCTCCCTTCCTTCAGTTCCCTTCATGGCTGGTGGTCCCAATGCCCAAAACACCCTCTGCAGTGGCCCCTGTGTCTTCTCAGCTGGATTCTTTAGCTTGGCTCCCCCACCTCCAGTCTCTCTTCCCATTTCTGGGGGACCCTCTACCATCAACTCTTGGGTGCAAGCCTCCATTGTTTCCTCAATATCAGTTCTCCACCTTCTTTCCCAGTCATAGACGTGGCCCAGTTCTCTCTCCACACTTTCACTCCTCTCCAGGAACAATACGAGGAATAGATGTTGCCAGAATTAACCTGAGCCCTGTCCTCTCACATTCTGATGTCACCCTGTGAAGAGGGATATTGGAGTTACCCCTTGCTTCCTGTCTCCCTGGTAACCTCATCCAGAGTCACAGCCTTGAGATCACATCTGCATGGTCCCAGGAGGCAAGAGAAGGTGAAACTCAGATTTCCCCACTGTGCTCGAGAGCCACCCCATGCCCTTGAAACTAATGATTAAGCTTCACTTTTAATTACAGGGGAATTTGAACGAGGCATACTCTCCAACTTCCTCACTGCCCTCCCCGCCCCAGTGGTCCTGGCTACAGCAAGGTTGCCCATTAAAGTTCAACTGGACTTCAATCAGAGAGTTCCCGACATGCATGCTTCATTCATTGAACATTTACTTCTTCATGTATACTGCTAGCCAAGCTCTAGTTATGAGTAAAGAAGTCAATGTGAGCAAAGAATTCCATCTGGAGAGAAGACAGACATTTGTTTCCTGTCCTTAGTGACTATTAATAGCATTAGCTTCTCCTTGGAGACTGACTTGGGAAATGAGAAGGGGGAGTGGCTATCTTGCAGGAGCAACAAATCACAGCATCAAGCTCCACACTCTGTCCTCCGCAGGAGACAGAAAAGCTACTGCTAACCCTAGTTAACACTGCAACCAGTTCCCCACGCCTCCCACTGCTGAGCTCCTGTGCTCAGTGTTCGGCTAGACTGCTTTATTTCATAGCAGTTATCCATTTCTAACATACTATCTACTTTATCTATTCATTACATTTATTGTTTCTTCTCTGCCCCCTCCCACTAGAGAAAGAGGGAAGGGACTTTCTCTGCTTTGTTCACTAAGATCATCCCAGTACCCAGGATAGTGTGTGGTACGTAGTAGGTGCTCAATTAATACTTGTTGAATAGCTTAATGAAAATTAGCAGCTGAAGACACCTTAGCTTTTAGTACCTAAAGAGAACTGTACATCCCAAACTAGTGTATGGCATTAAAGAATGCTCAAATGAAGGGTTTTATGATAGCTCTACAGTCCATCTTTTCCCTTCTTTTTTTTTTTTCTGGCATTTGGAGAGAGTGGGGAAAGGGGCAGGATAATGACTATCATTGGTGAAATATTTTTAGGTCTTTGTCTTATTTTGAGTTCCCCAAAAGAGCAGACCTTGAAAGGATGATTCAGGTGCATGATTTGGGTAATTCTAGGAAGGCCAGAAAGAAATGGGGGGATGTGAGACAGGGAAGGGAAGGATGCCAGTACAAGCCACTTTGGGCAATTGGGACTCCATCCTGCTGGGGACCCTCTGAGGGAGAGTAGAGAACACATCTCACCAAGGCCGGGAGGAATCTAGGGTATTCTCCCACCAAATCATCCCCCTCACCCAACTTTGGTTGCCAGTTACTCTGCAGCAGGGTGGAGTGGGTGTTGAATACTTTCCTGAAGCCCAGAGAAAGCCTTCAGACAGAGAGACTGCAATTCTTGAGGTGAGAAACTAGGTGTGTAGCCAATTTCCACTGAGCTACAGGTGACCACCGACTGGACCAAGGGGATAGGGGCAGGGCACTCATAGTATCTGCTACAGTTCTTCACTGTTTCCGTCTGGATCCGCTATGCCTGCGTAAAGAGGGGGTAATTGGTTTTGTTCTTTGTTAGTTGGCATGTCCGCCTGTCCCTCATTAGCCTGGTTGCCTGATGTTTAGATTTTTCCTCTCTTCATCAATAAAGGCAATTAAAGTGTTTCCTTTGGGGATAAAAAGGAGAGGGAGAGGGGGAGCAGGGGGAGAGAGAGAGAGAGAATGGAATCCTATAGTGCTTGAAAAAGGCAGGAGAAGCAAGGCTGCATTCAAATCAAAATAGCATCAGGAAAAAATGCCTACAGAAAGTTCCGCTTTTTCTCATTCATTGTTAACACACTAAAATAAAGCACTCTATAAATACGAAGGACTAGGATGTTTGGAGAGCATCAACCTACTCAAGTTTAAAACATGACACACATTCCTGAGGAGCTAACTGTAAATTGTGTCATGTACTGAGAATTATTTTTTTCACTTTTTACTTGCTTTAAAACGCAAGACTTCCCGGCCAGAATGATATGATCAGGGGAAATGTTTCTTGCCTAGAAATGGCAATAAATGTTTAAAAGGAATTTGAATTTCACCAGGCTTACAAATCCGAATTTGATTTCCTGCAACTGAACTTTTGGCTGAGATAATTTACTGAGTGAGTTACTTGATTTTCCACTACAACACACCTTTTTGTACACTGGTACACACTCACACACATACACACACACTCACACACATGCGCACAGAGTCAGGGGGTGGGAGCATTATCCTTTGACTCCAATAAAGCGCTTCAAACACCCTCTCCAACACTGCAGGAGATGAGAGCAGTGCCGCAAGATACTAGCGAACACTTATTGAGCACTTACTATATGCCAGGTACAGTTGTAAACAGGTTTTTCTTTGTTTGTGGAAATACAATCTGCTCATGAAATATCTTGGACAGATAGATCTAAGAACTGGCTATTTACCAGTTTTGATTATTTTATAACACCAATTGAATTTCTGCCATATGTGAGAAAACAGTCCAGCCTTACTTCTTGTTGCTAATGGCTGTTATTACACATGAAACTATACTGTTTACACTCTTGAGTATTTCGATATATAGGAACTCACTGAATCCATACACCCTATGCAGCCAGTTACTATTCCAGCCCCACTTCACAGAGAAGGAAACTAAAACACAGAGAAGTTAAATGACTTCCTCAAGATCACTTAACCTATAGGTGGCAGAGACAGAATTGGAACCCCGGCAGTTGGGCCTCGAGCCTACTTTCTTAGCTAACTAACCCAATGCTGGGATGCAGGAGGCATCTACCTCTACCCACATGTAACCTTGATGAAGGATATACCTCTTGGGCCTCAGCACCCACAACTAAGAACTCAGATTATTCTTCATAGTTACTGAGAATATACAATTTTCTGATCATTTCCAACATCTGGAAAATGCTAAAAGTCTTTAACATGAGGTATTGGATGTTGGCATAATTAAAGAACATCATTAACCACAGGATTGTTCAGAGAAGCTGTTATAGCCTCTATTGTGTACACCCTTCAAGAGCATTTATGAAATGCTTACTACATATTTAACAAACATATTTTATATTATTTCTAGGACAAGAATGGTGCTAGTTTCATGGCTAGCACAGTAACACCTAACAGGCACTCACACAAACAAGTTTGTTGAATGAATGAATGAATAGCTGGAAGTTATATCAGGGCATATATGTTCTATTAAACTGCAGAACTATAGTACTGGAGGAGTCCTTAGAAACATTCTCATTTAACCACCCTGCCAAAACACTCCTATCCCTTTTTAAAGATGAGAAAATGGAAAGAGTTTGATGAAGTACAGAAAGTAGAGGAAGGGAGACAAGACAGAATGAGGTAGACACAGACAGGCTTCTAACTCTGAGTCAGTTTCCATATTTCTTCATTATTATCTTTAGAGCCAACTTTCAGCATGTCAGCCAATAAACCAGGAACACTTTCCAAAGTCAAATGTGAATGATTTCTGAGGTGTTGGCAGGTTTTTTTGGCCACCTTCTATTAGTATGAAAAATTGAGGTTTTCAATTTAAAGTGGGTATTTCAATTTAAAGTGGATATTTAATCCACTTTAGATCAAATGTTAAAATTCAGGTGGCTAAGGGCATATAGATGTTTGACTCTAAGCCTGGTGTAAGACATTCATCATATTCCATTTTCCAATTTAGGCACATAATATAAGAGGCATTTGATCTAATAAAAATGAAGAAGATTCAACTCATGACTTCTATAGCAAACTATCAGTAACCCGAGAAATACAAAGCACAGAGGTTCCAGGTGCCTGGCATCTCCAAAAGTCGCCTTTATTTTCTTGTGCATTTGAACCTTTTCTCAAATTAAGTCCATGAGGATTTGAATGGATCCATCATAATTCCCTAGGCTCCTAGTTATCTTTCATGAATTCTGATTATGGTTCATAAAAATGTATAATCTACTTCATTAAGACACTAGGGAAGTTGATGGACCCTGGAAGTTTGGAGTGTAGTGTAGTGTTAAAAGAAGAAACAATGGCTACACTTAACAGCTGGGAAGGATATTTATGTCAGTTCCATTTGATCTTCCTACTGGCAGGGGGATTAGGAGAAGGAGGAAAACCAGAGAAGGATGTCGGGTCTAAAATCACAATCTCGGGCAACTGAGGTCCACCAGATAACCTTTAGGGCATTTTCTTTCTTTCCTTGTTTGTTCTCCTGTCTGTGCACTGGGAGGAGAATGAACATACTATTTGTTTTCTTTGAAGATTTGCTTCTGATGAGAGATTTTGGGAATGCATCAAGGCTGGATAAGTGCCCATCCCTCAACCTTGAGATGCTGTAAATTGAACAGAACTGGATAGGGTCCATAAGTCGCCTTTCCCCATCACTGCTTCTCATGAAAGGGAAAACAATCGTGTGTTTATCCTCACCATTGACAGTGTGCAGATGTGTTTTCTTAATGGCACCTGCGACACGTTTATTTATCCTCTTGGGTGCTTAGAGCCTGTGCGTTTCACATCTTTTCCAGCTGTACAGGGCAAGGCTGTTGGTAACCTTCTGTTTTTCAAACTAATTCTCTTACTCTGGATTGTTTGTTTTATTTTTAAGTAATTTAACCCACACAAGTAGCCCTTGGGAGAAGGGTTATTTAATCAAGGGAAAGTTGTTTAGAACACCACCCATGAGATCTTCCCATAGTTCACCCTTTGGCCAGGACAAAGGTGGGGTGATGAGAAAAAATGTGATTTGCCTTGGATCAGTCTTCCTGAGAAAAATTCAAGGAATGTCAGCAAGGTGGGAAGAGACCAAATCTATACATCTCGTTACCCTTATCAGAGAATATCTCTAGTAATCATACAAAGAAGAAATTAACTTCCAAAGGTGCAAAGCTGAATTCTGGTTCACTTTCTGTAATATTAAATTATTGGAGGGTGAATATATACATGACTGATTATCTGTGAGTCAGAGATTCAACTATTTTGGGTGGCTGAGGATAGTGAGAGAATAACATATTAGGTATTCTATAAGTGCTATTCAGGGAATAACATTCCCTGGATACTCTAGACATCGAGAGAACTATTGAACTTCTAATATCCCTCTATTTTTCACTCTGCATCCTGCCACAAGGCCAAGAGAACCAATTGCAACAGACACTATCTTTTCTTGCTATGCAACAGATCTGTGGCCTCTTTGTGTTGAAATTCCAAGGAGGGTACCACTCTCTGGAATGAGACAGGCCTTTGCTCGTGTCTGGGGCACACAATGGCAGGCAAGGGGGTATAAAGAAGATTTGGGGCAGTGAGAGAAGTCAGAGGAGCTGAGCCCCAGCCATAACCCTTCATGCTTCCAAATAGACATCCTAGACATGCCAGATACATGAGCCATTTGTGTGTCAATAAATATTGATTGCACACCTACCATGAGAGGAGCATTGTGCTGAGTGCTGGAGGTACAACAGCAAACAATGTAGACATGGTTATTGCTTTCATGGAGCTTACAGTTTAGTGGGGGAAGTAAAGAGAAATCAAGGACCTACTCAAATAAATGAAAAGACTTCTATTAATAAATTGTGAGAAGATTGATGAAGGATATAATGAGTGTGTTGAGATACAGAAAACATGGAGGAGGGGGAGGGATACTCAAGTATGAGGAGGTAACATTAAGCAGAGTTCTGGAGGATGAAGTGATGGGAAAAATAGCAGAGGAAACAGCAGGTATGAATGCTCTGAGGCAGGAAAGAGCTTGCATGTATTTTAAAAACTGGTGATGTATTTTAAAAACTGGTGATGTATTTTAAAAACTGGTGATGGGCCAGTGTGCCAAGGGAGTATGGCCCAGCATGAAGCTGGACCGGTGGGAACAGCTTGCCAGGTCATGCAGGGCCTTGCAGGCCATGGCCAGGAGCTTGGATTTCATCCTAAGTGCAGTGGGAAGGAAAGGAGGAGTTTATAAAGGGGCACGCCAGTGTGTGACCCATGAGTTAAAGGATCACTTTGATGGTTGTGTGCAGAATGGACTGCAGCAAACACTAGTGGACGTAGGGAGGCCAGGAAGGAGGCAGCTGCTATGGTCCAGGTAGGAGTACGTAGTAGTTTTAGGCAGTGGTGCCAGAGATGAAGAGGAGGCAGCGGATGTTACTGAATTCTCTTCTCCCTTCATTGTCACTGTCTCTGCTCATGAAGGATCAATATCATCATGTTAAAACAGACCCTCATGTCTAGGTCCTAGGAACTGGAGCCATTCTGTGCCTCAGTTTCCCCATCTATAATGGTAACAGCACCTACATCATAGGATTGATTTAAGATGTATTTAGAACAGGGAGGTTGGTTCCAAGATGGCCAAATGGGAACAGCTCCAATCTACAGCTCCCAGCGAGATCGATGCAGAAGACGGGTGATTTCTGCATTTCCAACTGAGGTAGCTGGTTCATCTCATTGGGACTGGTTGGACAGTGGGTGCAGCCCATGGAGGGTGAGCCGAAGCAGGATGGGGTGTCGCCTCACCTAGGAAGCACAAGGGGTCGGGGGATTTCCCTCTCCTAGCCAAGGGAAGCCATGAGTGACTGTACCTGGAGGAGCGGTACACTTCAGCCCAAATACTGCGCTTTTCTCATTGTCTTTGCAACCAGCAGACCAGGAGATTCCTTCCTGTCTGGCTCGGTGGGTCCCATGCCCATGGAGCCTTGCTCGCTGCTAGCACAGCATTCTGAGATAGACCTGGGACACTGGAGCTTGGTGGGGGGAGGGGAGTCCACCATGGCTGAGGCTTGAGTAGATGGTTCTATGCTCACAGTGTAAACAAAGTGGCAGGGAAGCTCGAACTGGGCAGAGCCCACCGCAGCTCAGCAAGGCCGACTGTCTCTCTAGATTCCACCTCTGGGGGCAGGGCATATCTGAACAAAAGGCAGCAGACAGCTTCTCCAGACTTAAACGTCCCTGCCTGACAGCTCTGAAGAGAGCAGTGGTTCTCCCAGCATGGCGTTCGAGCTCTAATGATGGACAGACTGCCTCAAGTGGGTCCCTGACCCCTGTGTAGCATGACTGGGAGACACCTCCCAGTAGAGGCCAACAGACACCTCATATAGGCAGGTGCCCCTCTGGAATGAAGCTTCCAGAGGAAGGATCGGGCAGCAGTATTTACTGTTCTGCAGCTTCTGCTGGTGAAACCCAGGCAAACAGGGTCTGGAGTGGACCTCCAGCCAACTCCAACAGACCTGCAGCTGAGAGGCCTGTCTGTTAGAAGAAAAACTAACAAACAGAAAGGAATAGCATCAACATCAACAAAAAGGACATCCACACCAAAACCCCATCCGTAGGTCACCAACATCAAAGACCAAAGTTAGATAAAACCACAAAGATGGGGAGAAACCAGAGCAGAAAGGCTGAAAATTCCAAAAACCAGAATGCTGCTTCTCCTCCAAAGGAACACAACTCCTCGCCAGCAAGGGAACAAAACTGGATGGAGAATGAGTTTGACGAGTTGACAGAAGTAGGCTTCAGAAGGTCGGTAATAAACTTTTCCGAGCTGAAGGAGCATGTTCTAACCCATTGCAAGGAAGCTAAAAACCTTGAAAAAAGGTTAGATGAATGGCTAACTAGAATAAACAGTGTAGAGAAGAGCTTAAATGATCTGATGGAGCTGAAAACCACATTACGAGAACTTCGTGAAGCATACATAAGCTTCAATAGCTGACTCGATCAAGCAGAAGAAAGGATATCAGTGATTGAAGATCAAATTAATGAAATAAAGTGAGAAGACAAGATTACAGAAAAAAGAGTGAAAAGAAATGAACAAAGCTTCCAAGAAATATTGGACTATGTGAAAACACCAAATCTACCTTTGATTGGTGTACCTGAAAGTGATGGGGAGAATGGAACCAAGTTAGAAAACACTCTTCAGGATATTATCCAGGAGAATTTCCCCAACCTAGCAAGGCAGGCCAACATTCAAATTCAGTAAATAACAGAGAACACGACAAAGACACTCTTCGAGAAGAGCAACCCCAAGACACATAATTGTCAGATTCACCAAGGTTGAAATGAAGGAAAAAATATTAAGGGCAGCCAGAGAAAGGTCGGGTTACCCACAAAGGGAAGCCCATCAGACTAACAGCTGATCTCTCTGCAGAAATGCTACAAGCCAGAAGAGAGTGGGGGCCGATATTCAACATTCCTAAAGAAAAGAATTTTCAACCCAGAATTTCATATCCAGCCAAACTAAGCTTCATAAGTGACGGAGAAATAAAATACTTTACAGAGAAGCAAATGCTGAGAGATTTTGTCACCACCAGGCCTTCCTTACAAGAGCTCCTGAAGGAAGCACTAAACATGGAAAGGAGCAACCGGTACCAGCCACTGCAAAAACATGCCAAATTGCAAAGACCATTGACGCTATGAAGAAACTGCATCAACTAATGGGTGAAATAACCAGCTAGCATCATAGCGACAGGATCAAATTCACACATAACAATATTAACCTTAAATGTAAACGGGCTAAATGCCCCCAATTAAAAGACACAGACTGGCAAATTGGATAAAGAGCCAAGACCCATCAGTGTGCTGTATTCAGGAGACCCATCTCACATGCAAAGACACACAAAGGCTCAAAATAAAGGGATGGAGGAAGACCTATGAAGCAAATGGAAAGCAAAAAAAAAAAAAAAAAAAAAAGCAGGGGTTGCAGTCCTGGTCTCTGATAAAACAGACTTTAAAATAAAGATCAAAAGAGACAAAGAAGGCCATTATATAATGGTAAAGGGATCAATTCAACAAGAAGAGCTAACTATCCTAAATATATATGCACCCAATACAGGAGCACCAAGATTCATAAAGCAAGTCCTTAGAGATCTACAAAGAGACTTAGACTCCCACACAATAATAATGGGAGACTTTAACACCCCACTGTCAATATTAGACAGATCAACAAGACAGGAGGTTAACAAGGATATCCAGGACTTGAACTCAGCTCTGCACCAAGCAGACCTAATAGACATCTACAGAACTCTCCACCCCAAATCAACAGAATACACATTCTTCTCAGCAACACATCACACTTATTCCAAAATTGACCACATAATTGGAAGTAAAACACTCCTCAGCAAATGTAAAAGAACAGAAATCACAACAAAATGTCTCTCAGACCACAGTGCAATCGAACTAGAACTCAGGATTAAGAAACTCACTCAAAACTACACAACTACATGGAAACTGAACAACCTGCTCCTGAATGACTACTGGGTACATAACGAAATCAAGGCAGAAATAAAGATGTTCTTTGAAACCAATAAGAACAAAGACACAATGTACCAGAACCTCTGGGACACATTTAAGCAGTGTGTAGAGGAAAATTTATAGCACTAAATGCCCACAAGAGAAAGCAGGAATGATCTAAAATCAACACCCTAACATCACAATTAAAAGAACTAGAGAAGCAAGAGCAAACACATTCAAAAGCTAGCAGAAGACAAGAAATAACTAAGATCAGAGCAGAACTGAAGGAGATAGAGACACAAAAACCCCTTCAAAAAATCAATGAATCCAGGAGCTGGTTTTTTGAAAAGATCAACAAAACAGATAGACCACTAGCAAGACTAATAAAGAAAAGAGAGAAGAATCAAATAGATGCAATAAAAAATGATAAAGGGGATACCACCACCAATCCCACAGAAATACAAACTACCATCAGACAATACTATAAACACCTCTACACAAATAAACTAGAAAATCTGGAAGAAATTGATAAATTCCTGTACACATACACCCTCTCAAGACTAAACCAGGAAGAAGTTGAATCTCTGAATAGACCAATAACAGGTTCTGAAATTGAGGCAATAATTACTAGCCTACCAATCAAAACAAATACAGGACCAGATGGATTCACAGCCGAATTCTACCAGAGGTACAAAGAGGAGCTGGTGCCATTCCTTCTGAAACTATTCCAAACAACAGAAAAAGAGGGAATCCTCCCTAACTCATTTTATGAGGCCAGCATCATCCTGATACCAAAGCCTGATGGAGACACAACAAAAAAGAGAATTTTAGGCCAGTATCCCCGATGAACATCAATGGGAAAATCCTCAATAAAATACTGGCAAACCAAATCCAGCAGCGCATCAAAAAGCTTATCCACCACAATCAAGTTGGCTTCACCCCTGGGATGCAAGGCTGGTTCAACATATGCAAATCAATAAATGCAATCCGTCACATAAACAGAACCAATGACAAAAACCACATGATTATCTCAATAGATTCAGAAAAGGCCTTCGACAAAATTCATCAGCCTTTCATGGTAAAAACTCTCAGTAAACTAGGTATCAGTGGAATGTATCTCAACATAATAAGAGCTATTTATGACAAACCCACAGCCAATATCATGCTGAACGGGCAAAAACTGGAAGCATTCCCTTTGAAAACCAGCACAAGACAAGGATGCCCTCTCTCACCGCTCCTATTCAACATAGTATTGGAAGTTCTGGCCAGGGCAATCAGGCAAGAGAAAGCAATAAAGGGTATTCAGATAGGAAGAGAGGAAGTCAGATTGTCTCTGTTTGCAGATGACATGATTGTATATTTAGAAAACCCCATCATCTCAGCCCAAAATCTCCTTAAGCTGATAAGCAACTTCAGCAAAGTCTCAGGATACAAAATCAATGTGCAAAAATCACAAGCATTCCTATACACCAATAACAGACAAACAGAGAGCCAAATCATGAGTGAATTCCCATTCACAATTGCTATAAAGAGAATAAAATACCTAGGAATACAACTTACAAGGAATGTGAAGGACGTCTTCAATGAGAACTACAAACCACTGCTCAAGGAAATAAAAGAGGACACAAACAATGGAAAAACATTTCATGCTCATGGATAGGAAGAATCAATATTGTGAAAACGGCCTTACTGCTCAAAGTAATTTATAGATTCAATTTTATCCCCATCAAGCTACCACTGACTTTCTTCACAGAATTGGAAAAAAACTACTTTAAAGTTCATATGGAACCAAAAAAGAGCCCACATAGCCAAGACAATCCTGGGCAAGAAGAACAAAGCTGGAGGCATCATGCTACCTGACTTCAAAGTATGCTACAAGGCCACAGTAACCAAAACAGCATGCTACTGGTACCAAAACAGATATATAGACCAATGGAACAGAACAGAGGCCTCAGAAATAACACCATACATGTACCACCATCTGATCTTTGACAAACCTGACACACACAAGCAATGGGGAAATGATTCCCTATTTAATAAAAGGTGTTGGGAAAACTGGCTAGTCATATGCAGAAAACTGAAACTAGACCCCTTCCTTACACCTTATACAAAAATCAACTCAAGATGGATCAAAGACTTAAATGTAAGACCTAGTACCATTTTAATCCTAGAAGAAAACCTGGGCAATACCATTCAGGACATAGGCACGGGCAAGGACTTCATGTCTAAAACACCAAAAGCAATGGCAACAAAAGCCAAAATTGACAAATGGGATCTAATTAAACTAAAGAGCTTCTGCCCAGCAAAAGAAACTATCATCAGAGTGAACAGGCAACCTAGAGAGTGGGAGAACATTTTTGCAATGTATTCATCTGACAAAGGGCTAATATCCAGAATCTACAAAGAACTTAAACAAATTTACAAGAAAAAAGCAAACAACCCCATCAAAAAATGGGCAAAGGATATGAACAGACACTTCTCAAAAGAAGACATTTATGCAGCCAACAGACACATGAAAAAATGCTCATCATCACTGGCCATCAGAGAAATGCAAATCAAAACCACAATGAGATACCATCTCACACCAGTTTTAGAATGGCGATCATTAAAAAGTCAGGAAACAACAGGTGCTGGAGAGGATGTGGAGAAATAGGAACACTTTTACACTGTTGGTGGGAGTGTAAATTAGTTCAACCATTGTGAAAGACAGTGTGGCGATTCCTCAAGGATCTAGAACTAGAAATACCATTTGACCCAGCAATCCCATTACTGGGCATATACTCAAAGGATTACAAATCATTCTACTATAAAGACACATGCACACGTATGTTTATTGCAGCACTATTCACAATAGCAAAGACTTGGAACCAACCCAAATTTCCATCAATGATAGACTGGATTAAGAAAATGTGGCACATATACACCATGGAATAATATGCAGCCATGAAAAAGGATGAGTTCCTGTCCTTTGAAGGGACATGGATGAAGCTGGAAACCATCATTCTCAGCAAACTATCACAAGGTCAGAAAACCAAACACCGCATTTTCTCACTCATAAGTGGGAGTTGAACTATGAGAACACATGGTCACAGGGAGGGGAACATCACACACTGGGGCCTCTGTGGGGTGGGGGGCTAGGGGAGCGATAACATCAGGAGAAATACCTAATGTAGGTGATGGGTTGATGGGTGCAGCAAACCACCATGGCACCTGTATACCTATGTAACAAAACTGCATGTTCTGCACATGTAACACAGAACTTAAAGCATAATAATAATAATAATAATAATAATAATAATAATAACTAAGTAACCTGGAATACTGATCTATTACATGAAGGACAATTTCCCTGTGGAGTTGTCTGGACTGAAATAGACTTTTGTATGAGCAAGAAATAAACTTTCGTTTCATTAATACAAAAAAAAAAAAAAGATTTACTTAGAATAGTTCCCAGCACATACTGCTAAAGAGAAAAAAACTTATTGGCTATTATTATGCCATCAGATTATAGTAACTACTATTTTCTGATCATTTACTATGTGCCATATGCTTGATATAGATTATCTCACTTAGTTTTTACCCTGAATAGTGATCTTACATATGGCAAACCATATGGGTTCTTCATTGCGCTAGCATGAACATCACATCCAGCACACGTGGAGGGGAAGGCCCTCTCTGGGGCTGCCTTCTACATGGGACAGCTCACCTGGATGGCACTCTGGAAGTGGAAAGGCTGAGACATGGACAGCTGTTTCTGATGTGCCCAGCAACAAGTCCATGGCTTTCATGCTAGCTGACCAAGAGGCCAGGAGGGTGGGAACTGTTCTCTTTGACGTTTGTAGCCAGATACCATGGAAAGGTTGAATTTATTTACTGGTTCTGAGGATGAATTGCCTGAGGCCTGTGCTGCCAAGTCTCCAATATATTTCAGAATTAGACAAGAGGACTGGGTGGTGGGGGAGGGGCTACTTACAACTATATCTGGAAGGACAAAGTGAAATTGGGGAGGGAAAAGATACTTTAAATAGCTTTATTCACGTTTTGAAATCACTACTTGAATCACTCCTCTGCCCTCTTTTAAACTAGTCCCTATCTTTTCTCTCCCTCTTTCTTTTTCCCTTTCTCCCTTCTTCCTCCCTCCTCCCCTCTGTCTAGATATTTTTTCTCTTCCTCTTTCTTGCCTGTTTCCCTCTCTCCTTCTCTCTTTCTCTCTCTTCTTCTCCTTCTCCCTCCTCTCTTTTTCTTTTCTCTCTCTTCCTCCCCCTCTCTCTTCTTCTCCCTGCTCCACAAACAACTAGAAACAGCTTCTTTTCTTCACTAGCTGTTCTTTCCCTGGGGCTCAGGGGCATAGGCAATACGTGGAGGGGAGGTGGAAGCCCCAAAACCCATCCATTTCCTCCTAGACAGGGGTCGACTTTGCTTGTTTGTTAATTTTTTCCTTTGAAGCTATAGATCATTCTCGAATGGATGAGACAGCGCATAACCCCGGTGCAGTCTGCCAGGGATGCAGCCTGTTTGTCTGCATGGGGGACTGAGCTGAGGGGGAAGGAAGCCAACTGTCTTTCTCATTTAGGTCATCACAGAGAATGATGTGAGTGGGTGCCAGGAGGCTGGACATCGCTGCTCCTAACCAGAGTGACTGCAGAGGAATTCCATTCCGGCTTCACCTTCTGCCTAAGGCTTCAAACGCAGTTGCCACATTCGTATTTCTTCAAGCACCCAGCACACAACTGGTTACTGAGAAACACTGAGAATCAGACCACTCATGGGCCCAATTGGGATGTATCTTTTACGGTTTCTGTAATTATTTTTAAAATAAATGAATTAACTATGAGCTTCACCCTAGAGGCCAAATCTCCAGTTCAGTGTTAAGTAGAATCAAGATGAGAACTATTATTAGCTTCATAACGGAAAAGGCCATTTTGCTTTCACATTCTGGAGCACAGAAAAGGGCTCAGCTTGACAGGCAGATGAATAGTGATTATAATGTAACTCTGAGAGGTATATCTGGTGCCTGCTCAGTGCCCGGGTGGGTCTGACAGCCCCTCAATGAGTCACAAGGTTAAATGGGGTGGACAGAAGCCTGCCCTGAATGGCACGAGGCTAGCCCAATGTCAGGGATGTTCACAGTACATCCCATTGAGTCCAAGAAGGAATTCTCAGTTTCCTCTTCCATAATCACAAGCTGTAACGGATCAGATAAGCAAGTGTGTCAAGTGGCTTTTGAAAGGAAAAAAATCCTGGAATAAAAAAAAAAAAAAACAAACAAATGCTAATCCTCTCTGAATCTCAGTGTCTTATCTTACAAAGCAGAGCAGGAGATGGAAGACAATGAATTCCAAGGTCTCTCTCGGCTCTCAGCTTCCATAATTCATTCATTTACTCATTCGTTCATTGGTCCATAAATTTACTGAGGAACAAACAGGGACCAAACCCTGCGCTATGAGCTGGGGATGCTGTGAGCAAAGAGACAGACAGAATTTCTCTTCTCACGTAGGTAAAGTCCAGTGGGAGCTGGTGTGTGCAACATTAAAGAAATCACAAAGAATTGTGAGTTCTAACTACAGTGAGAATGCTAAGTACAGTTTTCCTTACATAATAGAGAAAGGGCTTCCTAAGGCATCTGCTGAAGATCAAAAGAGATGTTCAGTGATTAACATGGAAACTCAGGCAGTATACGGTGGCTCATGCCCGTAATCCCAGCTCTTTGGGAGGCCGAGACAGGAGGATCGCTTGAGCCCAGGAGTTAGAGAACAGCCTGGGCAATATGGTGAAATTCCGTCTCTACAAAAAAAAAATTAAAAATTAGCTGGGTGTGGTGGCACGCACCTGTAGTCCCAGCTATTCAGGAGACTGAGGTGGGAGAATTGCTTCAGCCCAGAGTGGTCGAGGCTGCAGTGAGCCGTGATCACACCACTGCACTCCAGCCTGGGCAACAGAGCAAGACCCTGTAAAAAAAAAAAAAAAAGACAGAAAGTCAATTACGGCTCACCATTTGTGAAGAAATTCTTGGTTTGAAATATCCCCTTCCAAACTATAATTGTAGGAAATGTAGGCTTAAGATATTTTCAGTCACATAACCATGCCTAAGATATGGATCATGGTTAAACTCAGTAGGCAATGGGTGTATATGTGTGACATTTGTATGTGGCGTATATTCATGGGCAGAACATATGAGGTGTCTACTACATATGAATGCTGTGCAGGTGGTCATTAAGTAAAGCAGCCACTTGGCCTAGTGTAGCTTTTACTTATAACTTTTTGGCCCTCTCTCGTAGCCTCCAAATATAGAAATCAGCAGTTTTCCTGAAAAATGTGATTGAATGGTGCCCACTGCAAGGCTGGTGTGAAGGCATGAGGCATTCAGCTAGTGAGATGCTAGCCACCATCCAGCAGCCCAGGGGAGCATGGGTTCACTGCTCTCTATTTGAAGTCAAACTCTAAGAAATTGTTAAAAACTGTAAAGCTGCCATTGGATGTTTATGAGTTATCTACTGCTGCATAACAAGCCATTCCAAAATCTAGTAACTTAAAACAACAATGATTTATGATTTCTCATGATTATGTGCATACACTTGGTGGTGTTTCTGCTGGTCTTATCTGGACTCACTCATTTGACTGGATTTGGCTGGAGGGTCAGCAGACTGGAAGATCTGAGATGGCCCTACTTACACGCCTGGTTAGTGGTGCTGGCCGTTAGCAGGGTGCCTTGGCAGTCCTCCACATGGCCACTCATCCTCCAGTGAGCTACACCAGCTTCCTGGCAGGGCAGTCTCAGGATAGTGGCCAAGAGGGACACTACAAGGTGGACGCCACAAGGCCTCTTAAAGATCTGGGTTCTGAAACTTGAACACCACCACTTCCGCCACATTCTGTTGCTCAAAGCAAGTCACAAAGTCAGCCCAGATTCAATGGAGGTGGAGAAATAGGCTCCACCTCTTAATGGGAGTTGCTGCAAAAAAAAAAAATAAATAAAAAAAAATGTGGCTGTACCCAATTTGCCACAGGATGAGAAAGAAATCTTGAGGGGAATTTTGCAATGCAGTTAGTTTGTGGTGCAAGGCTCCGTGTGGAAACACTGGACTCGCCTTTGAAATGTGACAGGACAGAGTCATGAGCCTAAACAAACATTTCCACATTCACAATTTGGGGGAGTTTCAGAAGGTGCTCAGGACATATCTCCTAAAGTTGGTGTGTTCCCATTAAATCTATGAAATTGCTGGTATTTGACCGTTAGGGCCATACACAAAAAAATGGCAATTTGACATGCTCTAACCTAACACATTCTGAAAAAGAAACACCTCATTTAGAGCTGTTAGAGAATGGAGCGTCCTGGTAAGACAAATAGCCTGGTTGGCATTTGAACATTGCCAATTGTAGCATGCACACCACACACAGAATCATTCCATTTCAATGTTTGTACATGATTCTGAAGCCATATAAGCGTCATCATTTGAAACCCCCAAATTGCACAGGACAGTACAATAAGTGCTGGACCCACCAGGCTTCTATCTAGGCCAGTGGTTCTCAATCAGCAATGATCGTGTCCCCCAGGAGCTACTTGGCAATGTTTGGAAACAGTTCTGGTTGACACAACTAGGGAACAGTGCAACTGGCATCTAGTGGGTAGAGGCCAGGGATGCTGTTAAACATTCTACAATGCAAAGGACAGTCCCAATAACAAAGAATTACCTGGCCCTAAATGTCATGAGTACCAAGGCCAAGACCTGGTCTAGGTGGATGAGAGATCAGTTTCACATCCAAACCTCCATGGTCTTACCATTAGCAGAAAACAGCACAATTGCTGTTTCGGGTCTGTCTACTTCTAAAATTGTATTCATTATTGATCTGCGAGGTAATTGTACTTCTGTAAGTTTTCTGACTATTTAAATTTTGCATAAATATGCTGTATGGGAGTGGGCATGTATATAAATGGCCAGGTTATATTGGTTACTATACCTAGATTAGATTAGCTTTAGGAACAAACACAGTAAGAAGTCACTGAGTCTAAAAGAACGAAACCTGTTGAAAAAACATATCCATGCCAAACTTTGTAGAATAGGCATAGCACTGCCCTGAAAATGTAATTCACACCTACATATCCCCATTCCCTCCTTGTGTACCTTTCCTCTCCACCTCCCCCACCCGTCCACCCACTCCATCACATACGTTTGCCACCCACAGAAACCACACACAGCCCTTCCTTTCTGGCTTTCCATTCAACCTCTCATCACCCACCAATCCCAGAGAATGACAAAAATCTTCTTGCGTGACTGATCGACCCTATGAGGCTTTTGTGGTTAAAATATAAAGTTCCTGAAAAAACCTTTCCAAATCTGAATGGGATTGCAGTGACATCAAAGCTTTTCCTCTTCAATACCTTTCATCTTTTTCAGACTCTGGCACTCTCCCCACCAGCTTCAAGTCAATTAATTGAAAAGTCATTAGAAAGCTCCTCTGCTGTGAAGGCCCACCTCATCAGCTCCATATCTGGGTCCTTCAAGAAGGAACAGAAGGGCCGTTGGCCTCCACATTATTGGTGCTTCGCCCACCTCCACCCTGTTCTGGTCTCAGGTGAGGCTAGTCATAGGTGATGTCAGTGAGCTGAAGCAAATCTGCTCAGCCCATTAAACATTAACTGAATGCCCCCTATGTGCCAGGCATTGAGGTCAGTCCTGACCTAGTGCCCATCCTAGGACATCATCTCATCATCATTTCCCTATTTAGGCATGGCAGATGGACTCAGCTAGCTTGACCAAACAGGTTAAGTTAGTAAGAACAGGCTCTGTCAGTTTCTTCTGCATTGCAGATGTTTGTCCTGTGGCCCTAGACATGAAATCCCTAGCCATTTCTCTTAGAAAATGCAAGCCATGGTCACAAGGAAAACCTAGAAAAGGCAGCGTGGGCACAAACCATGGCACAGAAGCAGCTGAAGGAGCCTGCTTTCTTGTTGGGGAGTCACTACCCAGAGCACATTTCAACATTTTCTGACTGAAGTTCTAGAGAAAATGCTTCAACTATTGGTCCACAACCCAGGCAGAATTTTAGGGATTCAGGCAAGTATATCTCAATATGCAGGAGCTTAGGATTCTATTGAAAGATGTTACAATCTGGAATCTCATACCTGCTTCTTTTAAAATTTAGGTAACATTTGTTTTCAGTGAAATGAACAGATTTCAAATGTATAGTATAATTAATTTTTGGATCCCACACCACTATCCTCTGGTTTTTGTAAAACTCTCTTTCTTTAAAGATTCTTTGTTTATTATTCCAAAACTTCCATTATATTTTATTAAAGGATAGAAATATTTATCAAGACCATAACTATGAGAAAGTCTTCCTCCCCAACAATCTACATACCCACCCCTTTGTGATTATAGCAGCCACCATCTGTGCCCTCCCCATCTCCCTTATACCTCTCACCTCAGTTCACTGCACCTGACTTCCAAAGACCCCTACCTGTGTCTCTGTGCCTGGCTTTTTCCCATAACTGATGAAGGCCACTATACCCACAGGTTTGGCCTGAAATTCTGGGGAATTAGCAACTTCCAGGAGCATCTCTCAACAAATGATTCTTAGTAGTTGGGAGTATAAATATCCCAGCTGCCTCACCCCTCAGGTGGGATAACTCTGAGTTTTATGCATAGCCTCCCAGAGTCTCCCTTGGGATTCAGCTCCAGTTACTCACAGTAGCAATTCACTTAATAACCCTTCCTTGGCTTCATTGCCTTTCCTAACCCCCTTCTCCTCTCTTCCTACCAGTTTTTCCACCACCTCTCAAATAAACTGCTTACACTTGAGGTCTTGTTTTAGGGTTTGCTTCTGAGGAACCCAACCTAAGATGGTCATTCCCAACCCATTTATAGAATCTACAATTTCAGAACAGTAGCATAGGGTTTTTCTACAGTACACACACATACACACGTACTAAGGAAAAGGGTGAGAACAAATATTAGGGAAGATGAAAGCCAGAAACACCAAACCTTGGTTCATGTGGAGTAGGAGTCTATTCATGACCAACATATGAATTTAGATCCCTCATATCATCCTCCAAGATTAGACAAACGTGCCCCAGTTCCCTAATCTTCCCTCTCACAACCCCTTAAGACCTTTCAACATTTTATTGCCCTATTTTGGGAGATTAGCATCATGATTTCTGTTCTTGGGGTTTATTCCCTGACTGCTTCAGTGACTTATTTCTCATTAAAACTTCACCCATGAACCTGGGTCACTTCTTTATTTTCTAAAAGTGGGCACCAAGCAGTGGACGGCTCTCCAAGCCCAAATCCAGCATTCCTGCCAAGCCAAGCCAGTACCTTGGGAAGGCATGATGTGTGTGTGTGTGTGTGTGTGTGTGTGTGTGTGTGTGTGTGTGTGCGCGCGCGCGCGCGCGCATGCACTTGCATGTGTGAAGAACTCAAAGTAACTCTATCCAGTGGCTTGAGGAGTATAGACGTAGACTCCTCTTGGCTCTTCCTCCTCCCTTCAAAACCCTACAAGACGGGACTTTTTAATACAAAATTGAAACTTGTGTCAATCCTCTTCTCCTTCCCAGACGCTGGAATGGAGATAGCACCTCTGAATCCTCCCAAGTGGATGATCTGGCAAAGGTAAGGGGCAAGACTTGTAGGGATTAGAACTGAGGAAAGAGCTAGGGAAATATTTTTATTTCTGCCTGTTCCATCACCACAGATACTGTTTCTCACTATTACAGAGCAACAACATCTATTCAGCCAAGGAAAATAGAGTCAATGGGAAATTCGAGGGAACTTAGAACAAGATTAAGCTCATGGACCTTATGTCCTGGATGGCCAGTCTGGAAGAGCATAGGGATACCCAAGACTTTCCCTACAAGCCAGGCCTCACTGGACATTAATTTGCTGTAGGTTCGTTTCTGAGAGAATGAGCTATCTGTAGAGAAATAGGAGTGGCTTTTGAGTAGAAATGGTGGGCAGGCATGAAAGGGGGTGACATTATCCTCTGATAAGCATTCTGGGAGACTGTGATGTTGAAGACCAAAATAATTTAAAGGCCACTGGGAGGCCCTGGAGAAAAGGGCCTTTGGGTGGGACCGTTTGCTTGTGCAGGCACAGCCAGCAGAGTAAGCCTCTAGCTTTGAATTCAGTTGTTGAGGAACAACTTAAACTTGAATGTCTAAAGAATGTGATCACCTGAAAAACAATAGGAGGCTTTGTTCCAGGCAGAGAGAAAATAAGGGAGCATTCGGTTCTTGCAAATCTTTATGCTGGGGCCAGTAGAGTCTGTTTTCTAGCAAAAGGCTGTTTGAAGTGTGTTTATATGTCCACATAGTGCTGAACCATGTGCTGGGGTTAAAGATGACAACAAGTCAGAATATTCATACCATCCCGATCTCATGGGGCTGCCCATCATGTAATAGCAGGATGATTCAAGGTGGCAATGATGTACCTGTTGCCTGGTCTCCCATACACAGAGAGCTGAACTGAGAGAAACTATGAGGTCCCAAAGTGGGGTAAAGTGCCTGTGGAGAAACTTTTGTCCAACTCTGAACTTGCAGGTTTTTGTTTTTGTTTTTGTTTTCCTCATTGGAAGTCCAAGATACAGAAATTATTCTTTCAAATAGAGGAGTGCAGGAAATCCAATCCTGAAGATCTCCTTCCAGTTGGCTAGCCTGTGACCCAGAAATCACTACCATGAATCAACGTGAAAGTATGCCAAGCCACCCTGAGTAAGTTAAACAGGGCTTGGAAGCAGGCAGCCCAAAGGAGAGAGGGCTGGCTCTGATATCAACCTCGAGATATCAGATTACAAGACTGAAATGGGAGCCTCTAAGTTCCTTAAACAAGCGGCCTTCAAAATGCAGAGTGTGCACTCTAGGGGTAAGGAAAAACATTAGACTATGTGTATATGTATGTATATTTATGTACTGTTAAACGGTCTGTTTTTATGTTTTTTTAAATATAAATTGGGTTTTTCTAGCAGACTCAGATACAAGGATTCCAGGGTAAAGAGTTTACTTCAGAGCTGCAGGGAACCCTGATAGGGCGATGGGGAAGTAAAACAGGGAAGAGAAGGAAGTCAATAAAGAGAGAGTTAGCGAGTAACTGGAGCTTAGTCTCACAGGGAGAAGCTGCAAAAGAAGCACAGAATGTCCGCTATTAAGTATTCTCCCGGGGGCAAGGGAGCTGGGATATTTACACCTTGGTTCCCATTATTAAGTGGATGAGGGCTCTTGGGAGGTGTCTGAATTCCCTTGCATGTCTGGACTGCCCAGGGAGCCAGCAGAGGGGTCTTCTCCATCTTTAGAGAAAGACTGCAGGCAAAGAGATGAAGAATCTGGCAGTTGGCTATCAAAAGAAGGCTTCCTCTAAATGTGAAAGGTTAGGGATATGGGCAGGGGCCTAGAAACTGTTACAGTAAGTAACTTATTAATACAGCAACACGTGCATATAATTCATAAATAAACAGTATGGATTTTTGCTCTACTTTTTTTCTTCAATGGGGGTGCACGGAGGCCAATGCCTTAGCCCAGGTTCCAGCTAAAAGCACCCTGCCTCATCTCAGCTGACTCAGGAGGCTTGAATCAAGCCTCTGCTTAAAGATCTCTGAAGTCAAGTACTACAATCTTTCTTGGATGCAAAGGCCAGTATGTAGCAGTAAATCAACCAGTGGGGATGGTGTGTATCCTAGTGGCAGGCAGGCCTCCACAAAGAACATGTTTACATGGACCTCTATCTCATGGTGTTGTATTTCCTTCTAGGCACTAGCTCCTCTCCTCTACTAAGCCAAAATCTCAAAGGCTAGCATACATTGGAGCATCTTCCCTTGATGGAACAGCCCTCTCAGGGAGCCACATAGAAAACAGGTAGATTTGCACCACATCTGATGCTTTTGCTACCCTGGACATGAGAAACTGCTTATATATAACTTGGATTATCCTATCCACCCCTGGGAGATAAAAAGGCATTAGAGTTTTGAAGAAGATTGGTCTTTACTTTCTTTAAGAAATTCTATTTGTTGAATGAATGTGTATATGAATGTAAAAATGAATCAATGAATGCATGAAACTTTAAGTTTATAATAGGAAATTAATCTTGGGGTCAAATGAGAAATTATGAAGATCCATTCTTTTCATGGCATCCCAAAACTGTCACCCTTCAAAACAATTTGCACAGCCTGCTCATGAAGGGGTACATAGCATTTTGGAAGGTAAGAGACCTGGAGGAAACTTTCCTCACCTTGTCAGGTGCCTACTTTGTGCTGATCACTGCCCTAGGACTAGCACATGTTTTCTTGTATATTTAATCCTCCAGGAAGCTTTGAGATAGGTACCATTCCTCTCATTTGACAGATCAGAAGACTAGCTTTTTAAGACTGTAAGTATCTGTCAGCAAATCACACAGCTGGTAACAGGTGGAGCAGGGGTCAGAACTTAGCTCTGTGGCTACGAAGCCCATGTACGTCTTACTGTTCCACAATGCCTTCTTTACGACTCTAGCCAACGGGCACTCTTGGAAAACAGACTTCTGAAAGGTACTGTTACCATTGACTCCACAAAGGTATAGTTGAAGAAATAAAAGCACTTTTGATATGATACTGACATCTCTCTAAATCTAGTAATGAGAAAATATCCTTAATTAATTTTGTCATTGATTATGATGTACATTGTGGAGAATGAGATGGGGGCAGGAGGCACAGGAAAGATTTAGTAGCAGCCAGAAATGTGGCTGCTGCCACTGAGGATTAAGGAGTTTGTAACGCCAGGAATCAGTTCTAATTCACCTTTAAATATGTTTTTTCTCTTAAAAATTTATTGTAAGATATTTCAGACATATTGTACTAGGCAAGCCTCTAAGGGCTCCCCCAATGATCCCTGCTTCCTGGTATTCATGTTGTTGTGTAAATCCCTCCACTTGAGTGTCGGCTGTACCTAGTGACTGACTTCCAATGAACAAAATACAGCAAAAGTGATGGGATGTCACTTTTGTAAGTAGGTTATAAAATATTGTGACTATTCTCTCTCTCTCAAAACCCTCACCCTGATAAATCTGGCTGCCAGGTTGTGAGTTGCCCTATGAGGTGGGACACATTGCAACAAACTAAGGGAGGCCTTTGGGCAACACCCAGTGAAGAACTGAGGCCTTGGTCCAATGGCCCATGAGAATCCAAATCCTGCCAACAACCATGTGTGTAAACTTCGAAGTGGACCTTCTGAGGCCTGCCAACAGCTATATGAGCAAGCTTGCAAGCAAATCCACCCCAGTTGAGCCTTGAGATGCTACAGTCCCAGCTGACACCTTAATGCTGCCGGTGAGAGCCGGAGCAGAGGACCCAGTTAGACTGTGCCCAAACTCCTGGCCCACAGAGACTGTGAGATCGTAAATATGTGTTGTTTTAAGCTGATAAGCTCTGGGGTGATTGGTTATGCAGTGATAGACAACTAATGCAAAAAGGTATAAAGAATAACCTGGTGAATACTTGTGTATGGCCCATGTAGCATGCAGCCTTAGAAAAAAACAAATTACAAAGATACTTAAAGCCCCTTCCTTGTATTCTACCTTCATCACTTTCCCCTCCTTCCTCTCCAGATGCTCTCTGGAACCAGACTGAAATTGAAATGCAAGATATATATATATATATATATATCACAGAATCTCTGTCACTAAATATTCTCCCAGAGGCAAAGGAGCTGGGATATTTACACCCTGACTCTCATCATTAAGTGGATGGCTCTTGGAGGGTATTTGAACTCTCTCACACATCTGGACTGCCAAGGTAACCATCAGAGGGGTCTTCTCTGTCTTTAGAGAAAGCTTGAATACACACACACACACACACACACACACACACACACACACACACAAAATCCCCCTTAACAACAAATAGCTTTGTATATATTTACCTATCTATATATAAATGGTATTATATTTCATGTATCTTTCTGCAATGAGATATTTTCCTCAACAGTACGTTATATATATATAGATATATATATATATCCATGTTTTAAGCCAGTCAACTTTCATTCCTGTATAGTAGTCCATTTTTTAGTTACAACACAATTTATCCCTCCTCCCACCAATCATAAGGTACGATATTTTGTTAAGTCATATGAAATTGCCAATGTTCAGCCATTTTTTGCCTACAAAAATAGCTCTTTCATATGATCCAACCTAACCGATTTTCATACACACAAACAACGGCCCTTTACTGACAATGATAATGCTACTGATGGTAATTATTATATCATTATCTAAACTGATTCTTGGAATGGGCATCTGAGTCAGACAGCCCTGGCTGTAGAGCTCAACGCTGCCACTTCCTACCAGTACAGCTTTGGGAAAATTACTTAACTTCTCTCCATTTTCTTCATCTATAAAGTGGAGATGATGCTAGTAACTACTTTATAGAGCTAAGTAAGGATTTCATATGATGATGAACATACAGCCAGGTACATGGTGAGTACCCAGTAAGCATCAGCTCTTGCTGTGGTTGTTTCTTTAATCATCTTTGTGATGGACTTAAACCTGACATTGACCCTTTTCCACACTAAGGCTCTATAGAGGAGCCCTCCTGGCATGGCCATTTGCGTGGTCTGTGCAGCCTTCGCTTCTTGCTCCAGCTTGCCCTCCTTGCCTTCCCCAGACTCCTGTTTCTTCTGGCTTTGGCCAGAAATTCCAAGAGAAAATCTTCTCTCATCTTGGATAAGACTTCTAAATCAGCCTGCTCAGATAGAAAAAGCTCAGAATTCTAGGAACAATCTTTCCTGCAGTCCAGATGTTTCTGTCACTCCCAGTCCCAACCTAGGAAGTATTTCAAAAGAAAGAAACAATTGAAAATAAAATCCAGACTTGATTCCCCTCCATAGGCTAACTCAAAACCCCTTTAAATGTAGTCTGGGATTGAAGGCCAGTTTCAACAGAATGTGTATTTTATCCAAACCCGTCTGCTCTTCTCTCTTGCCAGCAACACATTTTAAAAAATCTAATCTCTGTTTTCTTTACATGAATCTAGACCAAATGTGATTTCTCCCCTGCATGTGAAAATAAATTATTTCAAATGTAATTTTCTCTCCGGTTTGTTCCTGTTCCTCCAGAGACCTTTGAAGGGTGTAACTCCAGATGCAAGCCGCCTGCTACTGCAGTGCCAGCAGGAATTCCTAGGCCCCCAAAACCTCCTGGGGGTGGGTGGAGGAGGGAGTATGGGGCAATCCAGGCAAATCCCTTAGGACCTAGGATTCCTGCTTCACACTCCAAGATGGTATCTTAACTTCCCCCATCAGTGAGGATTGGAAGAGTGGAAATTAAGAGCTAGGCTCAAAAGGAAAGGTAGAGATCACACTGATTTCCTCTTATCCTAACATATGCAACCTGTGCTAAGCAGGAGCTAGAGAGAGGAACAGCACTTGGCACCTCTTTTGACCCACTGCTACTCAGAGTGTGTCCCCAGACCAGCAGCATCAGCCCCATCTAGGAGCCTGTGAGAAATGCCAATTCTTGGGCCCCACTCCAGACCTATGGAATCTGAATCCCTGAGAGTAGGGCACAGCATCTGGGCACTGTCAAGCTTTCCAGATGATGCTATGCATTCTCCACTGTGAGAAGCCCTGCTTTAGGTAGTCAGCCACACGCAACAGAGATTCACAGCCTTGGAGCTCAAATCATCACTGCAGTCTAGTGAGGGGACAGATAAACTACTGAATGGGAAACAAATCCAAACCAAGGTTTGAAAAAAAAAAAAAAAATAACCCGCTGCCAGCCCCACCCCACTTCCTGAACAGCCCTCACACAGTCCCCCTCAGCATCAACACAATGAACTCCCTGAAAGGAAGATTCTTCTAACTCAAAGATTAACGGTCACTGTAGTTGTAAACATGGCCACTGTCCCTTAGAAAACAGCTGTTTCTCAATGAGAACACATGGACACAGGGAGGGGAACATCACACACCAGGGCCTGTTGGGGAGTGGAGGGGAAGGGGAGGGATAGCGTTAGGAGAAATAGCTTAACGTAGATGACGGGTTGATGGGTGCAGCAAACCACCATGGCACATGTATAGCTATGTAACAAACCTGCACATTCTGCACATGTATCCCAGAACTTAAAGTATAATTTTAAAAAAGAAAAAAAAAGAAAAAAAAGAAAACAGCCATTCCTGACAGTACTGCAAAATAAACATGAGTCTTCCAGTTGGGCTTCACACTCTTGGAGACAAATACAGTACAATAAAGAATCATTTGGTTGGGACAACAGACAGACACGCGTCTCAACATATACGGGTCAGTGAACAATGGCTCCTACTAGAATGGTCCTGTTGGGCCAACCACGACACAGTTCCTTGTTCTGCATAACATGCTGTTGTTTAAACTCACAGACCTCCAGCCGTTGAAGGAGCTGACTTAAACCTGGCTGGCCCAGAAGGCTTTGACAGTCCAGAGCTGAGACCAGGCAGGGACTGCCCTTATTTGCCTGTTTTTGGCAAACGGTGCCTAACGTGAACATCTTCCTTGATGACCTTGTCATCATCACCTTTTCATCCCTGACCATCCTCATGACCCGTGTCCCCCCTCCAGCTCTGGCCTGTGTATGATAATATGGAGTGTCTAAAAGGTCTCTGCACAGTGTTCTGAGGAAAGGCACTGACGAAACTTAGTCACAGAAGCTTGCAATGAGGAACTCCACCCTGACACTTCACAGCTGTCCTTACGGACAGCAGAAGGGTCTGGAGCAGCTCACCAAGTCTACAGCAAGGCTCCTGGGTCAACAGTTTCCTTGAATCCAAAACATCTCTTAGACAATTGCACAGTAGTTAAGAGGGAGACAAATATGGACATGCTGCGCTGCAGAGAGCTGACTAAAGGCCCTGGGGGAAGGCACTCTTCTCCTTAGCTCCTTAGCTCTTCTCCTTAGTGTGGGAGAGTTTTCCCAAAACTCCGCTGAGCCACCAGAATGGCCAAAATGAAGGAGCAAATTGTAGTTCTTAAGGAAGTTGTCCCCACTGTTCTAGAATGTCTTGCCCCCATTCTGTAGGTGGCACACAGAAGTTCTGTTGTGTTGTGCTGTGTTACTTGTCAAGTGGCTCCCAGACACCCAGGCATCCATAGCCAGGCTCTGTCTTCTCTTTCCAACTCCAGTAGGCCCATTGCAAATATTTGTTAATGGAGCTTGAGGCCTGAGAAAGCAGTCTCCCAAGCACCGCCCCCCTACCCCGCCCCCGAAACAGGAGTTTCCAGGTAGCCACATGGGCTGCCCAGGGCGTGAATAAGGAAAGAAGGAAGCTGGGAGGCAGAACGGGAAGGTCTGGGAGGAGGTATGAGGCCAGGAAAAGTTTGTAGTTGGTTTTTTTTCACTAATAAATCAGATCACTCGAGTTCATTCCTGTTGCTCTTGGCTGGCAGGGCTAAAAAATAAGTTTGAGTCACCAGTGCTACTCATGACAAATGCTTCCTGTGTGAGATTTGGGCATTTCTTTTCTATTTTCTTGGCAGAAGGAAGAAAGCAACATGAAGGGATGAAAGAAAGAAGTGAGGAAAGAGTTAATCTGCTTTGTTACCAAGTTCTTAATCCAAAACCCATTCATGCTGGCTGTTAATGTATTATTAAGTCCAGTAATGATACCTCAGACCCACCTGGATCAAACGCCCTCAGGGCTCTTAACCATCTCATTGCCAGCTCTCCACACCTCCCACTGGGAGGGCAGGGCCTTGCCATGTTCTTATTCTTGTGAGTCCTGGCTCAGGCCTTGTTCAATTCCATACCCCAAAGGAAAGACCACTATCTATCTTTCCTGACTCCTCAAAGGAAGTTTTCTAGGCTTTCTGCCTCTTGGTTATAGGCTCTGCCTTAGTTTGGTGGGAGGAGGAGGGTAGGACCCCCACAGATAAGAGTGATAGGGTGGTCTGCCCAGGACTGGGGAGTCTCCCAGGACATGGGACTGTCAGCACTATCTCTGGGATAGTCCTGGGCAAACCAGGATGAGTTGGTCGCCCAAGAGCTGAAAGCTGTGAGAACTTTGGTGGAAGTAAAGAAGTCCTGTGTTATCAGTCAATTTCTGGAAACAGTGCTTCTCAAGCACTAATGTGCACGTGGATCACCTGGGGACTGTGCCAAAATGCAGACTCAAATCCAGTAGGTCTGGGCTGGGGCCTGAGATTCTGCATTTCTCACAGCTCCTGGATGACGCTGATGCTTTGAACATGAAGGATCTAGAATTCCTCTCTATTTCAGGGAGGCCACAACCCATATCTGAGCATCGCTCTGCCTTCCGATTCTTCGGATAATACTGGGGTGGCAGGCACTAGCCTAGAGTTCTTTCCCCACCCCCTCTCCCTTAAAGCCTTGAAATTCAAATTTTCAAAGATCCCGGATGGAAGTCTGGGAAAGTTTAACTTTCTTGATAAAAAGGGAACAGATGTGACTAACGCCACCTTCCTCATCTTCTTTCTCCCTAGAACACAGACATGATGCTTGGAGCTATAGCAGCCATCTCGCAATCATGAGGAAAGGCCAAGAGAATTTCTGAGTCACCAAACCCAGCACTGTTCAGCTGCTGAGCCAATCCCTACAGCCTCCTATCTCTAGACCTTGTGCTCTGTGAGAAAACTAAAACCCCATTTTGTTTAATGCCCTCCTGCTCCGAGAGTTCAGGTTTTCTATTCCTTACAGTGGAATGCATTTCAAACTGATATAACTGATCCCTCAGCCAAATACTATTCCCAGCAGATGGTTAGGGTTGGCTGTGTACAGCTATGCAAACTGCACACTCCGGGAGACACCATTCAGAATGCCTTTGGACTTGTGTAGTGCAAAACCTGCATTAAGATGCAAGGTAGCCATGGAGGTAGTGTGATCTTTAAAGCCAGACCTTGGTAAAACTCAGTTCCATTACTTACTTGCCTAATTGGTCCTGGACCAGTTAGTAACCTCTCTGAGCCTCGGTTTCCTCCCTTTAAAGAGGAATGATAATGCCTCTTTGGGAGGATTCTTGTAAAGACTAAAGATATGTGTAAAACACCTGGCACAGAGCAGATACTCTATAAATAGCATCTAAATACTATAACAGAAAACCCATATGATCTGTGCTGGCGGCTGTTTGGAGCACCCTGCATTGAACGGCTGCAGTGATTACAAGGGTCTCCTCCTCCCACAGCTGCAGTGTGGCAGGCCCAGTCTACTGCAGGGAACATCTGTGAAAGGGTGCAGGCAGGGCAACGAACAGGCACAGGGAGGAGAGGGGTACATCAGGGAAGCACGCTGAGAGGCCACCCTCCTTCATTTGATTCTCTGCACTTGTGCACCTGCTGCATGCTACCATTTATGGGACCGGCAGCTTCATCAAGGGGCCCCCCCGCACCCCACCATGATGAAGCTTTAAATACAAGTATTACCAGACCAAGGAGCTCTAACAGATGCCATGGAAACAGGCCATTCTTTTTGTTTCAAGTGCTGTGTTTACGGGAGGAAGATCTGACACGGCAGCTTTGGCCAGCCTAGGTGCAGCCATCAACATCAAGACTGCTGGGGAAGGGGGCAGGTTCCAGAGACAATCCATCCCGCTTACTCTAGTCTTCAAGGCTGAAAAAGAATTTGGCTTCTGCACCTCAGTTGAAGCACCAGGACTTGAGTGATGATTTGGGTGTCATCCAGAAAGACATTCTCTGGTCCAGATCCCTTCATTCTTTGTAGGAACATTTATTGAGCTCCTACTGTTCTAGGACCTGCAGGTACAGTGTTAAATAAGGCAAAAACCTTTGCCCCCATGGAACCTACACTCTAGTGGGGGAGGTGGATACTAAACAAAACTCATACACAAAATACATAGTTAAGGCGATACACGCTATGGAGAAAAATTAAGTGAGGAAGGGGGGTTCAGAGAGCCTAGCAGGTGACAATTTTTAATAGAGCAGTCAGGAAAGGTGAATTCTGAAGGACATAAGGGAGGGAGCCACGTGGATATCTGGAGAAAGACTGTTCCAGGCAGAGGAACAGCAAGAAAGAAAACCCTGGGTTGGATGGGCTTGGTGTGTTCTAGGGCCAGCAGGAAGCCAGTGCAGCTGCATAGAGCTGTGCAGATGGGGTGAATGGTAGCAGATACAGTGGGCCAGATCACATAGGGTCTTGTGGGCCACTCCAAAGCCAGGACTTTGGCTCATACCCTGAGTGAGTCGGCAACCTTTGAATGGTTTTGAGCAGTGGAGAGACGTGATATGACCTCTTTTAAAATGACTATCCTAGCAGTTGTATGCAAAATGGATTCGAGGTGGGCAGAGGGGGAAGTGGGAAGACCATTAGGAGGCTGCCTCAGTAATCCAGGTGACAGGCAACAGTGGCTTGGGTGTCCTCTCCCTCCTAAACTCCAGACATTCAGGGTACCTAGCAGGGCTGGAGCAAAGAGAGGAGCCCCATGGGCATCCAACTAGACCACTTCTGTGACTCCAGGCCAGACCTGCGCGGCTCAGCCCCAGGCCAGCAGACCAGCCCCTGACATTGGTGTCCAATGGCCACCCCATGGCTAAGCAATAGCAAAATCCAGGCACCCTTGGCTACATCCTGCCTTTGACTGCTCATTGCTGCAACACCATAGTGCCACTAGAGGCTGACCCAGGCATCCACCAGCCTTATCTTTAGTGAGTTAGAATCTTGAAAGCACCCAAACAATAAAACATTCGTCTCCCCAGGATGTGTCTCTGAGAGGCAATGCCAAGTCCAAGGAAGGTTTGAGATGTTCAAAAAGGAAAAGCTAAGTGTGTGGTCAGGAACAAGCTCAGACTGCCCTGTGACGTGAATTCCTTTCTGCCTCGCAAAGCCAGCCAGCTGTGTGTGTGCACGTGCGCATGCTTGTATGTATAAGCAAGATGGTGAGAGTTGTGTCTTTGAAGGCTTTGGGTATCAAGAAATCAACACCTTACCTGTTCATTTACATTTATTTTTACCATCTTAAGAAAAATCATGACCCTACAGTAAGCAGTTTAAATGCCCTGCATTTGAACTTGAGCTCCCCATTAGTAATAATGAATTCAATCTTTCTTCCAAATCCCTCGTTGTCTCTAAAAGACATCCCTTCTTGACCCAAGGGGCCTGTTCAAGTCCCCCCATCCAGACCAAAGATGTGGCCCAACTCAAACACACTTGTTCCTTTTCCAGGGCTAAAGGCTTCCCCAATTCTTTTTCTCCCCATCCCTCTTCCTGCTCCCTCCGGTCCCTCATCCCCCAGCTGTTTTCTCTGGTGCTGATATCAGCTGCCCTTCTACCTCTGAGAAGATCATCCTGAGCTTCCTCTTGGAGAATAAATGGTGCCCATTTCTGTAAGAGACTGTAGCAGCAGCTGGCACCCTGCGCCCTCACGCTTCTGCTAAACAGAAACGAGCTTTTCTGTGGTCAGCGCATCCTCACACCCACCGCTGCTGTGAAAAGCTGGCTGTAATGCCATTGAGTGCTGGGATGGAAGCTGACACTCTTGTCAGCTGAAAACCTCTAAACAGAAACAGGAGGAGAGCCCTGGGCTTGCAGGGAGGGGCATCTGACAGCTTGTCTCTTTTTCATGGTAGTGGGGAGGGTGGAGGGTGGGATGAGGCCACATTTTTGCTGAGTGTCTGGGACCAAGAGATCCAGGAACAACGGGGGCAGTTAGCACCAAAGTAGTACTTAAAGGAAAAACTCAGCCCTTCAGGCAGGAAGGCAAGGACAGTGCTTGTTGCCTTCCACAGTTTCCAGAAAAGCCTGTTATTCACAGCCACTAAAGGACCTGGCCCTGGCCTGGCCTGGCAGACACTGAAGAGGGCTGTTTTTCTGATGCTAATGTGCAGCCTAGCTTTCATTTTCTTTCTTTTTTTTTTTTTTTTAATGAGGGGCCTACTCATCTTGAAACCTTTTCAAATAGGTCTCCCCCTCCCTTTCTTCCAGTCTCTCCACCCCCACCCTCTTTGTTTTTAAGCAGGAAAACTTGTTTCCCCCAAATGCATCCATAGAGATGGGAAAATTAATTTAAACAGACATGTGTCAACCCCGTTCTTAAAAAAAAGGGACAAGTATGACGTTACAAAATTGTACTTCAGGAATCATTATGCAGAACAGAGCATGGTGGTGTCTTGATTCAACGTTCACCTTAAAAGCAAGGGGGGGCAGCCATCCCCCAGGGGCCTGTTGTCAGCCCTCTTCCTTTTCCTCTCTCTGCAGCCTAGCTTTTATTCTGCAATTCATAGATCCCCTAGGATGGGCTTCTGTGAGTCCTCTGAGGCTGTCTGGAAGATCATGCATGTATGTGGTGCATATACACATGTGGCATGTACAAGCATGTACACATGAAGATGTGTGTACAAGTGTGTGAGAGAGCATACATGTGTATGGGCACATGCATGTCTATATGTGTATGTGCATGCAGGAATGTGTGCGTGTGTGTGTGTGGTGCATGTGCATACATGCATGGCCCTAGTTTCTAGCAGTCTTGAATCTCTCCTGTAGTAAATTCATCTTTTCTCCCATCATGTCCATGTCAAGAACTCATATGATTCTACTATGTTACTACCCCCACCCCAGCCTCTGTTCCCTGGGGATCCACAAAACTGGCACATAGATGGAGCCCAGGAAAAATGTGCTGAATGACTTCAAGCAGTCTGTTAGATAGCACTGGTGTGAGACCCATCTGCACCCCAATCTGCATGGGAAAAAAAAAAACTCATTCGTCAAATCTATTCTTCCTTCTGGTTTCCTGGCTCTTAATGGCCTCACCATTTTTCTTATCAAGCTCCATGTCCTTGACACCTTCACAGTTGGCCTCCCTCTAGCCAGCCAGCCCCCTTGTGGAAACAAGCCTCCAGAATGTATCTGGTATCTATTACATCAAGCAAAAACTGTGTGCAGAATGGCCCTTGGGTCCTCCCCACCTATGCTGATTCTGGCTTGGTCTTGCAACTTGCTTTGGTCCATGAGAAAATAGCAAGTCTGACTCAAGCAGAGACATGAAGAAACACCTGTGCTTCCAGGCTTGTCCTCTCCTGCTTGCTTCTGCAGGCCCTTCCACCACCATGTGAACAAGCCCGGACTAGCCTCCTGGAAGGCACAAGACCACATGGAGAGAGGACCCAACAATGCAGCTGCTGCAGCTGAGACGCCAGCCATGGAGGTGAGGCCATCCTAGACCTTCCAGCCCTGCTGAGTCAGCTCAGACCTGGCAGTCTGCCCAGCTGACCCACAGGATCATGAGAAAGAATAAGTGTATGTGTCTGTAAGTCACTAAGTTACAGCAAGAGATAACAGAAACACCTGCATTACTTCCCCATAGCCACCACCTCTAACACTTAGCCTCATTTTTCCCAACTCAGATAAAATGTCTAAAGAAAACAGAAAACATTAAATCACATTTGGTTATATATTTAGAACGTCCCTTTATTGAAAGGAATTAAACTATATAAAATCAGGACTGTATGGGAGATGCTAAGTTAAATGGGTCACCATAATGACAGCCTAGAGACATGCAGAGTATGGCACAGAGTGGGCTCTGAATGAATACTGGCTGGACTCCTGAGCTCATCTAATCTCACTTCCGATTTTACAGATGAGAAAACAGAGGCTCAAGGAAAGTATGTGGCTTCCCTGCAACATGATGCTCAATACACGAAAAAAGGGGGTATCCAGATGACTCGTGACTTGCCTGGATCAGAGGGGTAGGGATGGGCTCAGCAGCGCCCACTGCTCACTGCTTTGAATCCACAGAGTCTGTCTGGTTGTTTGTGACTGGCACACAGCAGGTGCTCAATTAATGTCAAATGAGGACACCCATGTGGAAAACTTGTTACACTAAAGGAAAAAATCATACCTGCAGGGCCCTTCTTCTCCACTCACACAGAATCATGGAAAATGTACCACCTTCCCAATGCAAGAAAAAGTTTAGCTCTGGGCACCCTGCAGCAAATGCCTGAAGGGTGCAAAGAAAAGGAGCAGACTCCTCCTGGACCCCAGGGAGGAAAGCAGAGGCCTCCAAGAGGCCAGCATACATTGACTGCCCTCATTTATTTTATACTTTTCTCATTCTGTTGAGTCAAGGTCAACCTCCACTTGATCTGACCCCTGATCAGTAGAACAAGTCCAGGCAGCAGAACAATCAATGATCATGCCATGCCAAGGACGTGTTAAATGCCACCTTCTCCTCCTCTCATTTTTCTTCAATGAGAAAAGCTAAACTCATTTCTACGCAATCTTTCAGTGGCAGCAGCCAAGAATAAAAAAGCCCTGTGTCTTTAATTCCAGATCTTTCAGTGCTTCTCCATTCCTTGTTTCATTTATGTCACGTGCATATATGTGTGCATGTGTGTGCCATGTGTGTACAGGTGTGGTGTGAGCTCCTTGTGGGCAAGAACTGCCTTATTTATAGCTCTATCTCCAGTACCAAGCACATGCCTGGCATTCAGTTATGTGCTCAGTGAACCAATGAATGAATGAATAGATCATACTCAGAGGTTTCTCTGGGTGAGTGACCCCTTGAAGCTCCACTGTGGTTGCACCATGTAGCCAAAACATAAATTGTGTGAGCTTGAAACAAAGCCCCCGCACCATTTTTTAAGTTATTGTCTCTCAGTTTCAAACCCACTTTTTCTATACTCTGCCCTGTGATACTAGGGCTGGGACTCTGCACACCTCATTTCTGTTTTGCCAGCTGCACCCTGTTTGGCCCTGCCAGGAGGGGAATGAGACAGAGAATGGCAGGATGGAGGAAGAAGAAGGGGCTTGTGCCTCCCTTTCCTCCTGTTTCCATGAGCATTCCCTAATAATAGCCCTACATTCAGGCAGTGGCAATTGGCCCCAGAATCTAGTCCCTTTTTTTGGCAGTCCCTGAGCCAGTCTCACTGTACCCCCTCTGAGACACCAGCACTAGCCAGGCAGCACTTCCTCCTCAGGTGTCTGGGTCTCAGCTCTGCAGGGTATTAACTCCAAAGTTCTCATAACCTTAATCCCTTCCCTTTGTCAGCCCAGTCTTAAGGGTGTTCTCTGCTTTCTGCAGTTCCCATCTCTGCTACACTTTCTGCCTCTTCCATCCTCTAAGATCTGTTTAACCAATGCCTTCTGCTAAATTCTCTGTTAAAATAATTGGCATGTTGCTCTTCTCTGGGCTGAATCCCAACTGATATGGGAACTATGGTGTTTGTAGGGGTAACAGCACCTTGTGCACTCCTCCAAAAGATTAGAAGTCAGGCACAGTGACCTCCGCTTGGACTTGAATAGGACCCTTCCAAATCTGGCTCTGACCTAGAGAACAGACAAAATGCCTCATTCCTACAGCAAACAGGACACAAACAATGTCCATGGGCCTGGACACTGACCAATGTATGGAGTACCTGGACAGCAGACACTCCAAAAATATTTATTGAACAAATGAATGGGCCCATGGCAGAGACAGCTATGGACTCCCCAGGCAGGAGCTGGACTACATTTCCCAATTGCTCTTACAGTCAGGGGTGCCCATGTGAATGAGTCCTGGCCAATGTGATGTACACCACTTCCAAACCTGGCCCACAGACATCTCCTACCGGTAAGATTCCTCTGTGGACTGGCCAGGTATAGACGATCCAACGGAAAACTCTAGAGTGGAAGAGCCTGGTTTCCGAACGACCAGGTGGAGGACCTCCTGCCAAATGTTGAAACAGAAAACGTTGAAATGGGACTATTAGCCGAGCAAATAATAAATGTCTATTGTATTAAGCTGCTGAGATTTGGGAATTGCTTGTTCCAGCAATTAGCCTCCCCAGATCAATAAAGAGGCCAAGGGCACAAGTTTGATCTCTAGCCCTGGCCATCACACTCTTCAATGCAGGCTTTGGGGCATGAAGGTGGCTAAGCAGGAATTTGGATGATCAGCACAAGCTCATTTCAACACCTGGAGGAACAGCTCAAAGGGCACAGCCTCCTGACAGCAGGTCCCTGCCCAGCAGGGAGAGCACATGATTACAAGCAGTCCTTCCATCCTGAAAATGGAGTCAGCCAGTTCTGGGGCCTCACATAGGTAAATCTATGGAATGATTAACCAAACTGACTAGCTCCTGCAGAGTTAGTGTCGCTGGGACTCTTCACAGAATAACAAAAGATCATCTGCCCGGGATGACTTTAGACATTGAACTTGGAGGAAAGAGACTGAGCTAAGTGATTTTTTCCAATTAATAAATAAAGTGTTGTCTGGGTGTGGTGGCTCATGCCTGTAATCCCAGCACTTTGGGAGGCTGAGGCAGGTGGATCACCTGAGGTCAGAAGTTCAAGACCAGCCGGGCCAACATGGCAAAACTCCGTCTGTACTAAAAATACAAGAATTAGCTAGGCATGGTGGTGGGTGCCTGTAATCCCAGCTACTCAGGAGGCTGAGGCAGGGAGATTCGCTTGAACCCGGGAGGCAGAGGTTGCAGGGAGCCAAGATCGCGCCACTGCACTCCAGCCTGGGCAACAGACAGAGACTCTATCTCAAATAAAAATAAATAAATAAATAAATAAAGTATTTTTATTGGAAAAATAGTATATGGTCATTGAGAAAATAATCAGAAAATCAGCAGAAGGAAAAAAGTCCATAGTCGTACCATTGCACCATCCAGACAAATCAATGTCAAATGTTGATACATTTCCTTCTTGAATTTTTGCCTGGCTTATATTTTTTACATGGTGGGGATTATACACAAAGCATCATGGTTAAAAATTGAGTCCAAATTGTCGGATTCAAATCCTATCTCTGTCGCTTTCCAGCCCTACAACATTGAACAAGTCACTTCACTTCTTCGTGTCTCCATTTGTTTATCTATAAAATGGGGACAACAATTCTAATCTCATTCAATTTGTAGCAAGAATTAAATGACGTTATACATGATAATACTTAGCATAGCGTCTGCCTGGCTGAGACAAAGCACTTAAGAGATATTAGCTATTGTTATAGGCTATGGACAGACTTAATCAATCTTGATTGAAAGAAAATATTATCTAGGTTTTCTGACTATAAAAGTGACATTTCCTAATTGTGGGCAATTAGAACAATCTGGAAAGAAATTATAAGAAAGAAACCATGATTTATATATGCCCCGCAGCTCCATCTCTTTATCTTCATTTTGGCCTTGAAGGGCCCCAAACCAAGGTACTCCTAGAATCCAGGCACTTTTAAGTGAAGTAGCTCCTGGTATCAAAAGGAAAAAGAGGAGGGGGCATGGAAAAGGGAGCAAAATCCCGAACTCTGAAGAGAAGCACTGACACAGGAAGATGTTAGGGGAAATTGACAGGACATGGAGAGCCATCTAGCCTCTTATTTTGATAGTAATAGTCTTTGATTTCATGTCTCATAACTACAAAAACAAAAAACAAAACAAAAAAAACAAGAACTGCCTACAGAGTATTTCTGAAGCACCCTTATTTTCCTCCCTGCATGACCTCTGTACAAGAGAAGCAGACAATGCGCATGTTTTCCTTCCATCAGCTCCGTCTGCCTTCCCTGGGAAGAGGAACCCATACTTATCTGTGACTGGAATATGTTCTGACTTCTAAGTAGCGTCAGGTTCAGCAATGGGATCAACCTTCAAGCTCTAAGCATTTCCTAGTTATGTTAGTTTTTCCAGGCATTAGCTTCTGCCTTTTCATCTTATCAGTGCTTAGGACAATGTTAAGCATTCATTCTGCAGCCAAATGGAATAGGAGTTGCAGGCAGGTAAAGCAAGAACTAAGGCGAAACGCACTGTATCCATCCCTCAAATGCATCAGAATATCTGTTGCAGATAAGGATAATGCTGCCCTGTGGCTTATACCAATGCTGCCGCTCAAAGTGTGACCCGTGGGCCAACATCACCAGTAGCACCAGGGAATTTGTTACAAATAAAGACCTGTAGAATCAGAATCTCTGGGGGCAGGGCTCAGAAATCTGCATTTTGACCAACTCTCCTGATGATTATTATGTACTAAAGTTTGAGAAGCACTGGTTTATACCACCTCCCCCAGAGGATAAAACATATATGAGGACATTATTAATAATATACAAGTAATCATAACAGCTAACATTAATTGAATAAATACTGTGTGTTATATACTGTGTTATTACTTATATCTCCTTTACTCCTCATAAAAATCCTACAAGCTGGATATAATTATTCTACCAATTTTGTAGACGAGACAACTGGGGCTTAGAATGCTCATATAACTTGCCCAAGGTTATCCAGCCTAGAAGTCATGGATTTTGAGGTTGAACCCAGGTCTGAGTACTACACGCCTCAACTTTCTCTGTCTCTGTGGTCTGTTTCTCACCCATTTCTCTCTCTCTCTCTCTCTCTCTCTGGATTCAGGACTTCCATAAGGAAAAGTTCCCTTTGTGTCACTTTGTAGAAGCTCTACCTTCTCTGGATTCAGACATGTGAATAATAAATGCTTCTGAAGCTGACCCAGCAAGCCACAATTGCTTGGAGAAAGAAAATTGCAAGGAAATGGCCAACCCCCTTCAATGTCTTTGGCATTAGTTGTAATGACAGCCAGGCAGGTTCAAGCATCCTCAGGGCACTGCTGCAGTGGAACTGGTTGGCACAACCATGGTGGCATGCTTGGCACTGTCCTTGTTCCTGCTGGCATGGGCCAATGCCAGGAAGGAATAAGCACCAGTGCCAGGCAGTGATGCCAAGTTTCCCCAGTGGGCTGCTTTGCCGCAGCAGGTCAGGCAAGTGGCAGAAATGTAAAAACTGCTCCTCTGCAACCGGAGAGCAGGCATGCAAGTACACAGAACCCTGGCAGGCTCTCCACAGGCTGCTTCAAAAGGCCCTGGCCGTCTTGCAGGACAATGTTGGCAGGGAGGTAGGGCAGAGATGGCTTGTGGCAGGCCTGGCTCTGTAATGGATGTCAAGCAATCAGCAAACAATGACTTGTCAAACCAAGAAGATCAAGCCCTCCTTGCCATGCCTCTTTTGAAGCTTTAGATGTCCCTACTGGTTTGTTTTTCAATGTTTTCTCTTCTCATTGTTTCCCAAGGAAATTGGGATTACAAGCTATTGGATAAGAGATGCTCCCAAGAGAGAAGGGCAAGAGCTAAGCAAGGCGAAGGTCTCCAGCAAAGTTCCACTGAGGTCGCACAGGGAACTCTAGAGTGTGAGTTTACACCTCAAAGTTGTCTCAATTTGAGGTAAGGCAGCTGGGCTCTTGTACCCATCAGTCTTTGGCTAAAGTGTGTGTGTGTGTGTGTGTGTGTGTGTGTGTGTGTGTGTGTGTGTGTTCGCAAACTCAGATACCTTGGGCTCTTTCATCCTGGGATCAATGCAGGTCCAATAGTCCAAAGATGAGCTGCAGGGCTGGCCGCTGAAAGCCCATCAAAGCTGAAGTGGGGGAAAGACCCTTAAAAAATTCCAGAGGGTCTGGACAGAGTAACTACATTCTTTACTTACGTGCATCTTACTTTATATTTTATTAACATGTGATAAATGTTATCTGTAAAGTAAAAATCATTATCATTATCAACATTCAATTTACAGGTTTAACCACACACCCTGCATTGCAGAGTGGGCTGTATCACCACTCCCACTCCCAGTATGTTACTAAGCTGTTCACCTTCACAATCACCCTGTGAGGTAGAAGGAAGACAAATACCACTTAAACCCCCTCCAGAGGGAAAAATGGAAAGATTTGTCCACTAAAGCATTTTACGCATCTCATAGAAAAGCCTTGTGCAGGAACCAGTCACATTCAAACCTGGCTCTGAAGTCAGACTATCTGAGTTTGACTCTCAACTCTGCTACTTAACTCCAGGCAAGTCTCTTAACCTCTTTGTGCCTTGGTTTCCTCATCTGTGAAATGAGAACAATGGCAGTGTCTATCACATGGCATTGTGGAGAAAGTCACATGGGTTGATTCAAGTAATCCACTAAAGGCAAGGCAAGGAGTACATAATAAATTTTTTTTTTAATTTACTTTTTAGACAGGATCTGACTCCATCACCCAGGTTGGAGTACATTGGTGCAATCTTGGCTCATTGAAACCTCTGCCTCTCAGATTCAAGCAATCCTCCCGCCTCAGCCTCCCAAGTAGCTGAGACTACAGGCACACACCACCATGCCCAGCTAATTTTTTGTAGAGACGGAGTCTCGCCATGTTGCCCAGGCTGGTCTTGAACTCCTAGGCTCAAGTGATCCACCCGTCTTGGCCTCCCAAAGTGCAGGGATTACAGGCATAAGCCACCGTGCCCAGCCCACACAATAAACATTCAATCAGTGTGAGCCCTTACAATTGTGATGATGCTCATTATTTAAAGACTCTTGGGAAATGACTTGTGTTTTGCCCTAACCAGAGTTCAGATAAGTGAAATTAATTTTCCCAAGTTCTTCAGAGGGTTGACGGTTTATCAAGAACTAGGATCCAGATTTCATCATTTCTGTTCTCTTCTGCCCACCCTCTCTCCACCACCCAAATCAGATGCCTAGTAGTTTTGGCCTGATCTGTTTTTCTCTCCCTCAACCTGACATTCTACTTTCTCAAATAACAAAGTCACATGCTGTATAGACACAGAACTCATATGTAGCTCTTCTGGCCCAGACTGCTTTAGCTTTTATCACTCACAATCTCTTCTGCCTTTTCCTGGTGGCAAAATTTGCCATTCTAAAGAACCCAGGTCAAGGCCCAAATGCACCAAGAAACCCCCTGATAGTCCCATGTCACAGAATTTGCTTCCTTTTCTGAATGTAAAGGCATAATGCTATGTCTACCTGGCTGAGATATTGCATCTGTAAGAGAGATGGAGTCCTCAGCAACTCCTCCCTAGGGTTACTGTGGAAGTCATAAGTTAAAGTATGAGTGTGTTCAACATACCATGTTGAACATCTGCCCTATGGTACAAAGATTATTAACGAATGAGAAAGTATGGGCTCAGAGTGAAATGACTTTCCCATAGCAACACCACTAGTACTTAATTCTATTGGTTAGAATAGGCTAGGTTATGCTGTAGCAACAAATAACTCCAATATTAAAGGTTTGCTTTTTGTTCACATCACATGTCCAAAGCAGGATAGTGGAAGCCTCTGTTCCACATGATTACTCAGGGATCCAGGCTGACACAGGCTCCACCATCTCCACATGTGGCTTCAGGGTTTGCTGAGGCAGGTGACAAGAGCAAACAGAAACCTCACACCTGCTCTTCTATACTGAAAGCCCACTGGCCAGAACTAGTCATGTGACCCTGCCCCATTAAAGAGCACTGAGGAGTGTAAGATTCCATGTGCCCAAAGGAGGGGAGAGCTGGATATTGGTGAGCTGGTAATGTTTAGAATTTTGGAGGAGCTGGATTTTGAACCTAGGGGTTCCAACCAAGGTCTGCTAGGGTCCAAAGCCTCTGTTCTGTCTACTGCACAAGGAGAAACTTCCCTGGGGATGCTTCAATTTTAGGGCAGAAAGGTCCCAGACATGTGCTAGGAGCTAGAGAAGGGAGGAAAAAGAGAAAACATGTTCTAATTGCCACTGATCATTCATTCGATAATTTTGTTTAGCATCTACTATGTGCCAGGCACAATTCTAGGCACTGGAGATACAGCAGTGAACCAGACACAGGTCTCTGACCCCATGAAGCTTATATTCAAGAAAGGCCAAGCAGAGAAGCAGATACATGGTGTAAAGTTAAATAAACCAATTATATGCTATGTCGCAGAGCATTAAGGACTGTGGAGAACCATCAAGCAGGGAAGGAGGACAGAGAAAGGGAGTGGTTGTGTGCTGTTTTAAATGGGGTAGTTGGGAAGGGCCTCACTAACCAATAAGGCAAGATATGACTCTCTCCTAAAGAGGAAAGAGCCAGAGCCATGCTTTCAGGGGAAAGCATTCCAGGCAGAGGGAACAGCAAGGGCAAAGGCCTTGAAGGAAGACCCTGCATATATGGTAGGCTTAAGAAGCAACAAGGGGGCAATGCAGTGGGGATGCAGTGAGAAAGAGGAAAAATGGTAGAGGTGTCATGAGAGACGCATGTGGGTAGAGGGCATGTGCCCATCATGTAGACTCCTGTAGGTGCTTGGGACTCTGGCTTTTACTGGAAATAAAATGGAAAGCCAAAAAGCCTGGCTGAAAGGGAGGCAGAAAGACAAGGGCAGTGGCTAGACAGGGAAGCAGGAGAGAGGGAGAGTCACTGTACATCCAACCTGGACATCTAATGCGCTCCCAGGAAGAAGAGAAGTGTACGCCCCACTTAAGAGCAAAGAAAAGCGGTTTTGATCTGTCTGTGCAACATTGGGCACCCAGAGAAATGCTTTCCTGGCCTCAGAAAGGTTGGCTTCCCCACAAGCTAAGGAAATTGATGAGAGCATGACCAGAAATCTATCCGGTGAAGCCCCTTCCCACTTTGCACGTGTTCATGGCTTCTTGCTCCGTACACCTATGACCCTCTCCCTGAGGGCTTTCTCTGGTCACTGGAGCACAGAAGTGCCAGGACTCAACATCTCTGGGAGCAATCAGCAAAGGGCAGGAATTATGAAGAACACCCCAGCTTCCTCACCTCCTAGGCAGGAAACTCTGACGTGTGTTCTGCTTAGTTTCCCAGAGGTCCCCAACAGGACGAAGCCCCAATTGCCCACGCTGGGAGCCTACTCTTTAGTGCACCTATGTCAGCTTCCTTCTCGTCCCTGTGTTACCTCTCCAGGCCCTAACCACTGCTTCCAGGACCCCCCTGAGCAAAGAGCATTTGCTCCATTCCTCATGTCATGTCTGCTTTTAGAGGAAGCCAACCTAAGACACTGACAGAGTCCAGGAAAGGCAGTGCACTTTTACAGGTCTCAGCTCCCGCACCTGAAAATGAGGGTGTGAGACTATATGAGTCCAGGAACCTTGCCAGCCTGCAGATGAGGAAATGCACAAACCTGAAATCTGAACTCAAGAAGTTCATGCTCCTGACCTGCCTCCAATTCCACCCTCTCTCCTCTCTGCGAAAGAGCCAAAGTCCCACTAGCCCTGGGAATGCTTGGCCTTCCGCAAGATGGGGGCACTGGAGGCCTCCACAGCCAGGCTGAGCAGGAAGCCCTCCTGCCCGTGGCTGGCTCTGCAATTCTCCCTTCCTGTGGATGTGCTGGGAACAGCTTCCCTTTTGTTTTCCCCTCTGATCCCCATCTGCTCAGCAACTGCCCAAATTCAATTCAGGCGTCGCGTGCCCCCAGCCTCCAGTCGGGCATTGTCTCTTAGGAATCACTCCAATCCCCCCAAACAAAAGCCCTCAAATCTGAATAAACCCTCTGACATCAGCCTGGCGGGTCAGGAAGCTGAGCAGGACAGTCCCCACTCCCGCCTCTTTTAAACCCTTTGGCTTTGCTGACCTTTGTCTAACCCCTAATGCAACATAGTCTCCTGTCACTGCTAGGCCAGACACCACATTTCCTACTTGACTTAGCCACTCTGCTGAGCCAACAGGCCACCTCCATTTTGGGGGGACCTGATACTTTTCTTTTTTGAAGTTCAACTTTGTCCTTTTACAGAAATTCACCTCCAAAGTGTCTGATTTTTGAGAAGTTAGCTCAGGATAGCACCAGGCAGGACCCTGTCCTTATCTCTGCCTGGGGCAGGCTAGGAAGCATATTACTGGAAGTTTTTCAGCTACATAATTTACTTCCAATTCACTTTGCTTTCTCCTCCTCATCCAAAGAGATTCTGTCTTCTTCTAGGTGTAGATTTGCTCCAGTTTAAACCTTTAATCACAGGAATTTCATTGTTCATTATGCTTGGATCACATTTAAAGATAAAGCTCTCATCTCCTAATGGTGCTTTTGATCGAACTTAGCTGGTCAGTTTTGCTGATTCCAAAACCTAACAGAACAGGCAAAACATCTACCAGAAACTTCACTTCAAGTTTGGTGCCATATACGTGCCCGAGATGGGACAGATGGAAGGAAGATGCCCCACTTATCCTTTTTTTGTAAATTGGTCTTTGTCTTGCTTGGACATGACAAGAGTCTTTGCTTTGCTTTCCATCTGGCAAGACTTTGCTGCTATTTCAATACATTTCATGACTCATATTTCAATTTATCTCCACAGTTCAATCACTTTATAGAAAATCAAGATTAGAATTCCCCAAAAGTTTCCTTCCTGGAAAAATTCAACTCACCATACACCATAAAAGCCTGGTAGCATGGTCTTCAAATACCGTCTTAGAATGGAAAAAAAGAGGCTTTGCAAAGAAACATTCTCAAAGGTTTCATGCAACGAACAAGAACAACTTGTTGATTAGTCAACACAGTACCCATTTATAGAAAGTTTCCTACGTGTCAGACAGTGGTTAGGTGTGTGGCATAAGTGAGACCTATCTTGCCCACACAAGAATATACTTTTAGATTTTCTTAAAGAAAAAGAAGCAATTTATTGGGTTCCTCTAACTTTTCTGTAAGAAAGAGAAAATCCCAAACCACCCCACTAGCAGAACAACAAATGGTTCAGGAATAAATCAATAAATCACAAATCTGACTCTGACTCAGAAGGAGCAACCCTTCCAGTACTTTTTCCTTCCCTCTATACTCTACACATGGATCTCTGACTAGGTAGAGACAGCTGGAGATGTTATTGCCCAGGGATGAGCTGGCTGTAAGAAAGAGCCAGTGCTTTTGGAACACACATAGGTCCGAATGCAAGTTTTTTGTTTGTTTGTTTGTTTTTTGTTTGTTTGTTTTTTTGAGACGGAGTCTCGCTCTGTTGCCCAGGCTGGAGTGCAGTGGCGCGATCTCGGCTCACTGCAAGCTCCGCCTCCCAGGTTCCCACCATTCTCCTGCCTCAGCCTCCTGAGTAGCTGGGACTACAGGCACCCGCCACCACGCCTGGCTAATTTTTTGCATTTTTAGCAGAGACGGGGTTTCACTGTGTTAGCCAGGATGGTCTTGATCTCCTGACCTCATGATCCGCCTGCCTTGTCCTCCCAAAGTGCTGGGATTACAGGCGTGAGCCACTGCGCCCAGCCCAAATGCAAGTTTTTAAAGTTCATCACCAGCTACAGACACAGGGAAGACCTGTCAAATGAATGAAGGGGGAACTTGGCCAAGGAGTTTAGGGAAGCAGAGGGAATGAGTTAAATGTTCCCTTCTTCGACATTTCAGGAAGGAGGCAAGTCAGTGGTTATTTCTGACAATACAGAATCTATTCAAGAGTTACCAGCTGGGTGCAGTGGCTCATACCTGTAATCCCAGCACTTTGGGAAGCCAAGATGGGAGGATCACTTGAGCCCAGGAGTTCAAGAACAGCCTGGGCAATGTAGCAAGATCCCATATCTACAAAAAGCTTTTTAAAAAATAGCCGAGTGTGGTGGTGGGCACCCGTGGTCCCAGCTACTTGGGGGGCTGAGGCAAAATGATTGTTTGAGCCCAGGAGTCCAAGGTTGCAGTGAGGACCTGTGATCACACTGCTGCATTCCAGCCTGGGTGACAGAGCAAGACCCTGTCTCTAAAAGAAAAAGTTAGCATTCGGCCACTCCTCACCACTCCCCAGACTGAAATATACCATGGTGGGCGCTATCCCAGTCTGAGGTTCTTGATCAATCAACTCACCTTAGGATGTCAAAACTAGAGCAGACGAGAAATATCTGTTAGCGGTGTTTGACTAGGGATGGTGCTGCCCCCTACAGGTATATGGCAGTGTTGGGGGTGCTTTTGGTTGTGACTAGGAGAGGGCCTTCCTTACTGCTTCTAGTAGGCACAGAGATTCTAGATGACCTGGAATGCTCAGTTCATCCCATGCAACAAATCATTGTTCCACCTGATCCACCTATCACACCCCAGCAGAAGCAACCTGTGACCATCATTTTATAGAAGAGGGACAAAATCTCAAGAAATCCCCAAGGTCAGAGGAAATGGTGGGATATGTTTGGGAGATGCTTTCAGGAAACATAGTGGGAGAGGGGGTAAGTGAGACGGGGAAGGGAAGGAAGCTATAAAGGTAGGTTATGAAACAGGTTTCTGCCACAGGCAACTGAGGTTCAATCTTGTTTGGAGACTCTGGGAGACACTGTAGTACACAGCTCAGAGCTGGCCCACCTGAGAAGTGAGGAAGCTAGGGTATTGATTCTCCAGCTCTCATCTTTCATTGACTGAAGGCTGTTCAGGAACATTAATCCCCAGGCACTCTGGGCCTGCCCTGCTCGAAGGCTGACAGAAAGCCCTCAGGAAGAGAACTGCAGACACTTGGAGTAGGACACTCTCCAGGTGTGCACTGGGACACCAGATGCCAAGAACTTGTGGGTGGGCACCAATAGCATCTGCTAGAAAAGCAAGGACAAACATTGAACATGAATCTGGGCACTTATTCAGTTCCTGAATCAAACAACCAGGGCCTGTGGAAATTGTTGGAAATGATTTTTTATAAACTTGCCTTTATGCTTGGAAGAGTCCATACAATTAAATTTTGGAACCCCACAGTGGATTTGGCCAAGGGTCTCTCATGAAGCCATAGACCCTGGGGAGTTGCCATTTATGGGGCCACTAGAGTCATTAGAGTCATAACTAGAATTTTAACTTCTCTCTTTGAAGACATTGCTGCTTTCTGAGCTCTTGTCCCTAACTTTCAAAACAGGAAAGCTACAGCAACACAAAAATCCACCAAGAGCCACCTAGGTCTCCAACATGAGGGCGTGTGCTGGCTAAGCAAAGGTAGCTATAGGCCTGGGGGAAGAAAAACATGGCATTACTTCCCAAAATCAATGTCCCAGGCATCGCTAACCACACTGGCCTCCTTGTGACCTTCTTCTTCAGGAGGCATTCTCTAATGTTCTCTCATCAAAATATACAATTTTCTGCTCATGAAATCAACTCATAGTCTCAATCCTATGAATTCCTTCCAAAGACCCACTGGCTGCCAGGGCATCATGAATGCATCCTGGGCAAAGTGTGTTAATGTGAGAGTAGACACACGTGTGTATGCACACACACACACACACACACACACAATGACCTTTCAGGCAACAGTCCGAAGAAGGCTTTCTTCCTCTCAGTAGGTTAGAGAACTCATCATCAAAAGGGAGAAAACAGTAAAATATCACACTTATAGACTCCCTTAATTAGGTTTTGTAATTAATTCTGTTAAGTGCTGACAAGACTTTTGCTCAAGAAAAGTGCATATTAATGGCAAGAGAAGAGAAACAACAATTTATTGGACATAGTGTTAGACATTTCTGTATTTATGTCATGTAATCTTCAAAACAGCCCTCAGAATAGGCATTACTATTAACCTCATAGTGCAGGCCATGAAAGCAAGACTTAGAGAGGCTGTGGGGGCTGCCCAAGGTCATGGGACCCAAAGGGCTGTGTCAGGAAGCAAACTCAGTTCTCCAAGACCCAAGACCATGCCTATGACCCCAGCCCTGTCCATCTTCCTAGCAGGAGTCATCACTTTGTGCTCAGTACTTGAAAGTGATTATTCCCTGATTGCTTTAAAAGTCATAATTTTAAAAGTCAACAAGGCCAGGGCCAGTGGTTCACACCTGTAATCCCAGCACTTTGAGAAGCAGAGGCAGGTGGACTGCTTGAGCTCCGGAGTTCAAGACCTGGGTAACATACAGAGACCCTGTCTCTATAGAAAAAATACAAAAATTAGCCAGGCGTGGTGGTGCATGCCTGTAATCCCAGCTACTTGGGAGGCTGAGGCAGGAGGATCACTTGAGCCTGGGAGGTCGAGGCTACAGTGAGCCATGATCGTGTCATCGCACTCCAGCCTGGGTGACAGAGCAAAACCCTGTCTCACTCAAAAAAATAAAAATCAACGAGCAACCTTACAAAAAAAGGTTGCCGAAAAATCTGTAAAGGACTTAAGCACACAGACTCACACACTGGAGACGATTCCATATAGAGCCATGCCAATGACTTTCACTTCTCTAAGAGCTTTGGCCCTCTCCCATGTCTTTGCTGCCCCCACACTCCTGTGTGGTGGGCGGGGCAGACACTTGCCAGCAACTTACTGGCCTTTTCTGGTGATGGTTGTTGTTCATTATAGAAAAATCCACGTAGGTCTTTGGTAGGCCCTGCTCTGCAGAGCTAATACTCATCATAACAATAGATTCAGCATCTCTATACTACAGGCATTGTGCTGAATGCCTCACACTCAGGATTTTATTTATTCCTCCCCATGGCTCTACTGGTAGAAGCTATTATACCCATTTCATAGATGAGAAACTAAGGCTCAGATAAGTTAAGAAAAGGGCCCAAGTTGCCCACCAGTAAGTGGCCGGGCCAGGGTTTGAACCCAGGTTAGTGCAAAGCGGAAGCCATTTCTATGTAAATGAATCAATCCATCGAGGCACACTTCTTTAGCCCTGATTATATGCCAGTTAGTTTACTCCAGAACCCCAGCCCTAGCCCCTGCCTTGGTCTGGGCTTTCTTCCAATAATGTTGGCATTTTCACTGAAGGGCCAAGATCTCATCCCTTCCTGGGAGACATTCTATAGACCATATCTCATGGTGACGTCTCAGGCTCTCTGAATTTGCTCTTGTCTTTGTAAAGGAGGAAGCCTTCAAATGCACAGTGAGGGGAGCACTGAGGTTGATACGAAACTCAAGGCACACTTCTGGTGCCATCGTCCATACTGTTACTGAATTCTTTACTGCTAGGAAGGTCTCCAGGGACCAGCCATCTGCTTTTCCTCCCTTCAAGGGCAGGGACTATATCATTCATCTTTGTTTCCTGGGGCTCCGGTCCAGTGCCTGGCATATAATCAGGGCTAAAGAAGTGTGCCTCGATGGATTGATTCATTTACATAGAAATGGCTTCCGCTTTGCACTAATTAAAACCAGAGCAAAGAAGTCTTCCTGACCTCGAGGGCCAATTCATGCTACCAATTATCTAGACATTCAGAGCTGAATTCTTATATATTTAAAACAATTTTAAAAAGTTTTCATTTTCCAGTGTCATATTTTAGGAGTCTATGTGGGGTGTGAACCACTGCATGGAGCTGCAAAGGATCCCACTGGCTTCACCAACAAATATTTGTTGGGTGCATTCTAGATACCAGCTCCTGGGGAGACAAGAATCAACACAAATGAATGGGTCCTCACTCCATGAAACTTACAGTCTAGCAGGAGAGACACGCATTAATCCAATTGTCACACTTTGGATATATAACTGCATAGGGCAAAAAGCACTATGAGGATAAGAAGGAGGGTCAACAACAAAGGAATCTCACTGGCTGGAGAAGGTCAGAGAAAGCCTCCCTGGGGAAGCTTGAGGGGCCATTGGCAGGATGCTGAGGCACTAAGCAGGTGAGGTGGGGCTGGAGAAAGCACCTCAGCTTGTGCAAAGGCCCTGTGGGGGCCTGAAAATAGGCCAGCGTGGCTGCAGCACAAAGCCAAGGGAGGGCAGCAGAGAGAAAGACAGAAGCATAGCCAGGGCCCACCCTAGAGGCCTTCAGGGCCATGCTCAGGATTGTAGGCTACGACCAATGGTGTCACAGAAAGAGCTGAAGCAGTGGCAGAGGAGGAGGGGGGAATAATGGTGCGGGAAACTTTGAATAGGTCACTTGGACTTGATAGTAGAAAAGAGACTGGACAAATGCAAGAGAGGCTACAAGGAGACCTCCAAAGACAGCTGCAGGAGAAGATGGGGCTTAGACCACAGGGGTGGTAGTTAGGGTAGAGGGCAGAAGAGGGATCTGAGAGACACTGGGCAGTGAAATGAATGATCCTGGTGATGGATTAGGGGGACAGTGAGGGAGGGGGAGGCCCACTTCCAGCTTGCAATCTAACTGGGAAGGCTGGGGCACCAGGGGAAGAACTGGGGGGCCACTGAAGGGGGATGAGAAAGCTCAGAGTGGCCAGGAAAGGAAAGTGTGGGTTTGGATTCACAGCTAGGAAATGGGGGAGGTTTATAAGGGGGAGGTACTGGCCTCTCCAAAAGGAGGAAGGGGAAGGGAATTAAAAGCATGAGGCAGGGGGCAAGGGTAGCCTGGCTGGTGCGAGGGTTTCCATGGAGAGAGAAATAAAGGCTGCCAGAAGGGCCAGGGTTCCTCGAGAGCAGCTATTCCCAATGTGTGCTCCTCCACCTCACCAGAAGCATGGGCATCACCAGGGAACCTGTTTGAAATGCAGATTTGGCTGGCAGGGTGGCTCCCGCCTGAAATTCCAGCACTTTGGGAGGTTGAGGCAGGGGAATCACTTGAGGCCAGCAGTTCAAGACCAGCCTAGGAATTTGAGGCTGCAGTGAGCTATGATTGTGCCACGGTACCCAAACCTGGGCGGCAGAGTGAGACCTTGTCTGAAAAAAAAAGAAAAAAGGATGAAATGCAGATTCTCTGGCCCTGACCCAAACCTGATAGATTCAAAACTCTGAGAGTAAGGCTGAGCAATCTGTGTTTTAATAGGATTGTTGAAACAAATTCCAATATATGCTCAAATTTGATAACCACTGCCCTGGACCAGCGCTTCTGAAACATTAATGTGCGTCTGAATCACCTGGGGATCATGTTAAACAGCAAATTCAGATTCAGTCGGTCAGCAGTGGAGCCCTGATTCTGCATCTCTAACCAGCTCCCAGGGGAGACGATACTGCTAGTCCAAGGACCACACTTTGAGTAGCAAGGGTCCAAATCATCCCTTCACCCCATTCTGAGAGGTTAAGGGACTATCCACCTGCTTGCTGGTGACAAATGGGGTCGGTAGCACTCAACATAAGCCAAAACATCCATCTCTCCAGAAACCTGAGAAATGTCATGCTCCTTAACTGAATTTCCTCCACATTAAAGTCCAGCACTGGCGTCTCTCTCGGCAGGGCTGAAAAACCTAATGGCAGATAGAAATAAGCCATTCCCATCCGGTGACCTGGCTGGAGAGGGAGAGGAGGGGAGGGGATTTAAATCCAGAGATCTCTGGACACGTTCACTGAAAGTCACTTTCAAGTTATTCTCGAGCTATTTTAAAATGATTAACCCCTTTCAGAGGGGAGTTTGACTAGCTTCAACTTGGAGTCAGTGCAGGGAAAGCATCTTTGTTCTTTCCTCTCTGTGGCCCAGAAATAGAGGGAAGAAAAAAGGAAACCCCCTTGGCTGCCACAGAAGAGCCTAAAGGACATGAAGCAGCCTGCACATCCAGAGAGTCTCCAAGCGAAGTGAAAGGCACATGTCAACAGGGGACACCAAAGGTAAAACAAACTCAAAAGACAGGATGCAGTTGGTTTTAGCTGACATCCCTTCCTATGAACTCCACACTGTCATACCCTAAACACGAAATCTCCTTCTAAGAATGAAACTTAAAATCTGCCTCTCAGGATGAATTGAATCCTGAATGCCCCTCCATGCTTTTTAAGAGCTACTATGAACTGATTTTTTTCTCTTTTCTTTAAGGGAAAATGTGCAAAGTGGCAAGAATTGAATACATAATTCAAAGACTTTGAGTTGGAGTCTGTGTGGACTCTGGGCAGTACGGTCTCATTTCTGTTTTCTGCTGTTGTCTGCACTGGGAATGTGGAAGGAGAGCATTTTTTTTCCCCCTAGAAAAACAACGCGTCAGCTTTCTTTGTCGGCTTCAGTGACACTAAAGGCATTGCAGTGTTAGCCAAACTGGAGCCAACTGAAGCTTACACACTCCTGAGCAGGAACCAAATCATCGACTGGATCTGACACCTCTTCATTTTCCAACCCCTTCGCATTTCTCTTTTGATTGCTCTTCATATATGTACATGCACTTTTCTGTATTTCATATACATATACACACTGACATCTTACTAGCAATTTTTAGCTCCTTGACACATAATAAAGGCATCCATTCTCAGTGAAATCAGGCCTTCTGTTCAAAGTGTTTTCCCTAGAAAATATGGCAGCTTCTAATTAAATAACTCAATGAGCAGCAGGAAGGGATAATGTGAAATTTAGAGCAGCATTTCAGCTTATATAGCACCCTTCTTGACAAGCAGTACACAGTAGTTGACGGACTTCAGAAAACCAAGCTGTGCTACATTCTCACTGATGTGCTTGGAAAGAAAGGAGGGGAAGAAGGGAAGGAGGGAGGAAGAAAAAAGAAAGAAGGAAGGGAAGAAGGGAAGGAGGGAGGGAAAACAAAGAAAAAGAAGGAAGGGAGGGATGTCTAACACATCCCAGATATACACAGGGCAACACATCACCATTCCCTTGGCATCACCCAGCTGTCAATCTGGTATTTGTGAAAGTGCCCTGTGCTTACGAAAAAGGATAGTGGCCCAGGGCTGTCTAACCTTCCCAAATGACAGACCTAGAACACTCCAAGAGACCATATATTTATAAATATTTGAGAAATGGGGCATTCCCAGTATAACATATACTCACAGGGGTTGTCTTGCAGTGTGGGTGTCTTAATTTATTTTTCCTTCTTTTTTAAAGCCAGCAGCCATATCCTGAAGCCACACAGCGTGTTTGAAGAAGGGGTGAGTTAGCCAGCACTCCCAGAGAGATTTGGTTCCTCAGAAAAAGAGTCAAAGATGAGCAGCCATGAAGTTCCTCCATTGGTAAACCCAGCACAGCTGCCACCCAGAGCAAACCAGAATCAGGAGTTCTGTGATTATTTCTTAATGCTGACATGCACGACCCAGTTATTCACATGTAACTCAAGGATTCCAGAGTCAGTAGCATCCTTAAGGAAAAATTTTCTCCTTCTGTGAGTTTAGTTATTTAAGGGCAGGGGTGATGTAACCAATACTAGACACAAGAACAGTCCTCTTGAGGAAGAAGAGAGAGAGGGAGGAGCCATATCAGAAGCAGGAGCACCCTACCAGAAAGCAACCTGCTAGATCAGGGGCTCCTTGTGGTGGCACTGGTGACATTTGAGGCTGGATCATTCTCTGCTGTGGGGGCTGCACTGTGCATTGTAGGAGGTTTAGCAGCATCCTTCACTTCTCCTCACCAGATGCCCCTTTTCTCCAGTTGTGGCAACCAAAAATGTCTCCAGACATTGCCACATGTCCCCTGGGGGTGAGGGAAGAATCACCCTCCCCCACTGCCCTAGACAAAAGCCACAGAAAACAAGAGGAAGCGGTAGAAAAAGTCACCAGACACCAATTAATTTGGGGGTGGGGTTGGGAGCAGAAAGGGAAGAAAAGAATGTGGAGACATAAAGGAACATCTCACAGGTTTCAGCCAGGAAGATCAAACTCAACTTGCAGATAAGACAGTGGGTATAGTCGTGCAACCCACAGACTCGGCGTGATTATGGGTCCCTTTGAAGGGAGCAGCGCTTTTACAGGCAGGCCAAGGGGGCAGTGAAGCCTATTTAAAAAGGGAGCGGCTTGTAGTTTACCAGATATCTTATCAAACTTACTTTAAGAATTCAACGCAGGAAAAAAAATGCCACCCCTGAATGCTCCTTTCCTTAAACTTGGATACTAACAAAACTTCCTGTCAACACGTAGGAGCCTGAAGTGATTAAAGCAAAAGGGAGCACTCCCTCTATTGTGTCTGCTTCTAATCCTCAGAGAATTTTTCTTTTAGACACACATACAAACAACTTGGGATTTGTTGATGCTAACTGCAGAGGGGTTTACGCAAGGAGGGGCGGGGGCTGCTCAGACCACAAAATGAAAGGGGAAATAGAAGCAAAGAGAGAGAGGGCCTGAGAAAGTTTCCTTCCCCAGCTTCCAGTCAAGAGGGCTGGCACAGTGCTCAAGGGCATTTGGCGTCAGTCACTGGACTGCTCCCTGAAATGCCCTGAAGGGGCAGAGCCAGGGAAGCTGGCAGGGCCCTCTCTGCCTTTTTCACTTGGGAGCCCAAGTCAGCCAAAGAAAAGCTATGTGCCACCTTTATCATGCAACAAAAGCCACTGCAGAGCCCTCCAAGGCTCCAATGCACTTAATAAAGGCTAACTAAATAAACAAAGAACAAGTCCTGAGAACATAAAACTCTTCACACCTGGGTACCCTCTTTATTACAGACTCCAGTTTAGCAAGAACCCGGCAAGCTCTGACCTTACCTTGGAAACAAGCCCAACAGGGTGAACTGGTCACAGAAGGCAAAACTGGACACATCTTCCCACCTTCAACCCCCAGAGGAAAATGTCTGTTCTGTGCTCCAGACTATTTTTGCTGGGGGTATTTTATTTAAATTCCTTCACTTGATTATATGTTTTGCACAAGTATCTGAAGTTTTGTTCATTTTGTTGTCAAATGAATCTTCCTGCTTCACTTCTAAGTGAGGTTGAGGACCTCAAGTGACATATGCATTCATGATAATAATAACAGCAACATTTATAGAGCTCTTACTACATGCGAGTTCAAAGCACTTGAAATAGATTAGCTCATTAAATCTCAACTGAAGTCTTATTTTTACTTTCTGCAATTATAAATGATCTGTATCTCTTTTCCTCCTCCCCTACAAATTCTCCCAAACCCAGAAATGCGCATAGAAATAATAGCCAGTCACGTATTAGTTGATCTCTCTGCTAGATTGTCAAAATGGCTGCAATCATTCCCCTTTCGGTATCTCCCCATCCATTTGCAATGAGACCTTGTAAGCCCTCCCATCGAGAGGTGGAGTCTATTTCTCAAACCCTTGAATCTGGGTTTGGTTCTGTGACTTGCTTTGGCCAATGCAATTCAGAAGTGGCACTGTCTGAGTTCCAAGCCTGGATCTCGAAAGGCCTTGCGCACTTCTGCTCGCATGCTCAGAATTCCGTGATCACCATATGAACAAGCCCAGGCTGGCCTGCTAGACGATAAGAGGACACTGCCAGGGGGAACATCCCAGATGAGGCCAATCTAGATCAGCTAGGCCTCAGCTGACCTATCACTGATTGTGGACACATGCGCTAGCCCAGCTACAACCACCTGGCCTGGCCTAGCCCAGACTGGAACAACCACTGAGCTCAACCACAGACTAAGATATATGTTTGTTGTTCAGCGCCACTAAATTTTGGGGTAGTTTGTTTTCTAGCAAAGGTGTAACATTCAAAGCATTAACTATACTCTTTTAACCTTGTGATTCTCCAATATGGAGTTACAATATGCAATGTTTTTGAAACTTCTTTGACCATGAACTTAACTCTCCCTTTTCTCTCTTCTGTGTGTATACACACATGCACATTCCAAGGAACACACACACTAGGGAAAGGCTGCTCTAGATCACTCATCACAGGAGTAACTAGCATTGGTTCATCTGTAAGTTTTATGAAAAACAGCTGCTTTTCCTTCATGTCCGCTTATAGCTTTTGGTGCTGTTCTGAAAACATTAACCTTAATGGCAACTGTAACAACCAGTGTTATAACAACATATAAGAGCTGAGAAACCTCCCAAACATCCCCCATTAGTCCTTTGTTCTTACTATGGGCTATAAAGAGCTATTTAAAAAGACAAAAATCAAAACCAAGAACTTAATATTCTAGGCCCACTAAAACAATAATCAGAGGTTTCTCCCATAAAAACCCCTTCCACTGTAGTAAAAAAAAAAAAAAAAAAAAAGAAAAGAAAGAAAAAAGAAAACAAAAACAAAACAGTAAATTGCTGCAAAAAATAGACAAAAATGAACTGGCTAGAAACTGATTAAGGATTCGTTTTGAACCAAAATCAATAAAGAAAAAAACAAAATTCCAAGCAATGCCATTCACTGCTTTAACATTCCAAAAAGAACTCCCACACAAGTATTTTGAAACATTCCTGGAAATTCATGTTTTACTTAATTCATCTGCTTCCAATAGCTGGTTTTCCTTTTTAGTCCAACCATCCTTCTCAGAATTCAAACAATCTCTCTAATTTCATCCCTTTCTCTGGAGCAGGGTTCAGATGGTGAGAAGATATTATTATTGCTATCATCATGATCAGGTTTCTGTTGATCAACACTGTGTAAAAGAACCAGGTGCAATTTTCCAGCAGATGCCACAAAAATAAATGATAACATATGCAACCAACATCCTACCATTTTTTTGTAAAGTATTTAAAAACTTATTTGAAAGTTATCTAGTAAAAAATAAGTATTTCCAAAATGAGTTACTACATGTGTCAAAACATACACCCAACAGAACAGGACTGCTTCAAAAGAGCTGTCAGTCAGAGTCCAAGGAGGAAATCAAGGCCCTTCCTCCCTGTGAGCTCAGCTACTAAGATCGGCAGGCTTAGTATGCCTTCCCACCCAATCAAAGACTATTTTGGACTAACAAATATAGAAGGGATGATGGATGAAACCATTAGAGTAAATCATTATCCAGGCAAGAATCCTCAATGAATGCTAAAGCTAGGTGGAGAGAGTTTGATGAGGAATGGGATATTTACATAATGTCAAAATATCTTCCAACAAATTATATTTGTTCATTACAAAAGGAAAAAGAACAGCTACACAGACACCAGCTTAACTAATCAAATGTGACCTCACCAACAAGGGCCAAATGGACATCTGTGCCTCCTGATATGGTCCCCAGAGAACAAATCACTTACATGCCTATATAGCATTCCAACTGAAAAATGCCTAAATCCAAATGTAAATGTGAAGAAACATCAGAGAAACCAAAATTAAGGAACATTCTATAAAACAACTGGCTGGTATTCTTCAAAAATGTCAAGGCCACTGAAGACAAAGGAAGAGTTATGAACTGTTCTTGATTAACGGGGACAAAAGAGACAGGACAACTAAATGCAATGTGGGATCCAGGACTAGATTGTGAACCTTAAGAAAATTGTGATAAAGGGCATTATTGGGACACAGGTTACATAAAAGTATGAAATAAATATTATATTTTCTAAATTTGATAGCTGTACATATACAAGAGAATATTCTCATTCTTGGGAAATGCAAGGGGTAAAGGGAGTTTGATGACAGCTGCCTACTCCTAAATGGTTCAGCAAAAAAATTCACATATATATGAACATGAATTAGTGTGGGGGAGAGAAGGGATAAATGCAACAAAATATGAACAATTAGTGAATCTAGATAAAGGTATACAAGAGTTATTTACACTATTCTTGCACCTGTCCTGTAAGTTTTAATTATTTCAAAATAAAAAGTGAAACAAGCAAACATCACCAAATGCGGAGCTTGCTATGGGTGGATAAGGGTAAGGGCAAGACAAAATTGTACCCCCGAGTAGTCAATATGCAGCAGAGAGCCAGCTCTCTTCCCAGCTGCCCTTCATAGCACTGTCCAGAGTATTCCCCAGAATGGACCCCCTCTTAGCTTCTTTTGAGATGAAGCTTTTGTGACCACAGGCCCCTGGCACTCCAGGATGCTGCAGGCCTTGAAAGAAAACCAAAACCACTTCGGGCCATGGTTCAACTCTTTATGAACATTTTCTTCCTGCAGGTTTTCCACTGTGGTGGTTGGAGGTCTTATTTCTTTTGCCGGCACTGTTGGGAGAGAAAGACAAGACTGGGCTTTTATTGAGGTGTGAGGGACCTGGGAAGCCAAGAAACACAAGCAGGGACTCACAGGTTCCAAGATGAGCTTTTGGGGTATTTACTGGATGCCGCCCTATCTGTTTTCCCTCTTCTGTGTAGAGATCCATTGAGGTCAGCTCATCTGGGGAGACTGCCCCCACTACTGGCTCTGCCTCTGGACTGTCAGGAGCCTTGGGATGAGTCTCATGGCGGCTCTATGCCTCGGTTTCCTCATCTGCTCTGCTCAGTAGAGATAAGCAATCCTGCTGTGTCAGCCCTGCCATTTTTGGCAGCAGCAGAGATCAAGGCCTGGGGGGTGGGCCCTGGAAAGACATCCCTGGCAGGAAGACTGGGTCTCTGCCTCTCAAGTGGCACCTGCTGCTGAGTTTCCTAATTGCTGCTGTGTCCACCCAATCATGTGACTGTGTTGCTACCTCAGTTTCCATTCCAGCATTCCTGCATTCTGTCAGGCCTGAGTCCTGCCAGGCTCTAAGACTCAGCCTGATGGTGCCCTAGTTCTCTCCCTGCAGAGCCATCAGGCACTCTGTACTTCCCCACTACCACCCCTACTCACCATATTCCAGCTCCATGAGCACACATGCTAGACTCATGATACTTAGCGACAGAACTGCCTTGCTGACCATGGACAACTCCTCAAAAGACAGTCACCAATGTGAGTTTTTCTTCAAAGAGTCTTCCTTATCCATTTTTTTTTTCCTAGCAAGTGATGGACAATGTAACCTCAGAGACGACCTCTGACCTCCAACATAGAACCATACACCAGTGCAAACCTGACTTCTTGATGTAACTAGAGCAGGTACCAGGAAGAAGATGAATTAGAACTGCATGATGGAGCCACATCAGTTTCCCAACTGCAGTTACTGAAGGTGGCCTTGTTGGGTTCTCACATAATAACTTGGAGAGGAATTATCTTAAGAAAAACAAGGAAAGATTTAGGGGCAGTGTCACAAGATGGCTCCTAACAGGCCAATCACCAACTTCACAAATTAACATTCGGGGTCTCTAAATCAGCACCTCACAAAGAAAGCTTCCCTGCTACAGCAAGCCCACATTTGCTCTGAGCCAGGCCTGAACTGAAATCCAGTCCGGCTTTTCCAGATGGCAGCACCGGGAACTTCGGAAGAGCAGCCACACCCAGGCGGCTGCAGCTCCTGAAACCTGGACCACAGACGGCCCTGGGCTGCTTCCGGATGGGGGGGATGGGGCGGGGGGGGGGGGGCGGCTTCTGGCTACTATTTGAGCAAATGTGTCAGAGCTGCCCCCAGGGGGAAATTGTGGGCCTGACACAGAGCCCCACTCCCAAGACAGGTTCTTCAGAGGCTATGGCACCAACCAGGCCAAACCATCTGGAAAAAGCCAAGGTTGAAATATTCTCCAGCTCTTCCTCCCGCCCCCTTATCCTACAGGTCAGTGGGGCGGCTCTGGAGGAGCCACTGCATTCCTCCGAGGCCAGAATCCACACACTAACTAACTAAGAGCTTGCTCCAGGTGACTCGGAGGCAGCACAAAGCAGAGAATCAGAAAGCACGACCTTAAAATGCCACAAAGAATAGTGGACACCATCTCTCAAGTGGCCCTTGTAGCTGGACATGGCTGTGGCCCAGGACCTACCTGTCTCTGTCTTCCAAGCCTGGGCCTCATGCCACAGCCCCCAGGGGAGCAGAGAGCAAGGTATCTTGACTTTGACAAAACCCAGTTAAGGGCTGAGCATGCGGGCTGCTTCCTCTGCCAAACCAAAACGAAGCAACCAGGGAATTATCCAGAGAATTGGAACCAAACCCTGATTTTCCAACATCATTCAGCTAAATGAAGACCGTTTCTTAGTTTTCCACTTTGCTTCAGCTATGGTGACCAGGCCTTAGCTAGCTTAATAATGAAAATGAAGCACTTGCAAATAAAAATACATTTGGCTTTGCAAAATGAATGAATGATTAAAAGAAGAAAATTAAGCAGCAAAAATTGAGCAGACATCTCTCCCAAAGAAGCACTTTTGGAAACATATAATGCATTAGATGTAATAGATATTTGTAGGACAATAGAGGGTGGGATAGGCCAGGCATGGTGGCTCACGCCAGTAATCCCAGCAGTTTGGGAGGCTGAGGTGGAAGGATCACTTGATCCCAGGAACTTGAGACCAGCCTGGGTAAGACAGTAAGACCCTGTCTCTACTAAAGACAAAAAAATTAGCCACATATTGTGGCGTGCACCTGTGGTCCCAGGTATACTGGAGGCTGAGGTAGGAGGATCGCTTGAGCCCAGGGAGGTCGAGGCTGCAGTGACCCAAGATCATGCCACTGCACTCCAGCCTGGTTGACAGAGTGAGACCCTGTCTCAAAAAAAAAAAAAGAGGGAAGGGAGAAAAAGGTAGAACTCACTGGAGATTTTCCTCAGTAGCAAAAGCATAGAGAAATGGGAGACCCAGCTTAATTCTGCAAGGTCTCATTGGTCACACATTACAAGAGACATCTCAAACAGATCTGCCACCCTGCCCCTGCCATCCCTCCAACTAGACTTTCTGGAACAGAACATTTCTATTCCCACCATGGATATAACATTTCTGAGCACACAGGCCCCTAGCTTTGTGCTCCTTAGAGAGGGCCAAATTGGGCTCCTTCATGTAACTGGGTTGCAGAGAGTCAACGCAGCAAGGAAAGAACCTATAACTCTTTAAAATTCTCAAGAGCAATGCTTCTTAGACTGTACTGTGCGTGCGAGCCAGCCATCCTGGGCCCTGGCTGAAATGCAGATTCTGACTCAGTGGGTCTGGGGTGGGGTTGAGGGTCTTTGTTTCTAATGAGCTCCCTGACGATGCGATGCTGCTGGCTCCATGGATCCCACTTTGAGAAAGCAGGCTCTAAAATACACCTGTAAATAAAGAGAGTGGTGGCAGGGTATGCATCCCAGTTCAAATAAATGAAAACACCCTCTACTTACAGCCTCTTCTCCATCTTGAAATTACACTTGCAATTAAGAAAGAGGGTTCATGCTTGCACAATTTCACCCAAATAATGACGGCAATATTTAGAATGGATGGAAATGTGTTTCTACTTCCCAATCATGCTTAGGGAAATTCCATTTAAAAATTGCTAATTTTCTTCTCTCCAGTCTCTCCCTCTCTTCCCTTACAATCCCTCTTAACATGACAATAAGCATGATGCCCTTCAGACAGCATGTTAACCCAGCTGGATGTCCACAACTGGAGAAGCAATTCCTAAAAGGGGTAAAATGTTTCAGATCCAGCAATTCTGCTTTCTGTCCAAACAGAATGTGAGCAATCCATGCTATCCTCCGAGCCAGTCCCAAATCCCTACAGAGCTTGCTTTCTTGGCAGTCAGCAAGACTATCACTGTCTGTGCTTTCATTATCCACTCTTAGATCTTAATCATTCAGAGACATTCCTATTTTCCATGTTTGCAGGAGAAAGAAAACAAAAATGAAAAAGTGCCTTTCTCATCAAAGCCCCCCCAGAATTGGAATTTACAGAAATAGCATGTTATTGGTTATCTCGCCTAATCCTTTAGGGAACCTTGCAAAATTATTCCCTAGGGTGGATTCAATGGGTGCAGCCAAGTTTTAAATGTCCACAAAGATGAGGTTTCCCATAAATTCACAAATGTCAAATGGAACTAACTCTGATGTGTGTGTCATATGCAAAGAATTAGGAATGATCAAGAACTAGTTCCTGGAAACAGAAATGTAAGTCTTGACATTTGCTCATTAAATCATTAAAAACTCCATAAGCACAAATGGGGGTGGGGGTGGGGAGTGGGAAATGCCTTATGTTGGGAATTGAGAGATTAAGAGGCAAAGAACTTGCTAAATCAGAATTAAAAGACTGAAGAGCCCTACATCCTTATTTTAAATGAAATGAGGATGATGATGACGATGATGATGATGGGAGGTACACCAGTGATCATCTCTCTTCCTTCCCCTAAGTCCCTCAGGATGGTGGTCCCGGTGGGTTATCCTAAACCACAAAGAAATACGACTATAGCTAGAAGCAAGTGGTCAAGTGGTATTAGAGCTCTTTTAATCTGATAGCCACCCTGCCCCTTCCTGGCACTTCCCATGTTTCATGTTTTATTTCAAAGTGAAACCCAAACACACTCCGGAACATCCGGGCGGATGGTGTGCGTGTGCAAGTGCTCCTGGGTCTCAGTCCAGCTGGCCCAAGCCTCCTTGTTGTGTAAGGCCCTGGGAAGACAGCAACATGCTGTCCCCCTTACTTCTCAACAGCTTGCTCATTCATATTGGAAACTAAAATGGGCCGCAAAACAATGGAAAGACACATTTCAAAATTGTTACATTTCTTTCTTTTTTACTTTTTGGTTTCATCATAAACACTTCCCCCAAAATAAGCCTTCCATACTGGAGATGAAAGAATGAGTGGTGAGGGTTCCAGAAAGTCCAGAGGATTTTTTCTGCTGTGAGGTCTCGAGATGTCAAGGAAAGCCAAAAGCTGCATTCATTCCCATTGCTTAGACCATTGCTAAATGTAATCATGTTTAATAGCACAGTATGGCTTTTACAACCATTTCTTCAACGGCCAATCTAGTAGAACAGCTGGTTTTTCCAGGAGGCATTCGTGCAGCACAGGAAGCTGCAGCATGATGACAGTAACAACAATTATTATACATATTGAACACTTACTAGAACCTAAGCACAACACTTAGTGCTTTATTCACCCTCCTCTAATTATCACAACAAAAGCCTATGACATAGAGACAGATGAGAAAACCAAGCAACAGAGAAATACAGTAACTTGGGCAAAAGCAACACAGCTGAGAAATGGGAAAGTCAAGTTATGAACCCAGGTCTCAGCTGGCTGGGAAGCTGGTGCTTTTAACCAGAGGTTCTCAGAGTTTGCGTTAGAATCATCCAAGCCCAAGCTGCACTCAAGATCAACTATATCAGAATCTCAGAGAGTAGGACCCAGTCATCAGTATTTTCTCAAGCTCCCCAGGTGACTCTGGTGTGCAGCCAAATTTGAGAACCATTGTTCCCAGCCACCATGCTTCCTTGCCGCCAGGTAGAAAGGCTGAGCCCATCCTAGATCTTTGTTCAAGTCATCAGTAAATCTGCATGGAGAGCAAACAAGCATCTTTCAGCAGATGGAAGGATTTTGGAAAGGTCAAAGATCAGCAGAGGCCAGCATGACAGGAATTGCTGTTACAGTATGTCCCAAGGGCTCTTGCTTGGTGTGTTCAGGGCAAAAGTGAACTCTGGTAGATCAACTGGAGGGGCGGGGAGAGGCAGGCCATGACAGCTATGAGCTAACTTGGGTTGTGGCCATGCGTTCACTCCTTGTGTAGATGGGAGTTTGTGACTCTCTTTACTACAGCATCTTTTGCTACCGTAGTAGATTGTATTACTGTTTTCATCCTTATCCTTGCAGAAGGTTGACACATCCCCATCTTTGCTCTGTTGAACTCAGAGTTGGCTGGGCCACATGAGTTGCTTTGGCCAATTAAGTGTGAGCAGAAGGGTTGTGTCGCTTCTGAGCATAAACATTAAGATCAAGTGTGTGATTCACCATTTTCTCTTCTTTTATCTGTCACTTGGGCCAGCAGTGTTCTAGGCAGAGACCAATCCCATCAGCCCCAGTCCTGGAGTGAAGGAGACAGGAGAGAGCTGTAGCTGACCTGTATCAGACATTTTTCATGAGCAAGAAAAAAACATCTGCTGTTGTAAACTGGTGAGATTTGGGAGTCATTTGTTACTGGGCTGGTCCTGACTGATACAATCACCCACCCTTGAAATACTCTGATTTCATCTATACTCTAGGGAATATGGATGAGACACACCAGAGCATTTCCTTCTCCATGGAACTCTTCTCAGGAGGGAGGAATGGAGACACCTAATATTAGTTCTCCCCTGATACCTTAAATCATTTCTGAGACTGGAAAGGGCCTAACTAAATGAAATTGAATTAAAATAAATGGATTTTCTCTCTCTTACAAACAAATAGCATTTGAAATTAGACACCTAAATCCTCCTCTTCTTTCTCTCTGGTCCCCTAATTTTCCACCAAAAGAGTGAGGGCCCATTTACAACACAATAAGCCCTCTAACATTCTCCCCAATACTAGTAGTTCCTTAGGAATGAAGATTTTGAGGCAGATAGCAGCCCAACTTGACTTCCCACCCTGAAACCAGGGCCCTGACTGATTCAAAAGGAATAGGAGGCACACAATGCAAATGACACTTTCCTTCCTAAGGCTTGGAAGTAGGTAATACGCTATACTATCTGTAACAGGTGATTCACTATAGCATTGAAGACTTAGAGGAAAATTACAGATCATTTAATCCAGTGATTCTCAACCTGGCTCCAACCTCAGAGGTTCTGATTTAATTGGTCTAGAATTGGATTTGGGCATCAACATTTAACAACAAACTCCTCAGTGACTCTAATGTGCATCCTGGGTTGAAATCTAATCCCAAGTCCCTTTATTACCTCAAAGGCTTAGAGGGATGAAGGTCACATGGCTAGTTAATGGCAAAAGTCAAGACTAAAACCTTTCATCCGTGATCTTCTCACTGCAGTATGTTGCTTCTCAATGATTGTGTTTTTCTAGAAGAACCACTTGCTCCCATGAATTTAATTAAAAGAAAGATGACAATACCAATGGCTAATGTTCCTGTTGGTCTGAGTGTTCAAGGGGCGCCTCTGTGCATTTTATCCAGCAATCAGGGACAGACGTCTTCCACTAGACAGATACCCAAAAGGCACTTGCTCTTCTAGGCTTTAAAGCAGCCCCATATGCTTCTGAGTTGAGCTGATGTCTTTCATCAAACTTGATGCCATTATGACACAAATGTGGGAGCTTTGTTTGAGTTCTGGGCTAGCCATGCAACAAGCTTTTGCTTTTAAGGCTGTAGATCCATATATTCCCATTCCTGGGTTAAAATGTGTATGTGCACGTGTGTGTGTGTGTGTGTGCCATTTGAATTACACTGGGGCCAAGTTGGCAGTATGTGGAGGTTGAAAGGTCAAGCAGACATAGGAAGATATCACACAGGCACAAATGAAACATCTCTCCCCTCCTGTACACTCCTCAATCTAATGAAAATAACACATTGGTAACAAAGATGGTCAGTGTTTTCTTCGTGTGTGTGTGTGTGTGTGTGTGTGTGTGTGTGTGCGCGTGTGTGTGTGTTGTAAGTTAAATCCCCTTTCAAGAATATTTATTGGCAGAGGAGGGGCATGTGTGCACATGAGGGTATAAATGCTTGGGTCCATTTGCAGAAGCCAGACCCTGGAAAGAAGTAGCCACTGAAGTCTGTCAAAATATGGAAAAACATTTAAGGCCTCTCTCTGACTTGAGCTAAATAAGCAGGATTGGAAAACAATCTTCCTGCCTTTCAAAAAATCATTCAAACTCAGTTCTCCAAGCCTAATGCTTCTCACCAAGTATCAGCTAAGGATGCACTGTCCAATATGGTGGCCAGTTGTCACATATGGCTTTGGGGTATTTGAAACTTGGCTAGTCTGAATTGAGATATGCTGTAAGTGTAAAATATATACAGAACTTCAAAGGCATACTACAAAAGAAAAATGTAAAATGCTAATAATGTTTTATAGTGATCACATGTTCAAATTATAGTACTTCAGATATGTTGGTTAATAAAATATACTATTAAGATTAAGTTCACCTTTTTTTTTTTTTTTACATCTTTTAACAGTTTGTCTCCTAGAAAACTTGAAATTATACATGTGGCTTGCATCCCATTTCTACGCTGGACCAGGAAAATCATCTTAATGATTATTTCACTTGATTCAAGTCAGATGTGACAAATTATTGACTACATTTGAAGTAATTGAGGCAGAATAATACTCTTGTTAAGAACCCAGACTGCCTGAGTTCCAATTGTAGTTTGGCCACCTACTAGCTGCGTGTCCTTCATATTTAACCTCATCTGTAAAATGGTAATAATCATACCTCTATCCCATAGGGTTGTTGTGAGAATTGAATGAGCAAAATAAATGTCCAGTGCTTAGAAGAGCATCTGGCAGGTGTGAGTGCTCAATAGATGTTAAGCATTATAATTATCCAAACCATGTTAACATTTTAGTCATTTTAAAGGATCCTAAAAGGTTTTCCAGACTTCAACAGGCTATAGATGAAAGAGGTTCTACATTCAAGCTACAGCATATACAAAAACATTTCAATAATATACATGAACTTGTAAAATCTCACTAGTTAGCAGTCAAAACATCCTTCTTTGTACATAATGTGGACAAGTCTTATCACTGAATAATAGACTTATAAAACAGATAAATATTCCTTGGTATATAATATAGACTCAGAATTTCAGAGCTGGCAGTTGAATCACCATTTATCCTATACATGAATTACCAGTTTTCAAAGATTCATGGCACAATGGAATACTCCCAATGTTGAAATGGTATTAAACACACTAACCCCTCTTTGATGATTTAGAAGATATTTGCAGAGTTTTTAGTAAGCACAGGTCAGTAACACATGAAGCATGGAAGGGTCATACAGGCACTGCCCTAGGTGATGAATAGGGCCAGCTTTCACTGTATCATGTACATGTCAGGTAATAACAACTGAGTATGTTTGACAAAGAATCCACACACACTGAAAGAAAAGCCCATTCTGCTTCTCCAAATTTGTGTTATTTGCTCCAAATCTGCAAGGGCCCCTCATCTCTAGGATGACCTAAGCTGACCTGATTTATAGTTCAACTCTTGGATTCTGGGGAAGGCATCTTTCAAGGAGTCAGTGATCACTCATACCGACCCTGATTCTACCCACATAAAGCTGCCAGTCTGCCCCCCCACACATTTCTGCTTATCCAGAGAACTTTGTTGCTTCTAAGCCATCCAGTTGCAGAGAAACCAAAGAAAATAATGACAAAGGAAACAGCCCTATAAGTGCAGCAGACCTTGGAGAAATCTCTCAGGGTTGAAACCAGGGTGTCTCAAACTTGGCACCATTTACATGTCCTGGGGGCTGTCCTGTGCACTTATAGGAAGTTTAGCAGCATCCCTGGTGTATTAGTCAACGTTCTCTAAAGGGACAGAACTAACAGATATATGTATAGATGAAGGGGAGTTGATTAGAATTGACTCACATGATCACAAGGTGAAGTCCTACAATAGGCCTTCTGCAGGCTGAAGAGCAAGGAAGCCAGTCCAAGTCCCAAAACCTCAAAAGTAGGAAAGCCAACAGTGCAGCCTTCAGTCTATGGCCAAAGGCCCGAGAGCCCCTGGCAAACCACTGGTGTAAGTCAAAGAGTCCAAAAGCTGAAGAGCTTGGAGTCTGATGTTTGAGGGCAGGAAGCATCCAGCACAGGAGAAAGATGAAGGCCAGAAGACTCAGCAAGTCAAGTCAAGTCCTTCCACATTCTTCTGCCTGCTTTATTCTAGCCACGCTGGCAGCTGATTAGATGGTGCCCACTGGATTAAGGATAGGTCTGCCTCTCCCAGTCTACTGACTCAAATGTTAATCTCCTTTGGTAACACCCTCACAGACATGCTGATTTGGTTTGGCTTTGTCCCCACTTAAATCTCATCTTGAATTCTCATGTGTTGGAAGAGGGACCTGGTGGGAGGTAACTGAATCATGAAGGCAGGTCTTTCCCATGGTGTTCTCGTGATAGTGAAAAAGTCTCATGAGATCTGATGGCTTTATAAAGGGGAGGTTCCCTGCACAAGCTCTCTCTTTGCCTGTCACCACTGATGTAAGACATGACTTGCTCCTCCTTGCCTTCTGCCATGATTGTGAGGCCTCCCCAGCCACGTGGAACTATAAATCCATTAAACCTCTTTCTTTTGTAAATTGCCCGGCCTTGGGTATATCTTTATCAGCAGCAGAAAACAGACTAATACACACATCCAGGAAGAATATTTTGCATCCTTCAATCAAGTTGACATTCAATATTAACCATCACACCTGGCCTCTACTTACTTAGGCAGTAGCACCTCCCTCCAGATGTGACAACCAAATACATTTCCAGACATTGTCAAATGTCCCCTTGTGGTGCACAACTGGCCCCAGTTGAGACCCACTGGTCGAAACCAGTGAGTCTCAACCTTGAGTGCACATAAGCATCACCCAATAGCTTGTAGAAAACAATGTAGATCCCTGAGCCCCACTCTCAAAATAGTTTGATTCAGGAGGTCTAGGGTGGAGCCCAAGAAGCTGTGCTTGCAACAAGCTCTCTGGGGGAGATTCTGATGTGGTTGATCTGAAGTCCACATTCTGAAAAACATTGAACTTGCAGCCTGCATGCACACCCAGGTCAAAATCAAGGTTATAGAAAGCATGAACTTGAAACCAAAGCAGAACCAGTTAGACAAATGAGCCATGTGGTGTATAAGTTGCTTGATTGTGTAGAGCTACACGTGGGAGAAATAAGGTATTGAGATTAAAGAAGTTGTAGAATAGAAAAGAGCCCATTTGTAACCTACCATGGGAAATTAAGAATGCACTGAGCTCATACTGTAATTTTACCTCCTGGGAAGCACTGAATGCAGGTGAGTAATATATCTACCAAGGTTCCACGTTAATTTTTTCCCCTAATGAAGAAACCGAGCATTTACAGAATTCTGCTTCAGCTCGTAATAATCTGACATTTGATTTTAGGTTTAAGCCCGTTCCAAGAAACTGTAAATAGGCAGCCAAGATTCTCAAGACCTGTAAAACAGGGTTGCAGTCTCCAGGTGAGTTACAAGAAAATGAGTAGGTGAGACCAGGTAACTTGGAGTGCAGAGCCTCCAACAGGGACATTCTGGCTTAAGTTGTCACTTCTTATATCCAGCCACAGTCTCTACTGAACTTACTTGGGTGTGAAGGGGCTTGTGTTTTGCTTATCAGCCTTGTTCAACAGGAGAAAGGGCCACTTAAAAAATAAAACCACCATCAAGCTGTCATTGATAGGTAATTTTAGCTAGGTTTAGAAGCAAGCCCTGCAACAAGAACACTAGTACAAGTATGGAAAATTCTGCTCTAAACGCTTGTCTTAAAAACAAAAATTTGTTCCAGTGTGACTGATACATTAGGAAATGACTTGGGCATCATGCAAATTTCACATTTGCTTATGTGCCATTTTGTCTGAAAGAAATAGTAGGTGAACACAGAAAAGTGCACCCAGCTGAATTGAGCTGCATTTACAAAATGCACACACATACACACACCTTGAACATCGACCAGCTACCTCAGTTCACCTTAGAAGCCACAACCATCCATATCTGGTGTTAAAATTTTCCTTCGGGTTTCTGACCACCTTCCTTCCACTCTTGCATGGTAAGTCACAAGCTGCAACTCTTCCAATGACCACTTCCACAAGCCACCTTCAGGGATTTTTCTAGGTAAAATGCCATATCTATTTTTGTACTTATGCATTTTTAAAACATACATTATGTGTAAAACTACAATTTTTATTAGGTTCCTATCTTATTTTTTATATATCACTACGTTTTTAAGTGTTGTGCCCCCTAATCTCATTTATCCCACAAGCCCTGTGGTTTTTATTGCATAATTTTGCATAGCATGGTGATTTTCTAGAAACTCATTTGTCATGTTATAGCAGAACTGACTGTAGTTTATTTGAGAGGCAAGGAAATGCTCGTAAGGAAATATAGAAGCAAGTAAGTGAGACAGGAAGGAAAGGCAGCCTATAAAGAGTGCATTGTCAAGCATACTATTACTGTGCATGACTAGAGTTTAATCCCACTGGGAAATTCTGGGAAATGGTGCAGGACATGGCTCAGATTTATCCCAGCTGAGAGGTGATGGAGCTGGGGTATTTATACACCAACTCCTCTTGTGTCCTGGTTGAGGGCTGCTCCTGGGGTAATTCCAGCCTGAATGTCTGAATAAGAAGGACAGAACCATCCCTCATGGATCCCTCCTTCCTGAGTCCCCAGGAAGGCAATGAGATGTAAATAGATGGAAATCCCACTGGAGCACACTGAAGTGGTAAGATCCAAGGGATACGAGTCATCTTCTTATGAGCATCTGCCACCAAGGCAGAAAAGGGAAAAATACTGCAGAAGAAAAGAAGACAAGAGATGGGATTGCACATTTCAAAACCTCTTACTGTAAGCCAGTGTTTTCCAAGCTTGCCTGGCACTAGGAATAACACAAGGTTTGTTAAAATACAGATTCCTGGGACCTACCCTACATCTATTGAATCAAATTCTCTAGAGGAAGGGCCTAAGAAGCTTTTTTTTATCATGAACAAACCTCTCCCCATCCCACTGCCAGCCTCCAAAGGTGACTGTCTTATCTGGCAAGCCTGGGAAACAATGCCAAACAAATAATACACTAGTTCTGCCAGATTCTGACTGGCCTCAGGAGAAGTTCCTATACTATGTGACAGGGGCAGAAGAGTGCCTAGAAATCACTATGGAGAGACCTACGGTGGTGCTCAGCCCCTCCAGCCCCCAACTGCACCCACTATCAGAAAACAAAGAGGTGGCAGGCAGGCTATGGTCATTTGTCTCTTCCCTTAATCTTCAATGGCAGTAAGTGGTTTATAGAGAGCTAGAGGGGGCAGGCATGAGGGCCTCCCAGCCAAGGTCACATCCTGCCCACCCACAAGTAAGGTGACTTAAGGCCCCAGAACAGCTTCTCTCTTCCTAGAGATAACTCAGCTTCAGGAAATTGCTGTACATTTAATCTCCTAGAGCTTAAGGCCAAGGCAATCCCACCTCACCACCCATGGCTGAACACAGAACTGGAATTCTGCAGCCAGCCAGTCCATCTACAACCAGGGACAATCTCTTGTGCATCAGCCTCAATTCCTTATTTTTCCTTAACCCCAAATATGGCTAATTTCTGAGGCTGGTCAAATGAATAAAGCCCTCATCTATGAAACTGAATGATGGAGAATATTGCTTTAGAATTGATGAGTAAATAAATCTATGTCTTCAGTTAAATAGGCCACGAAGCCTTATGCCCACATCAAAAAATGTCCAGATATAAAATGTCAGAGTAATAAGGCTGGAGTTTATTTTTACATGTAACAATGTCTGAATCAGAAAGACAGAACCATCCCTCATGGATAAAGGGAAATGGAGAGACCAGCCACCCAGGCTACTTTGGGAAAATCTAAACAGCCTCACCACTCGATTTATAACCTCACTACTTAAGTACCAGCTCAGCTGCTGCTATAGGAATAGTGCTAACCTTGGGCATGGGTATGTATTGGCCATCCTGGGAAGCAATGCTTTCCCCATTGTTCACTAGCAGTGGTTCACACTGAAATCATCTTCACGTGACATCTTAGGAACAAATATTCCAACAAGAAAGCAGGAGGTGGGCATCTGCAGACCAGTAAATTCATGAGGTGGAATGAGACCTAGACTGGGAGGCTGTGTAAAGGCCCATGACCAATACTCAGGGAGAAGTGTGGTGGGCTCAGCCCTCCAAGGGAAAGCAAGGCAATTTGGAAAGTTCTAGAAAGGCACCCAGAATTCTGTGCCTAGCTCTTTCTGCTCACTTGATGTTTCACTTCCAGGTGCTTAACTACAAAACAGGAGATGGTTCATATGATCTGAGATAGTGGGAAATAGAAAGAGACACTGAAAAAGAGAAATAAAATAACAGTTTCTAGTTGTAGTCAACGGTAAGGTCACCAAGGATGAACAACTGTCGGGGATAAACTTCAAGGTAGACCCTGGGAGACCAGGGTACACATTTCAGGATTGAGAGCTTTTATGATGCTTATTCCACATACTAAAGTGAACTGATTAAAAAATGTTAGTAGAAAGTTACTGTGTGCTGGATTATATTTGCTGCATAAGCACAATGTAGAGACGCTGGAATTGTCTGCTGCTACTATTGTGGCTGCTGTTGTTACCATTATTATGGCATGATAGCTATAAAACTTCACTCCTTTATTACAACTAGCTTTTGATGTAAAGAAGGCAGTTTGCATGTGCCTGTTTTCTAACCATTTCTTATTGCTAAGTGGAGAGGCAACAAGGCCATAGAAGACCCAGTATAGGCCCTGGATTGTCTACCTTTAAGCTGTGTGACCTTGAGCAAGTTCCTTGACCTCTCTGAGTCCCAGTTTCTTCATTTGTAAAATGGAGATGCAAGTTATAAAGCTGGCTACCTCAGATGGTTGTTATAATGGCCAAATGAAAACCCTAGGTAAAAATATTTTTTAAGAGTAACATGCCATAGAGATTAAAACTACTTCTAACTACTGGGCCAGGCGTGGTGGCTCACGCCTGTAATCCCAGCACTTTGGGGGACCAAGGCAGGTGGATCACCTGAGGTAAGGAGTTTGAGACCAGCCTGGCCAACATGGAGAAACCTCGTCTTTACTAAAAGTACAAAAAATAGCTGGGCATCATGGCGGGTGCCTGTAGTCCCAGCTACTCTGGAGGCTGAGACACGAGAATCACTTGAACCTGGGAGGCGGAGGTTGCAGTGGGCCAAGATCACACCACTGCACTCCAGCCTGGGCAACAGAGTAAGACTCTGTCTCATAAATAAATAAATAAATAAATAAATAAATAAATAAATTACTTGTAACTATTACCTGAAGTTCAAGAATAAAGAAGAATGCCTCCCAACACCACCATTTGCTGGAGAGCAGCTGATACTTTAAAGGGATTCTACCTGAACCCCATCATGCCTGCAGGACTTTCATTACCAAATGCTAAAGAGACTTTGTTATAAGCTAGTTCCCTAAGAGGGATTCCAGGGACAGTGCTGTATTATAGGAAGCAGCACCACATGGTGGTTACATGAAGGCTCTGGGTTTGAATCCTATCTCCAACCCCTTACCTTCTCTGTACCCACACTTCCACATGCTGACTTTCCTTGTATATGCCCAAAAGAAATGAAAACTAGTACTCAAGCAAATACACACACAAATGTTCACATGGCACTATTCACAATAGCCAAAAGGTAGAAGGAGCCCAAAAGTACATCAACAGATGAATAGATAAACAAAAATGAGCCGGGCACAGTGGCTCACTCTTGTAATCCCAGCACTTTGGGAGGCTGAGGCAGGCGGATAATTTGAGGTCAGGAGTTCAAGTCTAGCCTGGCCAACATGGTGAAACCCCGTCTACTAAAAACACAAATATTAGCCGGGCAGTAGTGGCACATGCCTGTAATCCCAGCTACTCGGGAGGCTGAGGCAGGAGAATCACTTGAGCCTGGGAGGTGGAGGTTGCAGTGAGCCGAGATCATGCCACTGCACTCCAGTTTGGGTGACAGTGAGACCCAGTCTCAAAAACAAACAAACAAACAACAACAAAAAAGATAAACAAAAGGTGGTATATCCATACACTGGAACGTTATTCTGCCATAAAAAGGAATGAAATACTAATACCTGCTGTAATGTGAATGAACCTAGAAAACATTATGCTAACTGAAAGAAGCTGGTCACAAAAGAATGAATATTGTATGATTCCAGTTATATGAAATGTCCAGAATAGGCAAATCCATAGAGACAGAAAGTAGATTGGTGGTGGGAGGGGGCTGGGGGAAATGGGAATGGTGGGGTGGCTGTTTACCAGATATGGGATTTCCTTTTGGGGTGATGACAATGTTTTAGAACTAGAGGTGATGGTTGTACCATAGTTCATCACAATGGTTGTACCATTGTGAATGTACTAGATGCCACTGAATTGTTCACTTCCAGAATGGTTAATTTTGTTATGCAAATTTCGCCTCAATGAAAAAATATACAATTCCAAAATAATAATAATAACAATAACAACCTCAGGCTTACTATGAGGATTAAATGAGATAGTATATGCAAAACACTTTAGCACTATGCCTGGCAGAGTAAACACCCAAGAAATGCTGTCCTTTATCATGCTTGCCCCCATCTTTCAGAGAAAGAAGGTGAAACACCAAAGCCACAGTGTGAGAGATGAGCTAGGTTAAGACTGAATGTCATTCTTGACTCCTAATAAAAAGGGCTAATCAAATTTGTGCTCTAGAGACAGAGGAACACACACCTTTTGCTCAGCTAATGCATCCAAAACCCTTTAGCAGTTTTGTCTATGTCTTGGGCAATATGCCAATAAAGAAAGTGATCAGACACCTCGGGTAAACAATGGTGAGAGGGGGCCAGGTCTTTACTAAAAATCCCCATCTGTAACTGAAAAATAAGCAACAGTGCCTTACGTTCTAAAAGGGAAAACCTTTTCTGGCAAGAAGCACGGAGAATCCCCAGAGGCAAAATTTTCTGGGAATTTAAAAACACACCTGGGATGTCTTGCCATTCTTCATTTTTTCACTTTGATCTTCATTACAGTGGGGTGAGGTATGTTTTTTTAGGTATTTGTGTTTTTCCATCTCAAAGCAAAACTCCAGCACAAGTGAAGGGCGGGAAAGGTGTGACAGACAAGTTCACAGGAGCACCCAAGTTACAACAGAAAATATCTCACCACAGAAATACCCCAGATGTCAAAACATCAGTAACATTATCTCTCCACTCATTTCATGATTGTTAATGATCCATGAACTAAGTATACATTTATGAAGCCCATAATATATGGCATCTGAAGATGTCACCTTTTACAAAGGAAGAGTAGAAACTTTTGTCCTGTTTTTGTTTGTTGGCTACTTAGGGATTGTTTGCTTTAGCAAGAAGCCTAATAAGACTGGCCAATGGGATTGTAATACAACCCAGATACAGACTGGAAAAAAATCTGTCAACTACAAAAGGTAGTAAGGAATCTGAAAAGTAGACATTTCAAACTATACTCCATTTTAGCAAGATTAGTCATCTAATCTGACTGGTGTTTTTTTCCCCAGCCTTAAATGTGGCCAGGGAGAAGATATGTCACAGATTTATGCCCTAGAAGCCAGTGAACCTGAAAAATCTGCCAGTGGATTAAGTAGCTACATCTACTTAACAAAATCTACTTTCCAACTGGAACCTAGCTGCAAGGGAGTCTGAAAAACATCATTTCTAGCTTTCCAGCCTCTCTAGCATATTATAGGAAGATATGCTGGAAGGATGTGAGAATAGATGCTAGAGGCCAATCCACTATCTTGTTGAGAATTTAAAAGGCAGACATTTCTGTAGTTACCCTCTCTCTCAAGGAATTACCAACAGTCACAAGGAGAAAGAGGCAAAGATTCTAAGTCCCTGAAGTCTCTCAGTACCATCAGGACAAGTGCACCTGAATTTATTTACTTATTTATTTATTTATTTATTTATTTATTTATTTATTTATTACAGAGTCTCACTCTATCGCCCAGGCTGGAGTGCAGTGGTGTGATCTCGGCTCACTGCAACCTCCACCTCCCAGGTTCAAGCAATTCTCCCTGCCTCAGCCTCCTGAGTAGCTGGGATTACAGGAGCCCACCACCACACCTGGCTAATTTTTGTATTTTTTAGTAGAGACGGGATTTTGCCATGTTGGTCAGGCTGGTCTGGAACTTCTGACCTCAGGTGATTTGCCCACCTTGGTCTCCCAAAGTGCTGGGATTACAGACGTGAGCCACCGCACCCAGCCAAGTGCACCTGACTTTAAGTGGGGTGTGTGTGAATAAGAGATAAGAAAAGCAGCCTGTGGGTGCCGATTCTAGGACTGAGTGCTTTAGAAATGTGAGGTGACAAAGTTCTGACTTGGCTCTAACTTAAATTTCACACATGGCCTCTTATTTCCATATTCCTCAGTTCTATTTCTGTGGGATCCACAAAGTGAGGATTTGGCCGAGAGTCAGATGAGGAAGAATGATGCTGGGTGTGAGAATTAAATCTGATCATGTTGAAGAAAGCACCTGATGCTCAAATGTGATTCTTTTTCAGGGTATTAAGGGGGACTAGTGGAGAGAAGAAGGGAAAAGATCCTACATTCAGTCATCTTCCCTCCTCAGGCCCCAGTTCCCCATTACAGAAGCACACACATGCATATACAGGCACATGCACACACACTCATACACACACATATCCACACAATATTTTCACCCTCACCCCTGCTGGAGAGACAGTGCGATTTAGAAAAATCAGTCAATCAATCAATCTTGAGTCAGGAAACCTGATTTTGATTCTCTGTTCTCTCACTGCTTGGCTCGGGCAAGTCACTTTCCCTCTTTGAGCCTCTGCTTCCTCATATGGAAAAAAAAAAAAAACACTGATCCCGGTGTCACTATTCATTATGCAGATTAAATAAGAAGGCGTAATCTGTATTCTGTAAAGTAAATCACAATCAAAATGACAGTTGTCATTTTAAATCAGCAAATATAACTTGTATCAGCTATTTCGGATGAGCAAAAGTTAAAAGCTTGGTAATACCTAAGGTTGTTGCAGGTTGGAAGGAAGAAGGTTCTCATACACACAGGGTAAAAACACAAATGGTGCAACCTAATTGGAGGGCAATTTGGCAAACTTTTCTCCAGTTAGAAAACATACCACCCTTTGAACTGGCAATTCCACTGTATGGAATTTACTCCCAGACATAGCTGCAAAAGTAAGCCAAATTATATGTAAAAGAATACACAATGCAGCAATGTTGATAGCAGAAAATGGAAAAACCTACATCTGTCATTGGGTACTGGTTCAATATATTATAAAGTTTTAAATATTCTGCATCTGATGAAAAAAATGAGTAGCTAATTTAGAACTAGAAAGATGTCTAAGGTTTGTTATTAAGGCAACTAAAAAGCAAGATAATGAACATTGTGTGTAGTATGAGATAGATTTATTTACATTATATATATATACATATATATTCACACACACACACACATAGGTAGTTGAATAAAACCTTTCTGAAATGATACACATGAACCTGTTAGCAGTGTTTATCTTTGGAGAGAAGACTAGAACTCAGGGGAGAGGAAGACTTTCACATTTCATTTTATTTTATTCCTTTCTTTAGAGTTAGGTTTTATTTTTAACAGTGTACATGTATTTTAATTTTTTAATTCAAAATTACACACCATAAAAGAAAACTAGCAAGTGGAGTAAAGAAACCCTTTTTGCAAGTGGGCATTGTAAAAATAATAAATCAGCAAATGGAAACACTGCGTTGCCACATGTGGTGACCCAGCCTCAGTGTTTAGGGACATTGTTCTGTTAGCTGCCAGTCCTCTCTCTCCTGAACATCCTTGTCTTTGGGAATTATGAAAGGTAGAGGAAGGAGGGGAAAATAGAAATGGAAAGCCAAAGGAAATAAATACAGAAAAAGCCCAAGAATATATGGGAAGAAAAGATGATGTAAGAAGAGGGTGAGAGAAAGTCAACGTTTGACCACATTCTCTAGCTGGCATGGAACTGTGAAGAGAGAGACAGCTTGAGGGTCAATTTCACATCTTTACATGTACAGTTTGTATTTAAGTGAATATTTTCACCATAAGGATGGCTGTGGGAGAAGTATACATATCTTGTTAGCTGAGAATCTCAAGAGGTGGTAGATATGTATCTTTTTACAGAAGACTCCTGTTGTTCCTAATATTTATACAGCTATATATACACAGATGGGTACCAGCACAAAAGAGTAAAACTTTCGCATCTCTGCAGATTAAAAGCTGTAGAAACCACTTATAAAAATGTGTCAGCCAGTGTGCCCCTAGTGTCTTTCAGAAGCCTGGTTGTAGGGGATGCTAATAAAATGCTGCTCAAAGAGTAGATTTCCTGGTAAGACAAGGGTGGTAAACACTTGAATAATCAAAGTTGAATTGGTTTCCCAATTGCAGAACAACTAGGTTCCTCCAATATGTTCAGTGTACTATGATTCCTGAAAAGGGTGAGATGTGATATGCAGTGTTTCCCAGACTTCCTGTCTGGGGAACCCTTTCTTTCAAACATGGCACTGCATTGGTGGGTCTTGGAATGTGCTTTGGGAAGTCAATTCATTCAAGGGTTGTTTCTCCTCCTCAATGTTGGGATCACAGAATGGCTGGGCATGGGACTTAAGAGCTATGCACAGAATATTTTACCCAAAATAATTATTTCAACACATGGATCAGGACAAAAATTATAAAAGCCAGGTGTTATGGCCTACAAAACACCCTGAAATTATCACTGTCCCCCATGATATTAGTCCTGGAATGAATTCAGAAGTTATACATTTCAACTCCTTCATTGTACAAATAAAGAAATGGTGTCCCAGATAATCCTCAACAGAGAGAAAACAGTGCTAGTGGTTCTGAGCTGGGACTCTGGAGCCAGAATGAGTAGGTTCAAACCCCAGCATTTTACAGGACCTTGAGTAAGTTACCTGACCTCTCTGGGCCTCTATTTCCTCATCTGTAAAATGAAGATAGCAGTAGTCTATATCACATAGGATTGTGATATGGATTAAGTGGGTTTGTAGCTGTAAAGCACACAGGACATGACCTGACACATAGTAAGTACCATATCAATGTTTCTTTAAGCAAAATAAAGTCACTGAGATCTTGAGGTCCTAAAGTGGGGCATCCTCACTCCAACATTACCATTTTTATACAACACTTTCACTGTAATCAAGCAGTAATTTTAAAAAGTGAAATGAAAAGGATAATGGTTTGGCCATCATCAAAAAGCCAATGTTAATGGGAGGTTAATAGGCCCATCATTGCCAGGGCAAAACCCAAGAATTCAAATAACACTTTCCCTTCTAGAAACACATGTTGTGTCATTTAAAAATTTATAAGGGCCAGGAAGGCAAGGGATGCATTGATATTTTTTTCTTTGCCAGCCTTAAGGTTCTAGAAAGATTAGGTCATTTTTAAAGAGGATGTTCACTGTGTGCATTGGGAGCTATGGAGGTGGGAACTGTAGACTCAGGATACTGGAGGCACAAGAGAGGGAAGAGTTGAAAGTGGGATGTAGAGAAACTCAAAGGAAAACAGGGTGTGTTTCTGACAGGTAAATGGATAAAGCTGGGATATAAAGATGGGCTGAGGTCCCCCTCTTTAATTTGTTCTAAAGCAGAAGCATCGGGCAGACTAGAAAACCCTGACTTCTTTTTTTTTTTTTTTTTTTTTTGAGACGGAGTCTCGCTCTGTCGCCCAGGCTGGAGTGCAGTGGCGCGATCTCGGCTCACTGCAAGCTCCGCCTCCCGGGTTCACGCCATTCTCCTGCCTCAGCCTCCCGAGTAGCTGGGACTACAGGCGCCCGCCACCACGCCCGGCTAATTTTTTGTATTTTTAGTAGAGACGGGGTTTCACCGTGTTAGCCAGGATGGTCTCGATCTCCTGACCTCGTGATCCGCCCGCCTCGGCCTCCCAAAGTGCTGGGATTACAGGCGTGAGCCACCGCGCCCGGCCAACCCTGACTTCTTAAATGCAGATTGTTCTTAAGTCAAATGGCATTACTTGCCTTGTGCTGGCAGTTGAGTTTCAGCCTGAATGCTGAAATGCACATTTGTTAACTAGAGCATGGAGAAGGTTCCAGGCAGAAAAGGGGCATGGAAGGAGGAGAATAAATGGAGAGGGAGAGGGCAGTGTCTGTCCACTGCCCTTCACTCTCCTGCTCCAACCGCAGAGATTAAAGCTGGGCAGAGTCAATGAACTGCCCATGAGATCGTGTTCATGTGACCTTCCTGTGAAACTAGCCCCTCCCAAGCTTTGGAAGGAAACTTCCAAATATTCAACAAGGAGAAGGGAACATTAACCAATGCAGGAAGAAAAAAATGGAGGAGACCCGAGGAGACAAATAGGCCCTTTTTTCCCGAGTGTACACAAGCTACAATTTAGAATAGCACTTAAAATGTTGGCCTGTCATATCGAACATTGAGGTAAATAAAAAGAATTAACTGAGTTCAATGGACTCTCCACCAAACAATTGAAACTGGAAGCATAAACGTCAGAAGTAACCCCATGGGGAAACTTTTCTTTGAAGATGTGCCAAAGACTCTTAATATTCCCAAGCAAGTTGGCCTAGAGCTGCATTTTCTCACAAGGATAGTGATCATGTTTTCTATGAACCCCAAATCTATATACTTGGTTTCTCGCTGAAAGGGAATATCTGAAATCATCACCGTCCTGGAACATTCAAGACTTGTTGTTACCCAGCCCACACATCTTTTTGTTTGTTTGTTTGTTTTTGAGACAGGGTCTCGCTCTGTTGCCCAGGCTGGAGTGCAGTTGGTGTAATCATGGCTCACTGCAGCCTTGACCTCCCAGACTCAAGCATTCCTCCCATTTCAGCCTCCTGAATAGTTGAGAATATAGGCGCCCACCACTATGCCTGGCTAATTTTTATAGAGATGGGGTTTCCCCCATGTTGCTCAGGCTGGTCTCAAACTCCTGGGCTCAAGCAATCCTCCTGCCTCTGCCTCCCAAAGTGTTGGGACTACAGGTGTGAGCCACTGTGCGGGCCCCACCCACACACCTTGACCTTCTCTTATTTCCACCTTGGCTATGGTCTCAAGGAAGTAAGTCCTTCTAAATATCCTAATCCCCCCACTTTTTTTTTTTCTTGAGATAGGGTCTTGCTCTGTCACCCAGGCTAGAGTGCAGTGGTACAATGACGGCTCACTGCAGCCTCAACCTCCCATGCTCAAGTGATCCTCCCATCTCAGCCTGGGCCCACAGGCATGCACCACCACACATGGCTGATTTTTTTTCTAGAGACAGGGTTTTGCCATGTTGTCCAGGCTGGTCTCAAACTCCTGGGCTCAGGGAATCCTCCCTCCTCAATCTCCTAAAGTGCTAGGATTACAGCTGTGAGCCACCCTGCCTGGCCTGATCCCTTTCTTGATCTCCTCAAGAAGGGCTATTAGCTCTGGTCTATTCTGACCTCCCCATAAATCAGAAATGCAGCACAACTTTTAAAGAAAGCTCTAATAATAGATGTCACTTATTGAGTATTTACAATGACAGGCAATTTACACAACACTATTTCACTTAATCTCTCAAATAACCCTTTAAAACAGGTACTATTATCCCCACTTTCAGGTGAAACAATTGAGTCTGGGAGCAGGTAAGGGACTCAACTAAGAAAGTTCGCACAGCTGATAAGCACTGGAATCAAGATTCAAACCCCAGTCTGCCTAACGCAAAAGCCACACACACTTGTCCCTACTCCATGCTACCTTGAACCCTTGTCATTCTCTTCTGAGGGAGCATCTGACAGTATGTGCAGAGGCGTAAAGTCTTCCATCAAGTTACCGCTTAAAGCTCATAAAGTCCTTTCCCTAGCTTCACATAGAAAAGGAGGCACAGACCTAGCTATTTATTGCTCCTGCTGCTTGATCAGAGTGGAAGTTCCAATCAGACACCGCAGGAGGAAACGTGGCCAGACATTACAACCAGCAACAATGGGATCACAGCCAGGGCATTTCTATGAACCCTTCCCTCCTCCTCCACAACCTTCAGAAGACAAACAAATGATAAGACACAATCAGAATCAAGGAAGGCTCCCAGCAAAATCAAACCTGACCTCAGCCTAACAAACATTCACTTCAATCATCTGGGTTCTCCAGCTTTATGGCTTAAGGAAGTAATTGCATCCAACACTCTTGTGTCTACTGTTTGTTCTCCATGCCTTAAAGCCCCAGCTTGTGAATCATCTCTAGAAGCCCAGACTGGGAAAGGCACTGGCCTTCCTTTCCCATCTACTAGGGGATTAATTTCATCATGCCACTTATCCTGGTTATCAGTTCACACATGTGCCTCAGAATGCTTCTCAACATAACATCAAAGTGGTTTACAGGCACGGAGGAAGTCCCAGACTCAATTCCAGGATTAAGATTAAAACAGCAAAATATACTCAGACCTGTAGCCAGAAGAAAGACGCATTATTAAACATAGTCATTTTATAGCACTCCATACCCATGGATGTCATGCTTGTTATTTGACTATCCACATGAAGCCCATCTCCTTTCAGAGCCCTGCATGGCAATGTGTGAGAGCTGAAAGTTCATCTCCTTTCAGAGCCCTGCACCCAGGACAGGGTGCCCCACCCGGATCCCCTTTACCAAGCCTGTGTAGCTATTCTCCAGATACTGTGAGTGGTGGCTGCTAGTGTCTCACAACTACTCACTTCTCAGGAGAGTTCTCCTTGGCCGATGAGAGCCACCTTGCCTGGAAGGTAAGTCACTCCTTTCCCATGACAAAAGCTCTCTCCCTGCAGATAAAAGCAAAGCTAGGCTCCATATGAGACCACATTCCAGCTCAGCAGTGTCCTGTGCCCCATTCAGCTTCCTTCATACTCTTACAGGTTTCCCCCGAGAACTCTCTCCCAATAAATCACATGCACTAGAATCCCTGTGTCGGGTGCTGTCTCTCGGGAACCCAATCCAAGACACAGAGTTGGAAGCAAAGATAAGTTCAAGAGTAAAACCCTGCAATAAGTCACCCATGATAGCAAGATTCTGGATTTAATGCAGTTAGTGGTGGGTTGTGCTTTCAAAAAGGGGCAAAATAAACTTCTATTTAGGGGAAAGTGGATAGAATTGTGTAGGGGAAGGTGAGGCTGGACTGGGAAATGGCAGGCAACCCTGTGTCAGCAAGTGATGCAGGGAGGAAGACAGTAAGTCCCTGAGTCCCCAGTATTCTTCTGACCCAATCTCCCCAAATAGGCCAATGAAAGAGTGCCAACTCTCCAGGAGATTCCTGGAGTATCCTAGCCAACCATAGGACCCAGAATCATCCCCATGAATATTTAAGCCAGAGAGGTCCACTGCCACCAGAAACTGCAGCCAGTGCTAGAACAGATTTTGATCACACAGTCAGACTTCTGGAACTCCTGGCCAGGTAGCTATGAAGACTTGCCCAATTTTTCATCAACTTCATGGCATGGCATTTTACTTGCATACTATGAGGGAAGTTTACTGTATTATGTTTAAGGTTGTTAAATTCAAAGTGGGTAACAATTGTAACCCCATCAATTTTTATCCATGAAATTTTCTAAATCTGCATCAACACAGGGAGAGGGTTTAACATAAGCTTTCAGCATGTGAGCAGCTTAAAAAAACCTCACTCAAGTGTCCACAATGTCCAAAGAGAGAGGACATCATGGCTAGAAATTATTTATTTCGACACAGCTATAGCTTGATTAAGGTCAAGGCTAGGATCTCTTTGTTGTTTCTCCGCAATAACTCTGATCTAACCATCATGGAAGTATGAGTTTGGGCTGAGCATCTTGTTTTTCCAGATGCTCAGGGCACTATCATATTGGACCTGTGGCTAAATGGAAGGTATAGCAACATCATAGCAACAAGGCTTGTGTCATTTTCTACCCCCAAACCTAGATATCACAGATAAGCACCACATCACGCCACGAAATGAATGTTAGACTATACAAACAAGAATTAATGGCAACAACCTCTTGACTGCAACACCCTGAATTGCAAAATCAGGTGGTGTTGGATGCCCCAAGTTTTTAGTTATACTTTGTGAGAACGGTTCCTACTCCATGACTTTTGGGCGAGGCAAAATTTTTACCAGGGGATAAATCAGATAGAGGCAGGTGTGGGAAGGCCATCAAAGGGATATCTCTCGACACATCCCTTTGAGATCCCTGCAGGGACAAGATTAATCAAGTTTAGGTGAGGAGATAATGCCACAGGCACAGGAGATCTCATACCCTGCTGGTGGCGTTTCCATTGGAAAGACCACATTGGAGAATAATTTGGTAATATCGAGAAAGCTGAAGAGGAACAAACATTTTGGCCCAGAAACTTCATTTCTAGTTATGTGACCTAAAGCAATGGCTGTCAATGCTGGCAGCACATTGGAATCATCTGGGGAGTTTTAAAAAAATACAGGTGCCTGGGCTTCACCTTAGTGATTCGGATTTAATTAGTCTGGGTGCAACCTGGCAGTGGGACTTTTCAAAGATCCCTAGGCAATTCTGATGTGTACAAAAGATTGAGATCCACTGCCCTAGAGACCTTTTCCCCCATGTGCCATAAGGACATTTGACATAATTATTTATGGCAGCACTGTTTGCAGGAGCAAGAAATTGGAAGTAACCTAAATACCCATCAATAGGAGCATGCATAAATAAATTGTACTGTATTCCTTTAATAGCATTCCTCAGGGCAGTTAAAGATGAATACAGTACACCATGTGTATCGATATGTTTAAATCATAAAGCAAGTTACAGAATGACACATACATTATATGAGCTCTGCAAAATTTAAAAACATGTTAATACTATTATTGAATATATACATACATAGTAATAATATTAAAACATATCGAGGTGAGGAAATACAAAAGTTAGAATAAAAGTTAACACTGGGGAAAGGACAGAATTAGATTAGGATGGGAAAGCAGGGGCTTTCAATTCTAACTAACATTTTATTTCTTTAAACAGAAAGCAGGCGTGGGAGAAACGTTAGCTTTGGTAGAACTGAATGGTTGATACATGACTGTTATGTCATTCTCTGAAAGCTTGCATAATAAATATTTAAAGCTACAGAATATAAAAGTGATCAAGCAGATAAAGTGACTCAACATACACATAAGCCTCAAATTCATCATAAACTCAACAGTACAGAGGACAGAGGTAGCAACCCCTTAAAAGAAACCAAACAAAACCTTGAAGACCTTTTACTATTTGGGCTTTATTAAGTCCCCAGAAAAACTCCAAGGCATTAGTTGCATGCTATCAAATGCTGCCATGTGTATTTAAAACAAAAAGGCACCTGTCAAAGGGAATGAACAGGGTACTGTACATTTTGCATGTTCCCATCCATTCAGCGAGCATTTCTTTTATGAGAACCTATTGTGCACCCAACCCTGAATGAGGTGTAGGGTTTCCCTTTTATCTCATCGCAATCATGAACCCAAATAACCATGAGTTTCTTTTTTCATTGATAAAAGTTTGCAAAACTGCTATGAACCACAGACACAATTTTTCTTCCGCCAGGGTTTTCCCATTTTAGTTTAAGGGCATCAGATATCTCCAATTATCTACATAGAAGGTTGTGGAATGAACGACAGCAATAAAAAGTCCTGCAAACAAACTTACCTTTAACAGAGAAATATCTATGGAAAGCGGGATCCTGGGGGTGGAGGGAGGGCAGTGGATAGAGGAAGACAACAGTCCTGCAAAATCCAGCAAATTGGGAGAGGGTTTTGCAAAATAACAAAGGTTGAAATTATTATTTTAATCAGAGCTGATTAAGTAGTATCTAGAAGAAGAACGGGTGGTGTATTCTAGTCCTTTGGGTCTATCAGCTTGTTGCCAAACCAGTTCTCCTGGCAGGACATTTGGCAGTGCTCTTTTTGACATCTGCTTGCCAAGATATTCACTGACACAGCCCTTTGTTGAATGACTGGAGCTTTGGTCTTTGTGTCCCAAAATCAACAGGAGTTTCTATCTGGGTCTCAAATGCATAACTGGGCAAATCTAAACCACTTTCTCTCACCTTTACAAACTTCTGAGCTCTTCCTTTTTTATCCCAGAAAGTGGTCAAAAACGGATTGCTGTCAAGCCTGTTTGAGGTGGGTCAGGGAGGCAACTAGGAGGTAGGTGTCACCAAAGAAACAGGCTAAATCAGGGGTCCTTGGAGGAGGAAAATTCAATGGCACAAACCTAGTTCCAGGAGTTCACCCATACCTAGGAATAAAAGATGCTGTGCTGCCCTGGGCCTGTTCCCCTAGATCCATTCCTCACCTTCTACTGCTTTGCTTACCCCTGCAGGCTGCATATCCCAGGTCTACTGGCTTCTAGCTGGGCTGGGCTGGGCTTGGCTGGGCTCAGCCAAGAGGAGGCACCCAGAGGAGATTGGAGGGCAGGAGGAAGGGAAGAGGTAGGGTATTTCCTCCCTTCCCTCTTAGAGACCATGGCCATGTATCCTCTGGGGTTTCCACTCCCTCCAGGCTGGCTCACCATTGTTCCAGCCTTTCCAGAGTGCCACCAGCCCTTAGGTTCTGTTAGCTTGGCCCCTTCCCTATGTCCCTCCAGCTTGAGAGAGGTAGCAGGTTACTACCATTGCTAAACTCCAGGTTACCTCACCATTCTCTGTGTGACTTCTCAGCTCTTCCATCACCAGTGGAGCCAATTCCTTATATTAAATTCCCTCTGTGTGAAATATCTGCAGTAGTTTCATTTTCCTGGTTAGACACTCAATGGTACAGATACTTTGAGACAGCTGTGTGCCAATGGGTTTACAACTGGCTTCTAAGGTACCCTTGGCTGAAATATGCCAATAGGCATTTAGTTTTGACTGAGAAGACCTAGCCTCATATCCTTATCTTCAGGCTGCCTAGGAGCATAATACTGGACATTTATACAACCTTCCTAAGCCCCTGTTTTCTCATTTTTAAAACTAGAGATAATGGTGTCTACCTTACTGGATTCTGAGAAGCTTAGATGAAATTATGTATATGAAAGAATACATCTATATATCTCTACAATGCGAAACAAACCTATACAAGTATTACTGTGCTACCAACAATATTATTAAGTTTTTGGTCTATGAGTAACATTTTTATAAAAATGATTCATTTTATAAATATGAAATGTTTGCTTTTTCCTATCCACTCATCTCTAAAGGGCAATTTTTATAGGGTATTTTGAAGTGAATATTTCCCTGTCTTTTGTAGAAATGTTTACCATGTAAATACACAGCCAGACCAAGATAGAAGTAGGATTACTAAGTTCTGTTGGGACAAGCCCCGGGTAAACACAGAGTATCATGTAATGGATGTGTGAGGCAAGGCTGGGGAGTATTTGGAGGCAAGGGGTGAGGAGCATTCACCTGGGCTATCAATATTCCCTGTAAGCATTAAAAAGCTTCAGTTCCGCTTCCCTGCCTCAGCCAGTTGTTTTGAATACGTCCAGATTAGAACAGCCAAATGTGAGTTTAGAAGTAAGAAGTGCCTCAATCTGTCCAACTGTTCTCGAGCTGAACTGACCCAACCTTGTTGGTCCATGGCTCCAACACAAAGAAGTGATTGTGACCATCAGAACTCTTAACACCCAAGGCCAAAGCAAGCACTTATCCATGGGATGTTATAATATTTCAATGGCTGGGAAGTCCCTTCCTCAATGGCATGCACATGCAAAATGTTTTGGGTTTTTAAAAAATTCCCCCACTAGCCCTCTGATACCTACATCAAGGAAAACAATTTTATTCTACCATCAAGGACCCCCAGTTCTCAGGGAATGAAATGCTATGTGACTGTGATCTTGGCTGTTTTGCCTGGGAGCAGGATCTTATGGAAGAGGGTCTGTGATGCCCCATAGGGAGAAGGATATCCCAGAAAAGGAGAAAGGGTACAGAAGTTAATGGCTGGGAGCACCAAAGGTGAGCCTCACACTTCACACTTTTTCCAAGCACTCTCCACAGTTATGATTAAACAGAAGGGGGAGGATTCCCAGAACAAGTTTGGAGTCAGAAGTCAAAAATATCAAATGGCATTTGAAAAATGAACAAATGTCATTCCTTCATATTTTGGAAAGACAGCCATGTGGAATTAGTTCAAGAGTCATACAGGGCTGGGCACAGTGGCTCATTCCTGTAATCCCAGCACTTTGGGAGGCCAAGGCAGATGGATCACTTGATCTCAGGAATTTGAAACTAGCCTGGCCAACATGGTAAAACACCGTCTCTACCAAAAATACAAACATTAGCTGAGTGTGGTGGCATGCACCTGTAATCCCAACTACTGGGGAGACTGAGGCTGGAGAATCGCTTGAACCCAAGAGGCAGAGGCTGCAGTGAGCTGAGATTGCACCACTGCACTACAGCCTGGGTGATAGAGTGAAATTCTGTCAAAAAAAAAAAAAAAAAAAAAAGTCATCCAGGACCTGCTCTGTACTTCACACCAGAGCCATTGCCTCATTTAATCTTCCCATAACCCTTGCAGCAATGTCTTATTCACCCACCTTTCAGATGAGGAAACTGAGGCCCAGAGAACCAAACTTCAAAACTAGGATCCCTAACTCACAAATGAGTGCATTCCTTTGCCCTGCCCTGCCCTCCTGGTTGGTAATATCTTGGAAGTCAGCGGAAAGCTCTTCCTGGTTGTCATTCTCTCCCTTGCAGGTTAAGGTGGCAAAGCAGGGCTCCTGAAACTGTTATGTAACTACAGAATCACCTAAAAATCTTGTTTAAATGCAGATTCTGACTCAGTAGATCTGGCGTGGGGCCTGAGATTCTGCATTTCTAATAAGCTTCCAGAAGATACTGATGCTGTGGTACAGGGACCCTACTTTTGAGTAGAAATAGCATACATCTCCATAACTTCCCTTTCCTCATTCACTTTCAATTCAGGGGGCCTAGCCATCCACTCATTCGAAATGTACTGAGTTTACTAAGCACCTACTATATGCCAGGCACTGTGCTGGGGGACTGGCGATGCAGTGGACAAGCAGACAAAGTCTTTTCCTTCATGAAATTTACACTGCAGTGGAAAAAGACTGAAAATAGATGTGGAAATGAATAAATAACTAATGCAGCATCAGGTATGTGCTGGGAAGCATGGAATAGACCATGACTGAGGACAGGGAGGGGATTCTCTGACCCCAGTCCACACTTCTGGGACACTGACCCATGATCACTGGAAGCAAGCACCTGAAATGGCCTTTCTAAATTAAGCCATCAGCAATCCACAAATACGTAATGGCCCACCTACTATGTATAAGTCAAAGTATGGGATGAAACGATCCAGTGTCTAAGACTGACTTCAAAATAATACAGGAAGGGAAGTGGGTAAAGGTATAGGTGAAACAATATTGGCTGTGAGTTGGTAATAGTTGAAGCTGGTTCATAGGTGCCTAGGAAAGGTTCATCATATTGTTCCATTTATTATATATTTGACATTTTCCACAACAAAAAACAGAATTCAACTATGTAAGTGGTTGGAACATAATATCTGCCCTCCAAGAACTTACAAGTCACCATGTAGCTTGATCCTATATCAGGGGAACTTAAGCTAGAATTTAGGAGGTCCAGAAACTTGGAGAGAAATTTAAAATTTTATTTTTTGTCATCTCTAACTGAAATGTAGCATTCCTTTTAGTTATGATCATAGGCAACAAACCACAATGGTATGAGCAGAACCTGTTACTCCATCACCAATAGAAAGACCTACAAAGAGACTTAGACTCCCACACAATAATAGTGGGAGACTTTAACACCCCACTGTCAATATTAGACAGATCAACGAGACAGAAAATTAACAAGGATATTCAGGACTTGAGCTCAGCTCTGGACCAAGTAGACCTCATAGATATCTACAGAACTCTCCACCCTAAATCAACAGAATATAAATTCTTCTCAGCAACACATTTCACTTATTCTAAAATTGACCACATAATTGGAAGTAAAACACTCCTCAGCAAATGCAAAAGAATGGAAATCATAACAAAGAGTCACTCAGACCACAGTGCAATCAAATTAGAACTCAGGATGAAGAAAGTCACTCAAAACTGCACAACTACATAGAAACTGAACAACCTGCTCCTGAATGACTAACAGGTAAATAACGAAATTAAGGCAGAAATAAAGATGTTCTTTGAAACTAATGAGAACAAAGACACAATGTACCAGAATCTGTGGCACACAGCTAAAGCAGTGTTTAGAGGGAAACTTATAGCACTAAATGTGCACAGGAGAAAGGAGGAAAGATCTAAAATCAACACCCTAACATCACAATTAAAGGAACTACAGAAGCAAGAGCAATCAAATTCAAAAGCTAGCAGACGACAAGAAATAATTAAGATCAGAGCAGAACTGAAGGAGATAGAGACATGAAAACCCTTTCAAAAAAATCAATGAATCCAAGAGCTGTTTTTTTAAAAAGATCAACAAAATAGATAGACTGTAAGCCAGACTAATAAAGAAGAAAAGAGAAAAGAATCAAATAGACACAATAAAAAATGATAAAGGGGATATCACCACTGATCCCACAAAAATACAAACTACCATCAAAGAATACTACAAACACTTCTATGCAAATAAACTAGAAAAATCTAGAAGAAATGGATAAATTCCTGGACACATACACCCTCCCAAGACTAAACCAGGAAGAAGTCGAATCCCTGAATAGAACAATAACAAGTTCTGAAATTGAGGCAGTAATTAATAGCCTACCAACCAAAAAAAAAAAAAAAAAAGCCCAGGACCAGGTGGATTCACAGCCGAATTCAACCAGAGATACAAGGAGGAGCTGGTACCATTCCTTCTGAAACTATTCCAAACAATAGAAAAATAGAGACTCCTTCCTAACTCATTTTATGAGGCCAACATCATCCTGATACCAAAGCCTGGCAAAGACACAACAAAAAAAGAAAATTTCAGGCCAATATCCCTGATGAACATCGATGCAAAAATCCTCAATAAAATACTGGCAAACCGAATCCAGCAGCACATCAAAAAGCTTATCCACCACGATCAAGTTAGCTTCATCCCTGGGATGCAAGGCTGGTTCAACATACGCAAATCAATAAACGTAATCCATCACAAAAACAGAACCAATGACAAAAACCACATGATTATCTCAATAGATGCAGACAAGGCCTTCAATAAAATTCAACACCCCTTCATGCTAAAAACTCTCAATAATGTTGACGGAACGTATCTCAAAATAATAAGAGCTATTTATGACAAACCCACAGCCAACATCATACTGAATGGGCAAAAGCTGGAAGCATTCCCTTTGAAAAGCGGCCCAAGACAAGGATGCCCTCTCTCACCACTCCTATTCAACACAGTATTGGAAGTTCTGGCCAGGGCAATCAGGCACAAGAAAGCAATAAAGGATATTCAAATAGAAAGAGAGGAAGTCAAATTGTCTCTGTTTGCAGATGACATGATTGTATATTTAGAAAATCCCATCATCTTAACCCAAAATCTCCTTAAGTAGATAAGCAACTTCAGCAAAGTCTCAGGATACAAAATCAATGTGCAAAAATCACAAGCATTCCTATACACCAATCATAGACAAACTGAGAGCCAAATCATGAGTGAACTCCCATTCACCATTGCTACAAAGAGAATAAAATACCTAGGAATACAACTTACAAGGGATGTGAAGGACCTCTTCAAGGAGAACTACAAGCCACTGCTCAAGGAAATAAGAGAGGACACAAACAAATGGAAAAACATTCCATGCTCATGGATAGGAAGAATCAATATCATGAAAATGGCCATACTGCCCAAAGTAATTTATAGATTCAATGCTATCCCCATCAAGGTACCATTGTCTTTCTTCACAGAATTAGAAAAAAACTACTTTAAATTTCATATGGAACCAAAAAAGAGCCCGTATAGTCAAGACAATCCTAAGAAAAAGAACAAAGCTGGAGGCATCATGCTACCTGACTTCAAACTATACTACAAGGCTACGGTAATCAAAACAGCATGCTACTGGTACCAAAACAGATATATAAACCAATGGAACAGAACAGAGGCCTCAGAAATAATACCACACATTTACAACTATCTGATCTTTGACAAACCTGACAAAAACCAGCAATGGGGAAAGGATTCTCTATTTAGTAATTGGTGTTGGGAAAACTGGCTAGCCATATGCAGAAAACTGAAACTGAACCCCTTTCTTACACCTTATACAAAAATTAACTCAAGATGGATTAAAGAATTAAACATAAGACCTAAAACCATAAAAACCCTAGAAGAAAACCTAGGCAATACCATTCAGGACATAGGCATGGGCAAAGACTTTATGACTAAAACACCAAAAGCAATGGCAACAAAAGCCAAAATTGACAAATGGCATCTAATTAAACTAAAGAGCTTCTGCACAGCAAAAGAAACTATCATCAGAGTGAACAGGCAACCTACAGAATGAGAGAACATTTTTGTAATCTATTGATCTGACAAAGGGCTAATATCTAGAATCTACAAAGAACTTAAACAAATTTACAAGAAAAAAACAACTCCATCAAAAAGTGGGTGAAGTATATGTACAGACACTTCTCAAAAGAAGACATTTATACGGCCAACAAACATATTAAAAAAAGCTCATCGTCACTGGTTATTAGAGAAATGCAAATCAAAACCACAATGAGATACCATCTCACGTCAGTTAGAATGGCAATCATTAAAAAGTTAGGAAACAACAGAGCCGGGCGCTGTGGCTCATGCCTGTAATCCCAGCACTTTGGGAGGCCGAGGTGGGCAGATCACAAGGTCAGGAGATGGAGACAATCCTGGCTAACACAGTGAAACCCTGTCTCTACTAAAAATACAAAAAATTAGCTGGGCGTGGCGGTGTGTGCCTGTAGTCCCAGCTGCTGGGGAGGCTGAGGCAGGAGAATGGCGTGAACCCAGGAGGCTGAGCTTTCAGTGAGCTGAGATAGTGCCATTGCACTCCAGCCTGGGTGACAGAGCGAGACTCCATCTCAAACAACAACAACAACAACAACAACAAAGAAAAACAAAAAGTCAGGAAACAACAGGTGCTGGAGACGATGTGGAGAAATAGGAACACTTTTACACTGTTGGTGGGAGTGTAAATTAGTTCAACCATTGTGGAAGTCAGTGTGGCGATTCCTTAAGGATCTAGAACCAGAAATATCATTTGACCCAGCCATCCCATTACTGGGTATATACCCAAAGGACTATAAATCATTCTATTGTAAAGACACATGCACATGTACATTTATAGCCACACTGTTCACAATAGCAAAGACTTGGAACCAACCCAAATGCCCATCAGTGATAGACTGGATAAAGAAAATATGGCACATATACACCGTAGAATACTATGCAGCCATAAAAAAGGATGAATTCATGTCCTTTGCAGGGACATGGATGAAGCTGGAAACCATCATTCTCAGCAAACTAACACAGGAACAGAAAACCAAACACCACATGTTCTCACTCATAAGTAGGAGTTGAACAATGAGAACACATGAACACAGGGAGGGGAACATCACACACCAGGGCCTGTCGAGGGGTGTGGGGCTAGGGGAGGGATAGCATTAGCAGAAATACCTAATGTAGATGACGGGTTGATGGGTGCAGCAAACCACCATGGCACATGTATACTTATGTAACAAAACTGCACGTTCTACACATGTATCCCAGAACTTAAATTATAATTTAAAAAAAGAAAGAAAGAAAAAAAGAATACATAGATATTTTCACATCACAGAAAGAGTTGTTTCAGATATCTGGAAATAGTACAACTTTAACACTTCAACTAGATCTTGATAATTCGTGGGTTAATAAGAAGCACATATTTTACTATATCACAAATTCATATTTGCATAACTGTATTTACATAGTAACTGTAGGTCCTTTGTAATTCTACATATTTTCAAACCTCAGTCCGAGAAGAGTCCAGATTTCACCAGCCTGCCCAGGGGTCCATGGCATAGAAAAAGTTAGAAATGCTGGCTCTAGTTTCCAGGTCTAGGTCAAGTTTCTGGATGTGGTGATTGCATACCTACATCACCCCTGTAACCCCACAGGAGGCCTCTCCTGCCTGTAGCTGCAGGACATCTCCCATCCCTTCCCGCACCAAAAAATGCAGGTCCTTCAGCCCTCAAGCCCAAACGTCACCCTGACTGGAGGGCTCAGAATGGGGGAAAGGGAGCTGTAAGCATCTGGAAATTTCCAGTGTCTTGAAGATAAGCCCTGACTCTAGTATGACAGAATTCAGGCAATGAGGTAAGAAATGTTGGGCAGTGGGCCAAATAAAATGTAACATTCTCTGCTTGTCCTTTCTGGCTCATTGGTGCCTTATGTATGGGAATCTCTACCCGTAGCGGAAACTCCTGAATGACAGTTGTGTAGCCATCAGATTCTGCCAGAAGCGAGGCGGCGAGGTGGGAGGAAAAGGCAGGCAGGTGGGATGCCGGCAGGATACAGGTGAGGAGAAACACATTAATAGGATTTTTGCTGGTTTCGAGACTTGTTCAAATTGGTTGCAAGAATGGGAGCATATATTGGCATAAACCTCCACCCCCTGTGCCCCACCACACTGCAGAGAGCAGCAAGCACAAGGTTTTGTTCAGAGCTGTCAATCTGCACTTTTTATTTTGGTGTTGGGAACTCCTGACTCCCTGGCACTCCCCACACTGGGGGCTTTGGATCCTGAAAATATTGCTCACATTGAGACTCTTCCCTAAGTGTCTGCTTTCTACCAGAGTTCAGGAGATACAGCCTTGTGGCTTGGGTACACCTGTTAAAGAGTCCCCTTTGCTTCCCCTTGCCTTTCATCCAGGACTAAAATTACAGCCTCTGAGCTGGTCTTGCCCTTCTGAGCCTGTAACCAGACACATAGGACAGCCAAGGCTGTCCCAGCATTCAGTAGAGGAAGAAAGCAAGGGCGGGTACATCAGGGAGAGAAGGGGACACTCAGGGACATGCCATGTCATGAGAAACTAAGGCCTTGGAGACCGTGAGAACTAGAGCACAGCTATCTTGCCATGACATCAATCCCATGCCAAGGAACAAGGGCACAAATCCTCCAGCCAGAAAATACATAAATAAGTCAAGTAAAAGGCTGCGTTGGAGGGTGGGCGCCCTAAATTAGAAGCCTCCCAAGGCCCAAAGGCAGAAAAAAACCCTGGATAACTGCTGAGTTGCTCCTCATTCACAAGAGTGGAATTCCTGCTAGAAGCAAGGCCCGGGACTCCATGTTGGCTCAGTCACTTCCCAGTTGTGTGACTTGGGCAAGTTCCTTAACCTCTCTGGGCCTCAGTGTCCTCGTGCTTAGTAAATGGAAATAGCCTATCCTGGCTTCCATGAAATATTAAATGAGACATTTGTGATAGCATTTTGCAAACTTCAAAGTGCCCCAAAGTTGTTTAGCATGCTTCTTGCTTTCTGGAGCAGGAGCGTAGAGTGGCTAAGAGAGTAGGCATTGGGGCTGGACTAACTGGGTGTGAATCCTGGTTCCACTGCCTCTTGGGTGTGTGCCCTGCAACAAGTTCATCAGTCATTCTGTGCCTCAGTTTTCTTACCTGTAAAATGGAGCTTAACCATAGCAGCACCTACCCCGTTAGGTTGCTATGGTGGTTAGATAAGTTTATTGGAAAATGAATATAGAAAATGTTCTAAGCATGGAAAATGCTTAGAACAGTGCCTGGCACACAGTAACATCCAATAAATGGTAGGTAGTTTGTTTATTGCTCATTTATTATTGTTGTTGCTTATTATTGTTCAGTGATAACTAATTTCCCTCCTGTTCCCACTGAAGGCAAAGTATATTTTACTACTTATTGCTTTTGGGCTTGGCCATATAACTTGCTCTGTCTGATGGGATGCTGGCAAATACGATGTGGGCTGAAGCTTAAAATGTGCTTGTTCTGTGGGGCTTGTCCTCCTGTGCTTCTGCCATTGCCATAAGAAGAACATGCCCTGGAGAGCCCACTGTCCCAGAAGCAAGAAAGCCACGTGGAACAGACTGGAACCAAACCTGAAGATGAGAACCAAGCCCAGCGTACATTAGCTAATCAATGCACAGACCTGCAGCTTGAAGCAGCGTCACCATGGCTGATCTGCAAAACTGAAAACATGACAATAGATACTTGCCACTGAATTTTAGAGTTATTTGTTATACAGCAATGAGTGACCAATAGCTACTGTTATTTTTACTATCTAGCTACAGCTTGTATACTTTGAGGTTGTAATGTTAAATCTTAAAAATCACTCCATTCCATTTCTGGCCAACTCTCATTATTAAAAGAAACAACAGGAGGAATTGTTGTCTTTTCCTTGTAGGATACATAAAATGAGCATCTGTTCATTCACTCAACTACCATTTACTGAGCACCTACTACATGCAGACAGATGTCACACTAGGTGCTGGGGAAACACATGCTTCAGGACCATCTCCGTTTAGTTCCTGCAGTGAAATCACGTTTTGCTGCCTAATATGCTGATTCTTAGAAGCCAAGTTGTGCCCTGTGATATATTAGTCCCAGCTAGGGGAGGAAGGCTTGCATGCCATGATCACCACTGGAATCCACCAAAGTCTTTAGCCAGCCATGTGTCTGCTCAACAGGAAGGCTGTCAGTGGCCAGGATCCTCTCAGCCCTATAGAAAGCTCTACAGCCTTCAAATTGCCACTGATGTTCAGAATCCAAAACGCTGCCATGTTTTTGCTCAATACAACCCAGCACAAACCTACGATCGGAAAGGCAGTAAGTTGCATTTCTCCTCTCCTTCAGGCTAAAGCAATCCTGGTCTGTAACAGCCGACTGCTTTTCTGGGGCTTGGGAAAATTGAAAAGCAGTCCATCCGGAACCCCACCCCCACCACCCAGAGCTGATGCTTTAGAACCTGGCAGGAGCAGGGATCAAGGTCTGGGCTGCTATTTTATCATCCCTTAGATGTAGGCCATCTAACAGTCTATTATCCAACCTGGGCCAACTGGCAAAACTCCAGGTCAGCACATTTCAGAGTCGGAGGGCACCTCAGAAGCTGTTTCACCCACACTGTCCTACTGACCTCAGCCTCAGCTCTGGGGATAAAGAAAGGGTTTAGTCTGCAGATTATTCCATTTGGACCCCATTGCCAGCTATAACATAATGGATGTTGTGTGCAGAATGTTTACAACTCTCTAGAAAGCATATTTTTTTCTTATGTGCAACATAGAATGTGATAGCATAAAAAGAACTGGTGAGTGTTTATTTTTCCTAATACTCGCTTAGTTTGTAGAAATGCAAAATGTGTGTCCCCTGAAGTTTGAATTAGTGCACATAAGGTTGAGACTGGTGCTACGTAGGTAACCTGGGAGCCTCTTTAGATCTACCATAGCAGAGTTATCTCAAGCTTAAATTGGCCATTAAGTCTCAGCTTTTACTTTCTATCATGCTTCTTTTTATGAGGACAACGGAGCTGCCAATATGTGCAATGTAAAACATTCTCGCCATTGGAGCTAAATGAAGAGGGGAGCCTCTCACACCACTTATTGGGAAATCACTCCAATCTAATGCTGCTGCCATCCACTCTGAGGACAGTGTTGGCTTTTGCATTAATTCTGTATTTTTGATGCTTTGACATCTTGGGGCCTTGTTCACCCTAGAGGAGCTGCACCTCCCAGGGCTAGGTAATTCCTAGAGATAGCAAACAACTCACCTGGGAGAGCTCCTTTCATATGCGAACCAACCAATCCAGAGTCCACATCCCAACCACTTCCTTTATGCAGCTCTCACACTCCAGGTCACCATCCACCTGCCCTAATCATCCCAGGGCCAAGTACCAGACAACTAAGGCATAGATGTCCTTAGTTGTCTGGTACTTGGCCCTGGGATGCCCCAGAGCCCACTGAAATTCCTGAAACTAGCCAATCCAAAGCCTGATTACCCTGCCTTGCCTGTTCCTTCCCATGAAAACCACAAGTAAGACTCTTGTCCACAGTTGTACCCTCTCCTGTCTCCTGACCCACCCTAGTGCTTCCCCGTGTGGGCCCCCATGATGTGGTATAGCCCCTCCTCTTGGGAGGATCTGTGAGTAACAAACTGTCTTTTCAATGGAATTGTCCATCTCCTGATCTGTTGGCCTCACTGTACCTGAATAATAATAAAACCTACATTTTAAAACAGCTTCAGTACCCAGGAAGGAGGAAGACAGCAAGCAAGTAAGCCAAGACTTTATGTTACCAAGGCAAGCTAGTTCTTCCAACTGTGTGGTGGTTGGTTGCTCAAACCCTTTCCTTTGGAGGAGTGAGGACTGGGAACACATGAGGGACAAAGAAGCATGTTCAAGAGTAAATGTTAAACAACTGGCTTTTAAAATAAAAACGCTTTCATTAGTAGTGTTTAGGAATTCCATGATGTAAATAGTTCTACCATGGTTGATTTCAAGCTACCAATGTGAGAAGAGATGTACACAATTGGCTCTTGCAAGCCTTTACATGTCAGCTCTGGCACACCAATGGAATAGGACCACCTAACATTGGCTGGGAGACTCAAGGGAATTCCCAAAATGTGGCCCTGGAGATCCAAGAGAAAAGCTGCTTGATACTTCCACAGGACAGGCTTTCAGAAGAAGAAAGGAGCTTGCTTTCTCTTTGGAGAAATATGGAAAGTCTAGGAAAGAGTGCCTTTACTACGTTCCTTTAAAAGTCCCTGGGCATCTCTTATGCCAATGTCTCTCAGGGGGAAATGTGGCTCAGGAGTTCAAGGCATGCAAGGTGTGGGAGGGAAAACCTGAGCTCTGCCATCACAAAGCCCTGGCCTGGACAGCAAGCTCCACTGCTATGTGACCATGGCTGAGTTAGTCTGACTCCAAACCTCAGTGCACTTATCTGTAAAATGGGAATAAGAACTCCGACATTGCTGGACTGTAAGGCTAGGAATAATGTACGTTCAGAGAATAGCACAATGCCTGACACAAACAGGAGTTCCTAAACTGGTCAAGAGAGCCACAAACAGATATTTTTCATTCATTTGTAACTGAAATTTAATATTTCCTTCAATTATAAGTGAAAGTAACAAACCACGGTGGTATTAGCAGTACTTGTGAGTTTCTTACCAATAGGAATTACAGATATTTTCATATCACATTAAAGTTGCTGTACTGAAATATTATTTACACCACCACTACTTCAAATTATAATGTGTGTTAGACTCACCACTAACTCTTGTTATTTAATGTAGTAATAAAGGAGCATATATCTATTATAATATTGGAATTTTTTAAATACTTTGATAACTGTATTTCAATATACTTGGCTTCCTTTGCAATCCTATGTATTATACTTTACGCATTAAGAAACATTATTCTGAGAAGGGATCCATAGGTTTCACTAGATTGCCATATTTCAAACAAACAACAAGAATCCCTGGAGTGATACTAAAAATGGTAGCTACTTTATTATTATCGTTATTATTATTCTCACAGCTTCTGGGGCATTAACAGACTTACTTGGGTGATAGCAGTGGAGCAGATGCCCCCTGGAAAAGTCTCAGCTCCGTGTCCCCACGAGGTGTCAGAACATCAAGAAAGCCACTGATCAAAATGTCTCCATTCCCCATCCCCTCCCCATAGCCTCTAGTAAATACCATTCTACTCTCTAATTCTATGAGTTGTACATACAAGTATTATTTGTCAATTAAAAATAAAATAAAACTTTAAAAAAATTTAAAAGAGAAATCCGCTGAATAGGAGGATGGTGCTTACTGCCTGGTGTTCTCTCTTACCCACCAGAAATCCTAACTATGGCTTACCTGGCCCCAGACAAGGCTCTCCAATCCATGACAGCACCGGATGCAATTCCCAACTCCATCCCCACTGACTGGGTGTTTCCTGAGTTACTTTCATGCTTTGACTCCTACAGGAACTGGCCACAGTTATGTCTGGAGTCCTGGAAACATGGCAAGTGGATGTCCTCAACAAGTACCAATCACGAATATTCTGCCATGATCTATGATTCAGAAAACCTAGACATGGCACCTTCAGCACTAGAAGATTCCTCGAGGCCAGAGTGTCTGCACCTGTGAGCTGTTTTGGAGGTTGGAAAAATGTTTAGGAAGTAAACAATTTTGCTGGTTAGGCTGAAGCATTGCAGAGGAAATGGAGCTCACCTTATAGAGAGGGACTGTGGATAAACTGCTGCTTGGGCAGTTAATACTTTGTCATGTTGCTGAGACATTTCAAGAGCTCCCTAAAAAAGCCCTGAGATGTCTCTTATCCTTCCCACTGGGAATGAGTGGGCACCCAAAAGTTGGCAGCAGAAATTCCACTGCAGGAGCTCCCCTGGCCTACTCAAAGCACTTAGGAACATGTGATGAAGCAGTCCTTTTGTTTTTCTCCACAAACCTTTGAGCTAAATATTATTAGTATCCCCATTTTAGAAATGAGAAAACTGAAGTAAAGCTACTTGCCCAAGGTCACACAGGTGGTAGGTAACAGAAGCAGGATCTGAACCCAATTTAGTGAAGCTCCAAAGCCTACATTTAAAAATGAAGTACTGATACACACAGCATGGATGAATGTCATAGACATAATATCAAAAGTGCATTTTGATTGCTTCTTGACCTTTTGGCTAAGAGTAAGTGAAAACTGTATTCTATATGATTCTATTTACATGAAGTTTAAGAACAAGAAAAAATTAATCTATGGTGACACGAGTCAGAATAGTTGCCTCTGGGCAGGGTGTATGGACTGAATGGGGACACAGAAGAACCTCCTGAGGAGTGAGGACAATGTTCTTATATATCTTGGTCTGTATGGTGGTTGTACAGATATATATAGTCAGGGTTATAATTGTAGTTATATATGTATTTGTGTAGTGATTTTTTTAAATCTTCCCTTTAAAATCCTTTTTGTTCCATGTTTTTTCTTTCAAACATGATAGAACAAATTCCATGTTGAGGAAAAACATGTACACACACACACAAGACAAAACAAGACAGAAAGTTCAAATACTGTGGAAAACATACTCTACTCAGTAGAAACACTTGCAACATCAAATACACAAAAGAGAAATTAATTTGTGGCTGCCTGTTAAAGGAAAAAAAATAGATTACTTCCAAAAGCCAGAGAACACAGCATCTCTCTCAGGAAACAAAGTTTCCATGGCTGCAAGACCAGAGTCAAGAGGAGAAGAAAAAAAGTCATGTCAGAAGCAGCAAAGTTTATCTTTCCCTCCTCAAATGTCAGTGCCCACTGATCACTAAATCACTCCCATGGCTTATTAAAGTAAATGTCACAGAAAGTTACGGACACCGCCTTATTCATTAAATGCACTTGAAGAGATTTCTGGGAGAGAATTTTCTTTTAAATCAAATAGGAGGTTTGCACTGCAGTAAGACGGTTATAACCCATACCAGCAAGAAGGTCGTTCATAACACTGAATGGGTGTTTGATGAGATGTTTTTATTCTCAGGCTGCACTAAAAATAGGAAGAATGTAAAGTTTAAACTTTAAGCCAACTTACTTGCAATGCATTCATCTATGTCTAACTGGCCATCATGACCCCTCAAGACTACATGGAAGCCGTGTACTAAGGAAGTCATGGGCACATGTTTCTAGACCATACACTTGGCTCCATGTTAGAGTATATATATTATAAAGAGAAATGCAAAATCGCCGTGCATTTTTTAAACTAACTTCAAAGTAATTTTGTACTTGAAAAATTGAAGCCCCCATACCATCAGGGTATGCATTATCTTTTTTCTACCATCAAGAGCACTTCAATAGAAAAGTTTGAGAAGCACTATCTAGAGATGCACAGGCTAATATGGTATTTAAGTTTAAATTTAAATTAATTAAAACGTCATGGTTTTAGGGCTTACATTCCAGTCTTTAATCCACCTTGAGTTAATTTTTGTATAAGGTGTAAGGAAAGGGTCCAGTTTCAGTTTTCTGCATATGGCTAGCCAGTTTCCCCAACACCATTTATTAAATAGGGAATCCTTTCCCCATTGCTGGTTTTTGTCAGGTTTGTCAAAGATCAGACGGTTGTAGATATGTGGCGTTATTTCTGAGGCCTCTGTTCTGTTCCATTGGCCTATATATCTGTTTTGGTACCAGTAGCATGCTGTTTTGGTTACTGTAGCCTTGTAGTATAGTTTGAAGTCAGGTAAAATAATGCCTCCAGCTTTGTTCTTTCTGCTTAGGACTGTCTTGGCTATACAGGCTCTTTTTTTTGGTTCCATATGAAATTTAAAATAGTTTTTTCTAATTCTGTGAAGAAAGTCAATGGTAGCTTGATGGGGATAGCATTGAATCTATAAATTATTTTGGGCAGTATGGCCATTTGCATGATATTGATTCTTCCTATCCATGAGCATGGAATGTTTTTCCATTTGTTTGTGTCCTCTCTTATTTCCTTGAGCAGTGGTTTGTAGTTCTCCTTGAAGAGGTCCTTCGCATCCCTTGTAAGTTGTATTCCTAGGTATTTTATTCTCTTTGTAGCAATTGCAAATGAGAGTCCAAACCCTAGAAGAAAACCTAGGCAATACCATTCAGGACATAGGCATGGGCAAAGACTTCATGACTAAAACATGGAAAGCAATGGCAACAAAAGCCAAAATTGACAAATGGCATCTAATTAAACTAAAGAGCTTCTGCACAGCAAAAGAAACTATCATCAGACTGAAAAGGCAACCTCCAGAATGGGAGAACATTTTTGCAATCTATCTATCTGACAAAGGGCTAACATCCAGAACCTACAATGGACTTAAACAAATTTACAAGAAAAAAACAACCCCATCAAAAAGTAGGCGAAGGATATGAACAGACACTTCTCAAAAGAAGACATTTATGTGCCCAACAAACATATGAAAAAAAGCTCATCATCACTGGTCATTAGAAAAATGCACATCAAAACCACAATGAGATACCATCTCATGCCAGTTAGAATGGCAATCATTAAAAAGTCAGGAAACAATAGATGCTGGAGAGGATGTGGAGAAATTGGAATGCTTTTACACTGTTGGTAAATTAGTTCAACCATTGTGGAAGACATTGTGGTGATTCCTCAAGGATCTAGAACCAGAAATACCATTTGACCCAGCAACACCATTACTGGTTATATGCCCAAAGGATTATAAATCACTCTACTATAAAGACACATGCACACGTATATTTATTGCAGCACTATTCACAATAGCAAAGACTTGGAACCAACTCAAATGCCCATCAATGATACACTGGATAAAGAAAATGTGGCACATATACACCATGGAATACTATGTAGCCATAAAAAGGATGAATTCATGTCCTTTGCAGAAACATGGATGAAGCTGGAAACCATCTATCTCAGCAAACTAACACAGGAACAGAAAACCAAATACCACATGTTCTCACTCATAAGTGGGAGTTGAACAATGAGAATACATGGATACAGGGAGGGGAACATCACACACCAGGGCCTGTTGGGGAGTGAGGGGCTAGGGGAGGGATAGCATTAGGAGAAATACCTAATGTAGATGATGGGTTGGTGGGTGCAGCAAACCACCATGGCATGTGTATACCTATGTAACAAACCCGCACCTTCGGCACATATATCCCAGAACTTAAAGTATAATTAAAAAAATTCAAATAAAATTAAACTAAAATTAAAGAAAATTTAAAATTCAGTTCCTCAGTTACATTACCCACATTTCAAGTGCTCAATACCCCTAAGTGGCTAGTGGCTACCATATTAGACAGTGCAGATGCAGAACATTTCCAGCATCACAGAAAATCCTATTGGACAGCACTGGTCTAGATATACAAAAATCTAGTTAATCTATGGGAATTCTTTGAGATCCTTCCCTCCTAGCTTGAGAAGAGGGGAAGGTCTAAAATATTAGATAGACTGTTGTAGAAACTCACCTTAAATTTCAAGGTCACATTACTTGAGAGTCTACAAAGTCCTAGGTATTGGGAGGGGAATCAAAGAAACAGGCACAGACCTTGGCTTCAAGAAGCAATAGCCATAAACTACACTAGTAAAAGAGCATAGAACGAGAACTCTATCAACACCACATCTATAATACCATTCTCCACCCAACCCACAGAATCTTGGTGTCAGTTTCAAGGTCAAGCCCATTCATTTATAAAGCACATCGAAAATGGATTATATTAACAACTGGCACAGAATTCATCTTGAGCACGTTAGAGATGGAGGTCTGATTTTGGTTGGGAAAATCCCTTGGTCACTACTTGATGTGAACTTTGAAACTTGGTGCAAAGTGTTCAGGAACAAGATTACTAAAGATCTGGCAAAGTCTTCTTCATGACACAAGGGAGTGGGTGTTTGTTCTCAAGGAGAACTGGAAGAAGCAAGGATGAGAAGGGAAAGAAGAAGCTGGCCAAAGGACATGGTATTAAGGTTAAAAGGAGCAAAGCAGTTAAGTGGAAGTAGGTTCACAATTAGTTCCTCACCTCTGCCTGGCACATGAATACCCACTGACATCTGTGGTGGGCAGGATCTAAAGTGAACGTGGCATATCTTCTTGGACCTTCCATTTTACTCCATAACATGAGGTGAGGTAGCCCCAGGATATTTTAAGAACAGGGATATTCAAAGTTCAATTTGAGGTCATTTGCCATGGTAGATTGTTTGCAAAAAATGACCACAATAATTTGCCTTCCTCTATCCACACCCCTTTGCGAAGGGACTTTACAACCCCTCCTATCACTAGGTGAGTCTATTTCTCCATCCCTTGAAATTAGTCTCACTTTATAATTTGTTTTAGCCAACAAAATGAAGCAAAAATTGTATCATGCCAGTTCCACATGTAGGGCTCAAGAGACCTGTTCCCACTCTCATCTTTAATTCATTTATTATGGAGTAAAATAGACGGTCCTAGAAGATGTGCTTTGCACAAGATCTCCCTGCTTCCATCCACCCCTGCCCTGCCTCAGTATGTTCCCAACACAGTAACATAAGCCACAATGTGTCCCTTCTTTGCTAAAAGCCCCCCAGTGACTCCCCATCTCATTCAGAGTAAAAGGCAAAGGCCTTGCAATCACCCAAAAGATCCTGCATGTCTTGCACTGTTGCCCTCACCTTGGGATTTCTCCGAGCTCTTCTCCCACAGCTCATGCCTTACCCATGCAGCTCTGACCACACCGGGCTCCTTGCTATTCCTCAAATATGACAGGCACACACCCCAGCCTCAGGGCCTTTGCACTTACTATTTCCTTTGCTTGGAACTCTCTTCTTCAGATATCCACATGACTCGTTCCTTCCAGGTTTTCACTCACATATCCACTTCTCCGTGAGGCTTTCCTTGATTGCTTGATTTAATATGGCACCCTCAGCAATCCTTATTCCCCACCTTTATTTTTCTTTTCATTACAGTGTCACCACCTAAGGAGAGTATAACATATTTATCTTATGTTGGTCACCTCCACTAGACTGCAAGTTCTCTGAAAACAGAGATCTGTATGTGTTTTGTTTATTGTTGTATCCTCAACACTTACAACAGTGCCAGGAACATAGGAGTGGTTGAATAAATATTTGTTGAGTGGATAAATGGATGCATGAAACTTGGCTACCATAGCAGACACTGTCAGTGCCCCTGCACATATCCCTCAGACCTTTCAGGTAAGCACCAGGAGATTTCCAACTGCTAGTGCCTGCATCTCTGAGCCTACGGGCTAATTTTCCTGAACCAGGACTGTAGAAGGTCACTCTGCCCATGCACGAGGTGGGCTAGAAATGCCAAGAACTAATGAATGCCTCCAGGAGCAGCCTCCAAGCAATGATTATTGGGAGGTTGGTGTATAAATACTCCAGCTCCCTTGCCCCTTGGGTGGGATAATCCTTCTGTAGGATTCAGCTTGATAATGTCCTTTACTTGTTGCCCTCCTTCCCTGTATCATATTCTCACTACCTACAGGTAGTGTTACCCCCACACACACACCCACACACAAAATAAATTACCTTCACTTGAATCATTATGCCAGGATCTGTGTCTGGGGGAACCAAATCCAAGACAGTAGGGAGACCTGGCTAATTCCTGCATTACATATGGAGCAAACATTTTCTGAATCCCACTATGTGCCCACGTGTTAAGCTCAACACAAGACATCTAATTCCTGCTCTTAGGCTAATGAATGGGGCAAAGATGGATTTATGAAGAATGTTAAATTATAAGTTACATGACTGTCCTCACCATTTACTACTTTCCAGGAGGAAAAGGGGAGGGAGGGATTAAAAAGCCCATTACAGCATCCCTCAATAGCTCTGCCCAAGCCCCAATTACATGTCCTCAGCCCATCTCCAAAATCAAATAAACAAAAGCTGCACTGCTTCTTCTTTAGGCTTCTGATAAAATGTGCTATATTCACAGTGTGGTCTAACCCAGCTAATCCAAGCATCCTGAAGCTACCAAGGCTCTAAAAACTCAGGCTTTCTCTGCCAATCCCTCCCCACTTTTACACCCTTTCTTGGTCTCCAGTCTCACCCACCCCCATCCTCCCTAGAGGCATTCCTCTGGCGGATAAATCAGAGCTCTGAATTCTCTTGTGATGTTGCAACAAGCTGGCAGCGGGCATGACATGTAGCAGGGGAGGGCACAGGAGCCCCTAAATCAGAAATAATGAGATTTCTCTCTCAGAGGCAGCGTGAAATGAGAGGCAAAGAGCAAGGTGGCTGGAGATAGGAAAAGGACGAGGCGAGGGGCAGGAAGGGAAGTGAGGTAGCTGGAAGCAGCTTTAACCCAGTTTGCACTAATGTGCTTTTAGAGGTGTGTGTGAGTTAAAGAATGTGTGCATCCCTCTGTGAGTATGTACATATGTGACATGCACAGCTATTAAATTAAAGATAACTGGCAGGAGAAGCAGGAAAGGCTTATGGGAAAATGTCCCTGCCCAATGATCACAGGCTGTTGGGCATCTTTGATGAATCAGTGTTTGCAAACAGGCAGGGGAGATGCTTGGGAAGAAGCCATACTAAGATGCAAATTTGTCCTAAAGGACAAACTAGAAAACGGGAAACAGAACAACCAGATGGATGGCCAGACAGACACACAGAGAAGAATTGGGGTCAAGCTCTCAGGGCCTGAATGGCTACCAAGCTCTTATTTCCTCTGCAGCAACCGCAGGTCATTATCTGAAAGAACTGGAGGCCGAGGCCTGCTCTCTTTCTTGGCTTATTATCTGAGCGACATTCGTTCTCCGTGTGGCTAGAAGTCAGTGAAATACTAGCCCAAGCTGACAGTCTTGACTTCTTTCTAAATTGATCTGGGCAGCGTGTCTGCTCTGGGACCAGGCTTCCTTCTCATCCTTCTCCACACTTCCGAATAGCTGCTGGGTTGTGGCTACAGCCCAATTCAGAAGTTAGAGGAAAGTAAAATGGCTCTTTGCCTATCTATGCCACTGGGGGATTTATAAGTGGTTGAGTCATATTGATTCATCCTTCTATTCTCTGTCTCTATTTTTCCCTCCCTTCCCCCAATCCCTTATTACTTCTGTGTTGTAGAAATTATGGCTCATTCCAGGGCAGGAAGGAGAGGAATGCAAGAAGACACATACCCTACTCCTCATTCTCAGGCACAGGGAGTTTTTTCAGTTCCCCAGGTCTAGGATGATGCCATTTGAAAGGCTTTGCCTGTCTGGGTCTGGCTGGGGGCTTATGATTAGAACAAGATTGAGATGTCATAGTGGATGCTGTGGGGTGCCTCCAAGACCTCTCATTCTGGATTGAGGTACCCCATCTCCCAACTGCTGGGATTATTGGCTTCTGAGGGCTCACAGCTTTTTCCTGCTCTGGGAATTGCCTTCTGCAGAAAGGAGCTGCCTCACCCAAGCTCCTGCCCCCTACCTAGAGGAAACTTGCATCCAAAGACTGGTCATTTGGAAAATACAAAGGCCAGGCCCCCTTGCCTCAATTTGGGACAACTCCAAAGGACCAGCTTGCTTCCACAGCTGAGGTCTTTGTTGTACTGCATGGTGGTTCAGCTCTTCCCTATGCCCAGCCCTGCTTCCCTCACTCCTTGCAGGTGTTGATTCCACTGGCACTCCCCAGTAGCTTTCCTGTGCACGGGTCTCCATCTCAGAGTCTGTCCTAGGCACCCAACCTAAGACGGATGTGTAAGAAGGAAGCACGTTGTCCTAAAATCACTTACAAACTAAATTCTTCATTGAGCTTAAGACTTAAATAGCACATGACAAAGTTCATTAATACCTAGCTCTCTCAGGATATAAAGACTTATATTAAATAAATCACTAGTGGTTAGGCTCAGGAACAGAAGGGAAGAGCAGGGAAAACTTTCAGTTCATACAAGAGTAAAGGATTCACCATTTTTCTCATTTCCCAGTTCATTTCAATCTTCAGTGGCAAAGCTAGCCTTATCCACCAAATGTGGCACGTAAAACCTTGTTCATACAAAGAAGGGAACAACAGGCACTGAGGCCTACTTGAGGGTGGAAGGTGGGAGGAGGGAGAGGAGCAGAAACAATAACTATTGGGTAGTAGTCTTAATACCTGGGTGATGAAATAATCTGTACCGCAAACCCCTATGACACAAGTCTACCTATATAACAAACCTTCACGTGTACCCCCGAACCTAAAATAAAAGTTAAAAATAAATAAATAAATAAATAAATATAAAGCATTGTTCATGTGAAATATAATGCAAGAATGCAGGCCACATATGTAATAACCACATAAAAAAATTTTTAAAGGAGGTGAAATTAAGTTTAATAATGTGTTTTATTTAATCCATTATGTCTAAAATATTATCATTTCAACATGTGATCAATGTAAAAAAATTACTAACGAGATATTTTACATTCTCTTCTTTTATATTAAGTCTTTGAAATCCCATGTGTTTTTACAGTTAAAGCACAGCTCAATTTGGATGGTAAATTTTCATCAGAATTACTTGATCTATATTTAGATTTCATGAAATGGTTGAAAAAGTAGATTCACATACCAGAATTGTTGCAAAGAACAAAAACTTTTCCAATAACTGAATCAAACACCCATTTTAAAATTTAAACTCATTAAAATTAAATGAAATTCAAGATTCAGCTCCTCAATCGCACTAACTACATTTCAAGTGCTTACAGCTCTGCAGCTAGAGGCTGCCATATTGAACAGCACAACCTTAGTGTCTTTAACAATTGCATATCTGGGTGGATAATAAATTGGTTATTTATTTGAGGAAAAACAATCAGATTACTCTTCTTGTGGGAAGAAGCATCCTCCCTCTCAGTGATCTGGCTGGTTCATATATGTCAAAGAAATAGCTTCCAGTATAAATGGGCCACTGTTCAAGAACACTACACTCACTCATTTCTATATGGGCTCTTTAAAAAGAATTCCATCTACCACCACTTATTCTTTCCCACCACTTACTAAGTTGGGTTCTCATTTTTCTTCTGGTATCTGTCAAGATTTTATTGGCACACGCTTGCTTCCTGACTTGGCTCGACAGTCTTGATATTCTGTGGTAAATAAATCATGTGTGTTTATGTTCAAACTTTTCACTGTCTGCAAATCATTGGAAAATTTGAATCTTCCTTACCCAAATTTGTACTTAATCCATGGTCTCTATTCCTTTGACACCTTTGAAAAAGTAGAATACAACCTTTTCCTTCTGTTACAGTTGCTGTTTGGAACTTGAATTCCCTTTGCTAAAAGAAACACGCCTTTGATATCACACATTGAGAGACTCACCCATGAAAACTGTTCTGCACATGGTGGCTACATCACTCCACCAGGTCAGTGTCCTTTGGGTCCAAAAAATCCAGACTGATTCCCATCCAACTCTAAAAAGCACCCTAACCTGAGTCTATGGTGGTCTGGATGCTGGACCCAAATTCCCCTGGACACAGGATTTGCAGGGAACATTTCCTGTGCTCACAGTTGAACAGCACTTAGAGATAAACACTGACCTTTGAACTCTCAAGGTACGTTGAAAGTTGCTCTGCCTTGCAGAGAATGTCCTTCCCTGCATTTAGAATCAAAGAAGCTTCAAGCCAAAAGGAATATTGGGAATCAGATCTCTCTGTCTCTCTCACATTCTCTCACTGTGGATCTAATGGTGGGAGCCTGAAGAATGGGGTTGGGGTAAAATTTTCATCTTTAACAGGGCACTACAGATATGCTTTTTCATAATCCTAAACAGCCCAGCTATGTCTCTTGTCTCTGTCTCTCTCTGTCTCTGTCTCTCTCTGTCTCTCTCTCTCTCTCTTTCAGTATCTATCTACCTATCTTGCCCTCCCTCATCATTTCTCCTTCCCTTTGACTTTCTCTGATCTACCTTAGGATCAGAGATAATGCCCCCAAGATGCCGAATCCTTGGTGCATTCCCTGATCACATTTCACATACAACTAAGTGCCTTGATCTTAACACAAGTGGGCATGGCATCAGGAGACTTCCTAGGAAAATCAAACCTATCATATTGCAAACCAAAGTCAGAATGAGACACAAGAATCCCCGAACAAATTTACGACCACTTCTCTGCTACTTTATACAGCAGGGTTCATCAGATGACATTTTGCTGTGAAACCATTCAGTGTTCTCTGGACTAAGATTTCACCCCAGAGGTTAAGTGCTTTAACTAGATATGGAGCTCCCATCAATTCCCTCCCTGGCCCTGCAAGCACATATCCCCATCCCTGAAGGTCCATGCACAGAGATTCTCCTTGTTCACATAAGGCTTTATTTTCTACTGTCTTAGAAGCATTCCTTAGCTATGCACCTTCCTACGGTTTGATTCTGACTCCAGTAATTCCCTAATTATAGAGACAGATTTTCTGTCTTGTTATTCTAACACGGATTTCACTTAGATCTGGAAAAAAGAGTCCCAAAATGTGGTTTGAACTTTTTCATTCTAGCATAACCTTCATCTCCCTATGGTTTCAATTACAGCAGTAAAATAATATAAGTAATACTGCAAGCTATAGAAGACATTTGTTATAAAGGAATTAACAAATGATACTATAACAGCAATCATATTCATAGGTTAGAAACCAGTCCATACCAATTGAAATGTTTTAAAATAGCTTAGCTGAAATGATAATTGGATAATTTGTTATTTTTTAAAAATCTAAATGTTGCTCTTTTCCACCCCGGTGGCTCATGCAAAAATGGGAAAGCTTGGCAAAGGAGAGATTTAAACCACAGACCCCCAGACATGGTGGCTCAAAGGTCTAACCTAGTCAGCAAGCCTCATCATAGCTGTGGTTGGCTATGGTCTCTGCACTCAAACAATCTTTAATGTGCAGAGATATAACAGACATATACAAACCAAAGTAAATAAATATAGAGCTGAACAAGAAGAAAGGCATGGAATAAAAGGCTCAACCAAACCAAAAGCTGGTTCTTTGAAACGTTCAATGAAAAGATAAACCTTTGGCAAGAATAATCAAGAAAAAAGAGAGAAAGCAAAACAAATATTAGAAATGTAAGGAGATACAGCACCTACAAGCTTATCCCATTAAACATAAGTTCCAGCTACCCTCCTTGGGTATAAAGTATCTAAATTTTAACACCAGTTTCTTTCATTCACTCATTCATTAAATATTTATTGATGTGCCAGAGATACACAATGATCAACACCCCCCCACTGCCATCCCACCTGAAGCCTACCTTGTCTGTCAATTGCTACGAAACAAAGTAAATATATCACAAGTCAGGAAGCAGACTTGCCTTGAAGAAAAGTAAAGTAGATCAGGCAGTGGAACATGATGGAGATGTCATTTTAGATAGGGAGGTAAGAAAAGGTCTACTTTATTAGATGATTTTGAGCAGAGCCTTGAAGGAACCGAGAAAGCAAGCCATGAGAATATTTGAGAAAAGAGAATTCCAGCCAGAGGAAACAATAAGTGCAAAGGACCTGTGGCATATTTAGGAAGCCAGTGGTAGCTGGAGTGCAGCGAGCAGGTAAAGAGACCTGGGCAGAGAGATTGGCAAAATAAGGGCCAGTAGTACTTACCATGCTTATCTCGCAGGGTTCCAGCAACAATCGTATAACATCGGGCATGTGAAAGGGTAAGCACGAAGGATTACATTCTGCTTTGAAATGAACTTAAGTGGGGGAGTCAGTTTCATGTGGGCCTGTCTCTATATTATGCCTTGGCTTCTTGGGCAATAGCTTTACATACCAGAGAAACAAAAACCCAAAGAGTAAACCACTGTCACCATAATGGCTCATGTAGGCCCTTGACAGTCTGTGAGGGAGATTGTGAAACGGGCAGTGCGTGGGAGTAGAGTACTCTGGTTTGGATAATTAAGGGAGCAGGGGGAAGCCCTGGAGTCATACCACCTGGATTCAGCTCTGCCTCGTTTAGATGGGTGGCCTTAGGAATGTCACTTAGCTGCTTCACCCCCTCAGTTTCCCCAGCTGTAAATAGGGATAAGAACACGCCTCTCTCATAGAGTTGATTTGCAGGGTTGAGTAAAAGAGCACCCATAAAATGCCAGCACCCCCCACGTACATCAATCCACCCCAGTCTGCTGTGTAGGCCTGCTTGCCCCTTTCTCAAGTGAAAACAATAAACCCAAATCATCTCTTTTCAAACTCTTAAAAACAAAAAACAAAAAACAAACAAACAAGCAAAAATGGCTGGGCATGGTGGCCTATAATCCCAGCACTTTGGGAAGCCAAGGCGGGCCAATCACCTGAGGTAAGGAGTTTGAGACCAGCCTAGCCAACATGGCAAAACCCTGTCTCTCTACTAAAAATACAAAAATTGGCCAGGCGTGGTGGTGCATGCCTGTAATCCCAGCTACTTGGCAGGCTGAGGCACGAGAATCACTTGAACCCAAGAGGCGGAGGCTGCAGAGAGTCGAGATCACGCCATGGCACTACTGCACTGCAGCCTGGGTGACACAGTGAGACTCAAACAAACTTATAGAACTCATTCTTGAAACAATATGTTCTTTGTAATTTCACCACTGTCTATGAATCAGATGAAGGGGGCATTGCTCTGGTTGAAGCAGAGCCCCAGAGCCCCACACAAGCTCGCCTCTCCCCTCACTGAAGATGCCTGAACTCCTTAGAGGATATTGAGGCAGAATCAGAAAAACACCAGCCAGATACATGTTCTGTGGGGCCTCCTCCAGTCCTGAAATCCTATAACTACCCTCTCTTAGAGAAGATGGAGGAAAAAAGCAAAACGAGATTTATGAATAGTCCCTCTTGAATGATCCAGAATTTCCTCCCTTGGATATATACCCAACAGAAATACAAACGCATGTTTTCCAAAAGTCACACCCAAGAATGTTCACAGAAGCACTGCTAGTAATAGCCCCAAACTGGAAAATATCCAAATGCCCATAGAGAGCAGACTGGATCAATACATTGTGGTCTATTCACACCATGGAATGGAATATGGATGAATGAACCACTACTATACACCATGACATGGTTGACTCTCACAAACATAATGTGGAACAAAAGAGACCAGGTATAAAAGGGCACATACTGTATGATTCCATTTATATAAAGTTCAAAACAAGAAAATTAATCTATGGGGTTAGAAGTCATAAGAGTGGCTATCCTGGGGGCAGGGCAGGTGGACAGAGACAGGAAGGGCTTCTGGGGTGCTTATAATATTCGTTGGTAAAACTCACCAAGCTATACTGTTAATTTTGGTACAGTTTTCTATGTGTATGTTATGCTTCAATTTAAAAAATGTATTAAGGCCAGGCGAGGTGGTTCACACCTGTAATCCCAGCACTTTGGGAGGCCAAAGCAAGAGGATTGCTTGAGTCCAGAAGTTTGAGGCCAGCTTGGGCAACATACCGGGACCCTGTCTCTACAAAAAATTTTTTTAAATTAGCTGGGCATGGTGACATGTGCCTGTAGTCCCAGCTATTTGGGAGGCTGAGGTGGGAGGAGACTTTGAGCCCAGAAGGTCGAGGCTGCAGTGAGCCATGATCATGTCACTGCACTCCAGCCTGGGTGACAGAGCAAGACCCTGTCTCAGTAAGTAAGTAAGTAAATAAATAAACATTTAAAAAAATGAAAAAGAATTTTTGGTGAGGCTGAGCTGTGATAGTAACTAAGTCTTCCTGTGGTGATCATCGGTTTTGGTGTTCTCAGTAAGAAAAAAAAAAAAAGCTCTCTCCCAATATCTTTAAATGATGAGCTGAGAGTGAATGGAAACAGCAACTTCCACACTGCGAGACACCTTCTTTCAGGCCCCTCATATATGACTGAAGCTGCCAAAGGCTCACATCTCAAGCTCCAAGAGAAAGATTTTAAAGTACTTTACAAACTGTGATCGATGGCAAGGAACTTTTCTTTTTTTATTTTAGATGACATGGTGAGCTCATTCCTCATTTTTTTTTAACACTGGCAAATAGCATGATGGGAAAAACCAGCAGAGGGTATGGAAGGTGAGAAGAGTATAAGAATTACATGTCATGTCTAGAAATCCCATGGCTTTGTTTCCTTTCTCTGTTATGATAGATCAATGAGTCTATTTTTTACATGTTCTTAATATAAGCAGAGACAGCCCATTCCCAAATCCCTGGGGTGGCAGTGGGGGACAGTAAGAGACAAAAATAAAAATGATTATTTATAATCATGTGTTCAAATCCACAAATTTGTTCTTTCTCATGGAGAGGGTCTAAGTATATTTTACATATTTTTAATTAATCAAAATAGCCAATTAATCAAGTCAAAAATATGGCTCTTATCAATTATATAATGTCTTTTAAAAAATGTTTTATCCCAGTTTCACCTACATACCATAGATCTGATCAAATGATCCCTTCAGAATATTCTGGTTAAGAAAAAAATCCTTGTGTGGTTTTGTTGTTTTTGTCTGTTTTGCTTTCTCTGTTAAAATCTAGGCAATCTAATTCTTGGGTTAAGAGCCAATTAAGGAATTAATTAGTGCAATGGTAATTAATTTAATTTTTAAAATGATATTTAGGGGAATCACTTTAAGTGAGAAAATTCAGGTTCTAAAAACATGTTCAATTATAATTGGCAAAATTATAATTTGAAGGAATGGTAAACTAAATTGCTATGAACTAAAAATCTAATTTTAATCACTATGAAATTTAATGTCACCTCTCCATGGCCCTCCATTCTCAAGAAAGAGTCCTAAGGTAGTAGGAACTCAGTATGCCCAACTCCTATAATCATGAAATCTTATTAAGTTCATTTGTTTAGTTTTAAATGAAACCAAGAGATGAGATGCTGTGTTTGTAGCTGAAAGGAAAGAACAACAGTTCTGGGAAACTAGATGAACTCCCCTTAGTAAGTAAAAGTACATTTCTGTCTTTTTTTCTTTTTTTGGAATTTAAAAGAAAGAAAAGACAACTTCAGTAAGACCATCTTCATTAATTAGGAACATTAAGGTAATGTAGAAGAAAAGGTAATTTTAAAAAATGGTAGAGCAGAAATACCACTGGATTAGGAGTCAAGCAGGAGATCCAGGGCTGTTCCCTTCTTCTTACCATGTCTGAGGACCAGGAATCTGAAGCCCTTCCAGGGCCTGCTAAGCTCTTATGCCCTGAGACTAGATGCTGAGTACAGGAGCCAGTAAAAAGAAATCTTTTACTCCTTGTGGGTCCATTGGCCTCTGTACATTAACAGCAGGCTCACGTGGACATCCAGAGCTTATGCATGACTGTTTTCAAATCTGATTTTCTTCAACAGAAGCCCATGAAAGGAACCTGCAAAGAGAGTGTCCAGCTTCTCACATCACGGGATCAAACACATCAAACAAGCTTCTATCACCTCTAAAGGTACAGACAATGGCATAAAAGTTGGATATGTGCATTGCCCAGGACAGGAAGGTCTATGTTTCTGGACTGCATCAAAACCCCCCTCTGAGGTGATAATAACAAAGGAGATGCTAGGGGTCTGGCGTTAGATAACGGATCTCCTGGCAGTGGCTTCTGCCCCAGTGATGCAACCAGATTTGTCAACCCTCCAGCAAAGAACTTTCTGTTCCTCCATCCCATTTTATTGTTGACAAGATTACAATAAGATTATTTTCAGACTCTTCTTTCCACTACGAGGTGCTTGACTAGCCCAACTCTGGCCAACTTCTTCCACTCAAGCCTGCCTAAATAGACCTAGCCTTTCCATTTATTGATCAGCCACTAATTCAACATCATTATTCAAAGCTTAGTTATATACCAATTCTACCTGGGAAGTGGCCTTGCATTATCTAATTCTAACCTGTCTTGAGCACTGAAATCCATTCTAATGTCCTAACATGGAGACATTCCTTTAAACACCTGAGAACAACAAATTGGATTTTTCCAGACTTCCCCCATCTGTTTTCCAACCACTTCCATATGGCATCTCTATCTCCTTCTCTCCAGCCTCACCCTCTTGCCTGCCCCACTGCAGCTCTCTCTTGGTCAATGAGGTAAATATGATGCCCGACAGGGCAGGAGGGCAAAACTTTATTTGGTTTCAGACCAAATGTATAATTACCTCCACAATAACCACATCTGTGATCTGTGCTCTGTTTGCATTTGTAGGAAGGCACATGCATGCAGATGCACATCATTTTGCAGGGCATGCTTACACACCCAGTGTCCCAGCTAATCACCATATGCTAGACATTCAAATTCCGTTATATAACGAAGGTAGGCCATAGAGGAAAGAATAGACTGGCAGAATGCTGCTTCCCCAGGGGCAAGGAGGGTGTCGCTGGGTGAGCACACAGCAAGATTTAAGCTCTTTCAGGCAATGGATGTAAAACAGCTTTGGCATGTTAGACATTACACATGATAAAGTAGAACCACACACTGATGAATATGATGCTTTAACATAGACAGGGCAAATAGAAATTGCCACACACAAAAGTATAAAACAGTGAAAAGCAAAAATGATGTGTTCCCAGAGAAAGGGAACATTCTCTTAGACTCTAGCTTCCATTATGTAAGGAGTAATTTTTTTTTTTTTTTTTGTCCTGGAAGAGCAGATTCTTCTGAGATGCATGCAACCCTATTCTTGCCTCTTCATCTACTCCTCCAGCAATCTGAGAAATTAGCCAAAGGGAATTTCATTTTTTATTCATCTCCACAAATACCATTATAAATATTAACAAAGAACAACCTCACCCTTATCTGAGCCCTGCACCAACAAGGGCATAAAGAGTCCTTTCCTTTAATATCTCTGCGGCTGTCTTGACCACATATGATACACAGAAAAGAAATTTAAATCGAGGCCTCCAAAGTGCTTCTTTAATTCCTTCCATATTTTTGCTTTGGGGCATTTACCAAGACTTTTATGAGTCAAGCAGCCAACTGCATCCATTTATTTGCCCCACAGTATCATTGCACTCTTCCCAAAACCATCCAAAAGTTTCTGAGCTCTGGTCAAACTCAGCACCCCAGACACCTACAATCCACAATTGCAGTCACTCTAAGGGACTTACCTGGAGACATAGATCTCCTTGCTGCCCCCATAAATATACATTTGTGCATCAGTGACTTGCTGGCCATGGTAATGGCTCTCATAAGCTGGCTGCAAGTTCCCACCTTCCGTTCTACATCTTTCTTCCCAGGAATTTAAAGCACTTTGCCGATATACCAGTGTCCATGTATTGCCAGCTAGAGCATCAGAGATCATGCCCGCCTTGGTTTGGCAGGCTGGTATTTCCATGCAGCTGGCTCTAGCCTCCTCTTCTCCCTTTACAGATGCACCGCTACCATGACATGGCTGCTGGTGGACCAAAGGCAGACCTGGCTATATATGGGGACATGAGGCATCTGGCTCTAGGATTTTTCTCAAAGTTCTCATAAAGTAAAGGAGTACAATGGTGGGACAAAGGGAGGATGAAAGCTTTCTCTGAGCACAATGGTGGGCTATTTTCTGGTGAAACACTAAGCTGGGATCTCCCAAGTTGATTCTTGCAGCTGGCTGCTGGCACCAACCCTAGAGATTCAGAAGAATCACCTCTCCCCTTATCTTCATTTTCCCTCTGTTATCTGATCTTCAGAGCATTTTAGAAATGGGAGTCCTTTCCATCACTTAATTATAGGAGGTGGGATGTGGAGGTGGGGACTCATTTCAGGACACTGGTCAATCCAGGACAGACTTGTTTGCTGTGGCTTCTCATTGTTATGCACTGACTCTTCACAACCACCCTCAAGGCTAGGTGCAAACCCTCCCAGTGAGGAACCAGCCAGCTCTTGAGTCTGAAAGCTGCTTGAGTCATGCTCTTTCACAAGTCTTAAAGGGTCACTGGGCCATCTCCTTGATCTCTGAGAGTCCTCACTTTTCTGTCTTTGGAATTACATCAACCCTACAGGAAACTGGTGGGACTCAAAAAACAATACCCCAAAATGAAGGCCTCAGCAGCAGCCTCAGAAGCAAAAGTTTTTCTCTGACCTTCTCCTGCCTCTATCTCTCAGTCCCATTCTCTCCAAGGCTACCCATGGAAACTAGAATTCCTCTCCCCCAAGGCAGGTCATAGAAACCAAAACACCTTTTCCCCAAAGCCAGCCATAAACCTAAAAATACAACTCTAATTTTCACTCTGCTTTTCTGTGTAAAAATTGGCTACAAAGAAATTCTTGGACCTACTTTGTTTGACTGCAGGTTATAAGACCCCCATTCCAGAGGGTTCTGCCCCACACCCAGGAGAAAGGAATGCTGCTCAGAGAGGCCAAGAAGGATCTAGACAGACAGGCCTTGCTGGGTTTCCCCACTCAGTCTATCAGCATTCGATCAGGCCCTTTTTATCCCTGTTTCTCCAAAGCTCTCCATACTTTGTTAAGCCTAAGCATAAAAATGGACAATTTCCCCTGGATCTTTAGGTCTTCATCCTGAAGGCTCCCATGTATACATATTAAGTACATTTACATGCCTTTTTAACAGTTTAATCAATCTGCCTCTCGCCAGTGATTTTCAGTGAACCTCCAGATGGCAAAAGGGAACCTTTCCCTTGGCCCCAACAAAATCAAGAGGCAAAAATCTGAAAAGTCAGGGATCACAAGAGGCCACAGCAACCCTGGAATATCAGTTTCAATAATATCCTATTTATCTGGCCTTTCAGGGTATGATATGCTTTACCCAAGAAATACTAATATCATCATCATGATCATCTATGACAACCTTTCCAAATTACATTATTTAATTCCTTCCTCTGAACACCAAAGCATATAAACCTAATCTAAACTTTCTTCCTCCGGGGGAAAAAAAAAAACCCCACCATTATACCAAGTAGCAAGACAATGACCTGCCCTCCCCCCCAGCAAATCCCCAGGAGCTATGGTGCTTTTTATGGGCTATTTGTCTCTACATCAACTGCCCAAACTCTCTTACTTTGAGTTGTTGTGCTTTTTGGTAAACTAGTTCTTCGGAAATTTCCTTCATTGTCCTATGGTAATGAGCTTATAAGCTGTTGTCAGATTTTTTACTTAAGTCCATTTTAATTGCTTTGCTAATTTATGCAAGGTGGAGACCCAGATGAGTGAGCATGGGAGCATTGCATGGGTGCCACATTGCACAACCCAGTGTGCTATTTGCATCACAGCTCATGCTACTGGTACCCCTTGGAGTGAGGGCAGTGCACAGTCAGCTCCAACATACACAATGGACAAGAAATATCAATATCAACCAAAAAACTTCCCCAGCAAATACATGGGCTTTGTGACAATGACTCTAGATGCTCTGCTCTATGCCCCTTATTCTTCTTTCTTATTATTATCATCTGTGTTCTGGAGAGTTTTCAGATCCCCCTCCCCCATGTCTGTAAATTGAGACTGTGAAATAAAGTGTAAATAAGTGAAACGATGCCGTGAATTAGATAAGACAGTTGACCCTTCAGACCTGGATTTGAATCTTAAATTGCCCATATACTAACTGTGCAACCTCTTCAACATATAACTTACTTCTTGGAGCTTTGGTTTCCTCATCTGTGAAATGGGGATAAAAGCAGTCTTTGATGGATCAGATTGCCTTGTACTTTCATAAAGTACATTTCAATGTACTTTACATATATTTAAATACCATAACGTATGTAAAGTACTTGGAACAGTGCCAGGCACATCCTAGGTCTTCAATTAATGTTACTACGTACTAATCATTATCCCTATAGTTTGGTGGCACATCAACTCAATTTCAATAAGCTCATAATGGGCAGGATGTTATAGTGGTTAAGAGCCCACAGACTCTGAAGCCAGACTGCCTGGAAAAGAATCCTGGGGCCACCTCTTACTAGTTGTATGATTTTTAGCCAACTTCTCACTTTACTTCACTTCTCAGAGCTACAAGTCATTCCTCTGAAAAATAAGGGAAAAAATAACACCTAGCTCTCAGAGCTGTTGTATGGCTTAAATGAATATATATATAGTACTTAAATAGTACCTACACTCTGTAAACATTTAATAAATGTGTTGGCTGACCTTGTCGCTATTATACTCTCTAACTTGGTGGATAATTATTTAAATGGCCACAAATTCATCCTTTTTCTGCATTAACATCCTTGCAATATAACATTGCAGATCTCCCATCATGATGTAGAATCTATTTCTTCACTCATTGAATCTGAGCTGACCATGTGACTTGCTTTGGACAATGGGCCATTAGCAAACATAATGCAAGCAGAGGCTTGAAAAGAGGCTTAGGAACTGGGACTCTGTTGTTGCTCTTAGGAACCCTGTGTCTGTCTACCTTGTGAATGAGCCGAAGCTAGTCAGCTGAAGGATAAGAGACCACATGGAAGAGAATTAAGTCACCCTGACCAATGGCCAGCCAAAAGCCAGATCTGTGGCTCAGCCACAAGCCCTACTGGCCACAGATGCACGTGAGCCCAAAAGGTTTGCTGAACCAGTCCAGAGCAGAAAAACTGCCCGGATGACCCACAGAATTGTAAGCCAAATAAATGGTTGTTGTTTTATGCCATTAAGTGTTGGGGTGGTTTATTACACAGCACAAGCTAACTGTAACAGGCCTTGTAGAGTCTAACATGTAGTTCCATGTACCATTCTTACTTCTGATTCCCTGTCTGCCAGGCTTCTGTGGCCAGCCCAAGAACTGGATGTTGTGAAGCAACTAGTTTTTCTAAAGAGAACAACCCCTCTTTAAGACATGTCTATTAAAAACAGCTTAAGAGGAAAAGCTTCTTGGTGTAATTATAGTCACACACATGGGATCTAAAAGTTGGAACACACCAAGAAAAGGACTTTGTGTTTGGAAGGGACATGATGACAAATGGTGGGCTCTAAATAATTCCAAGCTTCCATTCATGGAATTTGGGATTGATTAGGCCAAGGAGATGGAACTAGCTCAATGTTACCTCCCCTGAAAAGCTTTCCTTGGCTCTTCTCACTACCATCATTGTCTTGTTGACTTTCGATACCTGGCGTGTGCATTTAGGCTTTGGATCACATGGAATTCTGTGTGGCCCTAGAGAATCCACTTGATCACGTGGATCTGAGTCTTCTCTACCAAATAAAATGCTACATTCCTTGAAGGTACAAAACCTGTCTCAGTCCATCACAGTACCTAGCAAAGTTCCACGCACAAAGTAGGTATTCAATAAATTCAGTGGTCATTATATCAAAGAAACTCTCCAAGTTAGAAGTGAATACATATTTTGTACCTATGGAGAGGCAACATAGCAAGAGAGCCCAAGAGCACAGATTCTGAGGTCAGACTCCCTGGGCTTGAATCGTTACCCCTCAACTTCCTAACTGTGCCTCAGTTTCCTCATCTGTAATTGCTGATAACAGAAGCAACTACCTCATGGGGTTCTTATAAGAATGAATTGAGGTTATAAATGTAAAGCACCCTATCTATATAACAGAATGCCATTTGGCAATCAAAAGGAACAAACAGAAACATTACTCTCAGTGAAAGAAGCCAGTCACAAAAGATCACATATTATATGATTCAATTTACATCAGCTGTCCAGAAAAGACAAATTAATAGGGAGAGCAAGTAAATTAATGGTTGTCTGGGGCTGGGGGTGTGATTTGGAATTAACTGTAAATGGGCATAAGAGGTGACAGAATCAGATTGTGAAGATGGTAGCATTTCTCTGTAAATTCACTAAAAAAAAAAAATCATTGAATGGTGCATTTAAAATAGGTGAGCTTTCACCAGATCTGATGATTTTAAAAGTGGCGGTTTCCCCTGTGTACACTCTCTTGCCTGCAGCAATGTAACATGTGCTTTGCTTTCCCTTCACCTTCCACCATGATTTTAAGTTTCCTGGGGTCTCCTCAGCAGTGTGGAACTGTGATTCAATTAAACCTCTTTTGTTTATAAATTAAAAATAAATAAATAAATAAAATAAAATAGGTGAGCTTTATGGCATGTAAATTATATCTTAATAAAGCTGCTCTGAAAAATGTAAAGGCTTAGAGAACAGTGCCTGACCTAAAACAGGCACTAGGTAATTGTTTATGAAAAATAAATAAATAAACATTGTACTTGGGAAAATGTGGGTATAACAGTGTTCCCTGGATGCTGAACCATCTTCATCTTTCTAACCTCTTGTTCACCCAACCTCCCCCCAACAGGGATCTAAAGCTGGGGATCCTCTTCCTATGAGCCCAGGATGCTGCTAAACCCAGCCATATGTGTCTCCTTGGCTGCTACTGTCCCTCCCACTGCCAAAACTCTATGCAGTGTATTAAATGCCTCTTGTTTATAAAGCTCATGATGCCAAGCTATATTTTATTATATTGAGCCAACTGCTCTTATGCAAGTTTTCTCTTTTGGAAGGGGGTGTTGGGAGGAGGGAATGATCACACTATTGAGGAAGGGAGATTCCTTAAAACCATGACTCCAAAAGCAGCTGCTGATTACTCACAAAAACCCACACATCCTTGTCCTTAACAAATGTTATGCCACAGGGTAGCTTTAGCCCTGATCAAAACACGGACAACAATAGCCTCTTGGTCAGAAAGGAAAAAGGAGATAGAGAGGGAAGGAAGAGTTAAAGAAAGAGAAAAGGAGAATAAGATGAGAAAGAAAAAACAGTTTGAAATAGATTTACAGCAAGGCTCTGCCACATATGCAGGAATAGGGAGGGCTTAATTTGTAATAAGTCCCTGGAACAGAAAAGAGTCCCAAGCATACAATTCTTGTAAACTTGTGGCTTTAGCATCTTGCCCCAAACCATCTGCACAGAGTTCTCAGCCCTTCTGTGAAATCATCACTCCACCCTGTTTTATCTTCTGGCCTTCATTACGAACTGGCCCATTCACTTGGTTCCCATCAGGTTTCATGCTCAGTTGCTCACCATTTCCCACATTGATGCTGATGGAGTCTATCTTCCCAGCCATTTAAACACATCCATCCAAATTTTCTGAGAGGGAAGGAAATACGACTCCACCTCCTCACAGTCTCCGCAGACTTGGCAAAATGGATGCTTGGAGTCATGCCCAGACCTAGTAAGACCAACCCACTTTCCCTGTTCATACAGTAATTTATGTATGCAATCAAGCAAAAATTATTTATTGAGCAATCACACATGACAGAACCTGGCTTCCCTATCCTTAGCAGTGCTTCTCAAACTGGAGCATGCATGGGGACCTCCCGGAGAAATGCTAAAACACAAATTCCTGGGTCCCACCCCCAGAGCTACTAGTGCAGTAGGTCTGGGGGTAGAGTCCAGAGTCAGCAGTTCTAACAAGCTCCCAAGTGATGCTAATGCTTCTGGTCCATGGACCAAACTTAGAGTAGCACTGCTCCTGGGGTTACAAAGGTGAATAATAGGTGGAGTTTGCCTGAAGTAACTATAATCAATTACTGGACCCAAAGAATGCATGCACAGGCCAGGTGCGGTGGCTCACGCCTGTAATCCCAGTACTTTTGGAGGCCAGGGCAGGCAGATCACCTGAGGTCAGGAGTTCGAGACCAGCCTGGCTAACATGGCGAAACCCCAACTCTAATAAAAATATAAAAATAAGCTGGGCATGGTGGCAGGCACCTGTAATCCCAGCTACTCGGGAAGCTGAGGCAGGAGAATTGCTTGAACCCGGGAGGCAGAAGTTGCAGTGAGCCGATATCAAGCCACTGCTCTCCAAACTGGGCAACAGAGTGAGACTCCCTCTCGCGCCTGTAATCCCAGCACTTTGGGAGGCCGAGGCAGGTAGATGACTTGAGGTCAGGAGTTCAAGACCAGCCTAGCCAACATGGTGAAATCCCATCTCTACTAAAAATAAAAAAATTAGCCAGGTGTGGTAGTGTGCGCCTGTGGTCTCAGCTACTCAGCAGGCTGAGGCATGAGAATCACTTGAACCCCAGGGGGCGGAGGCTGCAGTGAGCCGAGATCTCGCCACTGCACTCCAGCCTGGGACACAGAGCAAGACACTGTCAAGAAACAAACAAACAAACAAACAAAGAAAAAGAATGCATGCACACACAAACACATGAAAAACAAAACTTTAACACCAGGTAACACATGATGAGCCTTAGGAGAGACCCAGACAGCAAGTGAGAGAAATTGAGAGAAAAGGTTGGGCTGTATGCATATATCTCCATACATGAGTTCTTCATGGGCAAAAAAACCACATTGTATTCATTTTTCTACTTCTAACACCTGGCACATAGTAGAGGCTCAATAGAATATTTATTAAATAAAAGAACAAATATAAATATAGGCATTTGTTCATTAAATTTATGTACCAAAGTTTCATGTCTTGGTTGTGCATTTCTCTGCCTTATCAAAAATCAATGAGTCAACAAGCACTGAAAGAGCACAAGGACTGTGTCAGGCCTGGAATACATTCTGTGCTGGATCCCACAATGAACATAATATACATGGTTTCTACCCTCATAAAGCTGAGAGTCTGAGGCTTCACTGTATATGATGCTCTCCATACTTTAAATCTTAAGCCCACTGGGTCCTTTTCTGAGATCTGCCTTGAATATCGCAGTCTCCAGCTCTAAATCCTGGTCTGCTGGCTATGGATTTTGGGGTAAGTTACTTAACCTCTGCTATGGTTTGGATATTTGTTTCCTCCAAAGCTCATGTTGAAATTTAATCTCCAATGTTGGAGGTGGGGCCCGGTGGGAGATGTTTGGGTTGTGAGAGTGGATCCCTCATGCATGCTTTGGTGCCCAGGAGTGAGTTCTTACTCTATTAGTTCCCATAGGAACTGATGGCTAAAAAGAGCCTGGCCCCTCCCTCCACCCCCTCTCTTTCTTCCTCTCTTGATATGTGATGCCAGGTGACTCCCTTCACCTTCCACTACGAGTAGAAGCTTACCGAGGTGCTCACCAGAAGCAAATGCTGGTGCTATGCTTCCTGCACAGCCTACAGGACTGTGAGTCAAATAAACCTCTTCTCTTTATAAATTACCCACCCTCAGGTTATCCTTTATAGAAACACAAATGGACTAAGACGACCTCTCTGTTCTTCTGTTTCCTCATCTCTAAAATGGAAATAATAGGATAACTGCCATCACAAGGCTAGAATCAAGACTGAGCTCATTGACATAATAAACTTAAAACAGCACTTGATACACAGAAAGGGGTTGTTAAATGTTCACTGTTAATTTTTGTTTGCATTATTATTATCAACACTATCTTCATCATCATTATCATTAAAAGCTGACCCCCTCAAGGGCAAGATACATCTCAGCTTATGGAGTTTGAGATAAACAAAACAGCCTTCTGGGCCTCAAAAATCCCAGCCGAGTCCTACAGCTTTCTTTCTTCACCCTATTTGGTTTTCCCATCCTCTCCCAATCCGCTCTTGTAGCAGCTTCTTGAAACATCCAACCCATTTACAAATCAGAGCCATTGCTGTGATGGCTTGAGTCCAGGCCCAAGCTGGCAGGATCAAGAAAAGACAGGCCCCTCTCATTCAGCCACACATAGCCTACTTGTCGCCCTTTTGGAAACCAGTGACTCAGATGTAACTCTCCTGCAAGGTAGCAGCTGGTGGGCTTTGGCAAAGCACACAAAGGGAGTGCATTCTCTCTCCCAGCGACCCAGGGCACCAAGGAGAAGGTCTTAACGCGGCGCTCATTCATGTTTTAGCCTAATTAAAATGGCATTACCAGTTTCAATAGCAGGTTTCTTCTGCCAGCTGCAACTGGTTCTCTTCTCTGCAGCTTTTTCTTCTTGTTTTTATAGTTTATTGATCCCCAACATGGAACTTGAGGAAGGTTGGATTAAAAAATAGCAGCTCAACTCTCTTTCCTCTCTCCCTTGTCCTGTTTGAAATCTCAGATCTGCAGATAATTATTTGCCATCTCTGTTTACCTAAACTGGCTCGGAGGCCTCACAATGGGCAAATTTTTATAAACCAATAACCCAGACTCTTCTAGATGAACAAATGGACTTCATTTTATAATTTGGCATAAGATCTCCCAGGGGCCAGAAGCCTAGATTTTATACAAACCAAGATGTGTAGAGGTATACACATTTATGTCTGTATGCATAGATCTCCATACATGAGTTCTTCATGGGCAAAAAAACATATTATATTCGTTTTTCTACAAATGAGCTTGGCTGCTTCAAAAAGACACAGCGTCTCTTCTGGTATCTGGCAGGCTGAGGTGACAGGTAATAAAATGCACCTCACAGCCCCTTTGTAAATTCTAAATTCCTTCCTCTCAGGAAGGGGCTGCTTGCCTGCAAATATCTCCAGGAAATTTTGTGAAGAACTCCATTTTGCCTGCCTTAGCTACAAATTACACACCACCTTGCAGTCCATGGTTCAAGAGCCCTGTAGTAGCAACATGGTGGCATTTAGGGAGGGGTTCAACTGCCACATCAAGCAAAAGCAGCTCAACTCTGAGTTGAGATTTACAAGAACAGGACAACAGGGTTTAATAATATTTGGGATGGAAAGTGAGGAGACAATGATAGAACAAATGACACTCCAGTAAATCCACTACCGTGAACCCTAGTCCTTTTTTTCCATCCTCTGGTATTTATTCTTTTATCCATTTGCTCGTGTGTTCGTCACAGGTTTATCAAGTGCCAAAGAGACTATATGTAGTATGCTAGTTGAGGGCATGCGCTTTGGGTTCAAGCAGACCTGCTCAATTTCCAGTTCTACCACTTGACCAGCTGTGTCCTTAGTCAAGCCACTTGGCTTCTCTAAGCCTCAGTTGCCTATGTTCAATTGAGTATGGTTGTTGGAGCTAAATGAGACTATGTACATAACACCTGGCACAGTTCTCTGGCATAGGAATGAGCTATGGAATATGTTATCATGATAATGGTGATGATGTTGGTGATAGTAAATGGTGGTGGTGATGTTAATGACCATGATGATGAGGAGGAGGAGAAGGAGGAAGAGGAGCTGTCTTAGCTATTGGGAGGTAACCAGGGGTAGCTATTAGTCTTGTGAAACTCTTCTTCCAACACCAACATTTCTAGTATTTTTTTGTATGAGAAACTACATTTGATCCTTCCAAAGCCCTGGGATTCCAGCTCACAGTTGCTGGGGATGCCAGCCCCTGACAAAAGTAGTAGAGGGGAAATTAAAGGGCAATTCCACTTTACTTTTCACTATTACCTATAACCCTCTCTCCCCTCTGGCACCCTCTGGGATAGCCATATTAAACCCATGTAAAGAAGGAAATCTGCACATATTCCTCATGCTTAAGCTTGGAGCTCAACCTCTAAGAGGTAGAAACCAACAGGAACCCTGCTCTGATTGAACATAAAATTAAACTCTCTTATTGCAATTTGACAGATGACCATTAGCGGTATTCTAGGCACAGAAACAAACTCAGTCCCTCAGGCCCTTCTCTTCAATGAACACCAAATGGAAAGACAGCAAGAAGAAATTGACATGAAGCTCTTATGATGGAGTCCGTAGATGCCTTACGATATTCCCTTGTGCACTCATAAAATTTTGTTCTTCTTCAAGTGTTTTCATACCCTTTGATGCTCACAGGAATTCTAGAAGGCAACTTAATACTGAACTCATTTAACAGATGAATAAACTGAAGTGGACAGAGACAATATGACTCCCGCAAGATCACAGAGCTGTCACTAGAACAGTAAAAGTTAGAACTTCGGTTTCCTTATTCCAAACTTGAGTTCTTTTCACCAAGTGGCCTTCTAGCCAACATTCAGCTGCTGAACTGAGCTTGTAAATCTCCACTAGCAGAATGAGCGAATGGATTGCTTGTGACTAGAATAGAAAGGGAGTCAGTAGCTCTGAGTCAGGTACCGGGAGAACCTCAGAAGTAGCCTATGTGAATGTCCACCTGGGATTGCCAGTGACTAGGACCACTGACCAGATGGTGTCCATGAGGAGTTCTTGACTTGCTGTAGCCCATGTTTTCTGTGGTCTCTTCTGCCCTGAGTTTATTCCTTCATCCCATCTACCCAGCATCTTCCTTTACTTGGCTTTCTAGTGGGAAAGGACTGGTTAACCAATGAGCTTCAATGCTATCAAATAGCCTATAAATCAACAGGGCTCCAAAGACTCAGAGTTGGGCTCCTATACAAAATTTGCCTGCTCTACTTCCTTCTAATCCAGGAAAGGGAAGCATCAACTTAAGGACTCATATCATTCAATAACAATACAAACATGTGGGGCTGATTAACAATCAGACAAGAAGATATGCACTCTGTGGAGCACACTCATAGACATAGACATACCATGGGTGTGGGTGCATCAGGATGGCTTTAATTAAAGGCCCCCTGCTGCCATCTTCTTTAAGTTACTGTTCTACTTGCATAGCTTTGTCTCTTGACTACAAATCACCTGAATCATCCTCCCCAGGATCACTGTAAGATTTCAGCTTCAGGATTTCCCTCTCTCAGACTGATACATATCAGTAGGAACTCCTAGAGTGAGCAGTGACCTCCATGATGAGTTTGTTCATCAAAGGATTACATCCTTGAGCAGGGGTTCCAAACCTTTGCTGTGTGTTGGCCCCTTTGGAAAGCTGGTGAAGCCAATGGACCCCTTGTCAGAACAGTTATTTTAAATGTATAAGGTAAACTACATGGGATTATAAAGCAAATCAATTGTATCAAAATAAAGTTATCCAAATACTAAACAGCAAATTTGTCATACAGTAAAATGTGCGCTTGTTTATCAATGCATTGAATAACAAGATCTAGTAGTGAGTCTTATACCATCATAATTTTGAGGTAATAATGAGATCTCTATAGGAACCACAACATGATACAGAAATGTCTATGATTTCTGCTAGTGACCAAGTTACAGGTACAGCTAACACTACTGTGATTTTTGTCTTTATTTGTAATGGAAGGAAATGCTAAATTCCAGTTCAAAATTAGTGAAACTAAAGATGTCATTTTTTCCTGAACCCCATGCCTTCTATGCACAGGTCCTTTGGGTGGGGGGTGTGGATTTCAGGTTAGGATCAACCTTTGTCCCCTGGTCCTAGAGACAAGCCACATGGATAGACTGCTCAAAAGGAACTCAGTGAGCTACCTATATCAATGAGACTGTATGTCAACAGCCAATTTTTGGTGGTGGGGGGAGGGAAATTTCTAAATATTGAAATAACATTCTGAGCCCCTGACAATGAAGAAAAGATTATGTTCTGGGACATGGCACTACAAGCCTGGTTTAACTACAGCTAAATAATCTCAAAGCAAGGGATCCAGGGACCGCCCCTGGTACAATTAAAGAGACAGGCTTGTGGATTTTTCCAACTTGCTCACTTGTCATCCATTATATTGTTTCTCTAGGTATTAAAAGAACTTTCCAGGTCAGTGGCCTGCCATGCCACATCCCTGGATAAACTGCCCAACCTACCACAGCTCAGAAAAGACATGCACATAGAAGAGTGACTTTGGCAGCTTTTTTCTTTTCTGCCAACTGTTCCTGACCCTTCTCATGCTATAGTTGATTGGACCAAGGGTGAGCACCAGATTCAAGGGCAACCTAACTATTGCCTGGTAAGCAGCCAATGATGTGGCTTGAAAATAATAATTTTTAAAATGATCTAGATCAGACAGCCTCTCTCTCTCATGCTCTCCTGGAGAATGTGAACTGAGACACACTGCAAAAATGCAATTACAGTTGGAAGTCAAAGCTGAAAGAAAGTACAGAGGAAAGCCCAGAATTTGACTCAGGGTAATTACAGGGAAAAACAAAAACAAAAACAAAAACAAAAAAAAAAAACACAGAAAGATACTGAGCCCAGGGAATGGTGGAGTACTGCACTGGAGACCATAGGCCCCACTGCAGGGTCACCGGGGAGGCCCCAGATTTAGATTATCCTTTAGTTCCTGTCTCTGTAAAGCCTCCACTTCCTATCTACATAGCAAAATTTCATGAATAAAATTCAGGGCGTTAGAGAAAAAAATCATATTTTTATTTTCACTAAACTGGAAACGAAACTTTGCATTTCCTTCCCCTCTTTTGAGAAGCCTTCATATATCCTCTAGATTGGGTGAGGTGCTTCAACAATGTGCCCCCGAAACCCTTTCACCTACTGCTATCAAGGCAGGAACCATGTTCATCACAATTGCCTATTTACATGTATCTACCTCCCAATTAACCGTAAGTTCCTTGAGGGCAAGGACCCTTCAGGAATTGTTGGTCTCCTATGGATTCCCATGGCTTGGCACAGTAAATGTCCCATAGTATATACTTAATAAATATTTATTAAATCAAAGAATTACATAAATCAACAGGGCTCCAAAGACTCAGGAAGCCATAGAGACATAAAATAGCAATTTAAGGATGCGGGTTTAGTAATCTAGCCACAGCAATTAAGAGGAAAATAATGGGGCAAATACCAAACTCCATAGGAGAATATTAGAATTAGGTCTTTCATACAACATATGTTAAAGCAATTCGGTTCACTGAATATTGACTGTGATCTCCTATAGGTTACACTACCTTTTCATAAGGATTTAACAAATATAAGAGGGTAAAGCATGCAGAACTATCTCAAACACAATGCAGAATGAGATACATACTATAAGAGATAGACCATTTGGGGGGAGAATTGCTATTAGAACTGGAGTCAGCTGACCTATATCTAAACCTTGCTCTTCCCCCTTATTAGTAATAGAAATCTAGACAAGTTGCTAAACTAAACCTCAATTTCCCTGTTTGTAAAATGGAGCTGATGATACGGACCTAATAGAAAAGTCACAAAGATTAAATGCAATTAATTATGTGAAAGGACGTGGTACTATAATTGGTGCATGACACGCATTCATTAAAGGTTTGGATTTTTTCCCTCATATATAAAAAACTGTCAAATTGTAAATGGTCAGCAAGGTGATGGTGGTGGAAAATAGGAATTTAATATGTGGTATGTTACTCCCAAGTCCATTTTACCCATGACTATGCTAGAACAAAATTTTACTGTATTTGGAGCAGATTGGAAGGAAGGTCTAGCTCAGCACTAGAAACAAACAGAAATACAATATGAGTCGCACATGTAATGTTAGCTTTTCTAGTAGCCACATTAAGAAAACTAAAAAGAAACAGGTAAAATTAATAATTTATTACATTTAACCTAATATATCCAAAATATTTTTCAACATGTAATCAATATAAAAACTTATTAAGAAATATTGTACATTCTTTTTGTTGTACTATTTGAAACCAAATGCGTATTTTACACATACAGCACATCACATCTCACTCCCAACTAGCCCCATTTCAAGTACTTAATAGCCATCTTTTGCTAGCGGCTGAATGGGGCGGGTCTAGCTTGTATAAAGACAGCTGTGGAGATCACCTCACCAGGAAATCAAGTTTTTTTTCTTGTTTTGTTTTTTAGACGGAGTTTCTCTCTTGTTGCCCAGGCTGGAGTGCAGTGGCATGATCCTGGCTCACTGCAACCTCTGCCTCCCAGGTTCAAGCGATTCTCCTGCCTCAGCCTCCCAAGTACCTGAGATTACAAGCATGCGCCACCATGCCCAGCTTATTTTTGTATTTTTAGTAGAGACAGGGTTTTGCCATGTTGGCCAGGCTCGTCTCGAACTCCTGACCTCAGGTGATCCACCTGCCTCGGCCTCCCAAAGTGCTATTATTACAGGCGTGAGCCACCACGCCCGGCCCAGGGAATCAATTTTATTTAGACAGTGAATAAGAGCTCAGACTCTGGAACGAGACTGTGTTCAAATGCTGGCTCTGTCACTTAACCAGCTGTGTGATCTTGGACCACTGACTTCATCTCTCTGTGCCTAATTTCTTCATCTATATTGAGCAACAGCAATACCAGCTTCCAGAGTTGGTGAGGATTAAATGAATTAACACATGCAAAATGCTTAGAGTGACATCAGGCACAGAGTAAGCTATCAATAAACGTTAGCTGGTATTATTATTACAGCTCTGGGGGAGAGGGGCATGAAGAGAGTAGCAGAGAAGTATAAAACCTACAAAAAATTAGAAGTTTGCTACTCCCCTTTCAAGTGTTAGCCAAACTGATTAGGGAACTCTGCTGTTCTCTCTTAAAGGCCAATGAAAGTGAGAATCCTGGTACGTAGTGTCCCAGCATGAAATGGTCCTTGCAGAGTGGCAGACCCTCAAGTTTTCAATCTGAAGGCAATCCAAGGAGCTATGGTTCCAATTAGGAAGGCAAAGCTGGCCCAAATACCATTCCCCGCAGCTTGGCAGGAAAAGCCATTTGCAGCAAACCAGAGCATGTCTCCCATTTTCTGTCTTTGTTTCTCTGTTCAAACATTTGTAAATCTTTCAGAACTTGGGAGAGGTGGCAGCAGCAACTGTTTTAAAAGGCAGAGCCAGAATCAAATGAAGGCAGGGCAAACACACAAATGCTCAGGGGGATTAGAAGCCAAAATACAAATAAAAAAAATAAAGATGAAATTAAGAGCAATAAAATTATTGTCTTCCGGATATAAGCAATTATGTCTTCCTGGAAATCACTTCTGGTTCTTACAGATTAAGAGCTATCTACATCTCTAAACACCTGACTGATTTTTCCTTTAAATCTGCATCAAATATATCTATTCCTCTCCCCTGGCATCCCTCACACTGCTTCTACAATAGTGGCACAAGTCAATTTAAATGCCTCCATTTTTATGTACTTTTTAATTGAGATATCACTTACATACAGTAAAGTGCATAAAACTTAAGTACACAGCCATGTTAAGGTCATTCAGGTCCAAATATGGAATATTCCCAGTGCTCCAGCAAACTTCTTCAGGCCTCTCCCAAGATAATCACTCTTCTGACCTGTATCTCAGAGGAGGACTTTGCTTGGTTTTGAACTTCACGTAACTGATATGCCACCTTTCTCTTTCCTATCAGAAATGCAGCCTTAGATAGGATGACAGGTCCCCAAACACATCAACATGCTACACTCAGGTCTTCTGACCCTAATGCACGAACACTACAGCTCTAGGTTCTCAGGTATCCAAAATCCACTTCTAGTTCTGCTCTGTAGGACATCAGACCCACTGCCATGGGGCAATGAGCTGAATTATAACAAGATTCAGCTTTATCTGGAGCAAGATGGGGGAGGTCTTGCGTCCCATAGGGACTTCCCTTTCAGTTGAGTGGGCAAGTTAGGAGCTGGAAACAGCCAACCTGGGTCTGAAGCCTAGCTTTCTCATTTTCTAGCTGTGTGACCTCAGGTAAATTTCTTCATACCTCTGTGCCTCAGTTTCCTCATCTGAAAAATGGAGACAACGACAGTACCTGCTGCCATAGATATTGTAGGCATTAAATGCTTAGAGCACTGCCTGAAACATGGTACTTCATAAAGATTAGATATTATTATTATTATCATCTAGACAATACCCTTAATGCCTAGACCAGCAAACGTGCAGTGTGCACATACAACCACATGCTCACAGATGCACACATATATATGCACATATACTTACATACATGTGTGTGTATATGCCCACACATATTCACCTTCAACTCCCCTCTGCTCAGGCTATAGATGACAAAAATTCTCCTCACCTTCCTACAAAGCTCCTGCTCATTAAAAACCAGAGGCAAGAGATCAAAGTAAAGGAAGTGTAAAACAAGGAGAGGAACCTCATTCATAAGGAACATATTTGCCTTAAGTAGGTCTGGAGAACTCAAATGTCTCCCTCCCTGAGTGCACACCGGGTTCACTCATTCTGAGATGGCACTATGTGAGCTGGAAGTCACCAAATGGCCATAATTCCTGATGGGAGACCTGATTCATGGGCCCCCAGCCACAGTGGGCATTCATGAAAGGAGAAAGGCAGTTGGATTACTCGAATTCTCATTAGAGCAAATACTAGGTACAAAATCAAATCATCCCAGAGTATCATCTTACAAATTCTGTTGACTTTTAGAATTCCATGACATCTATGAAATGTCCCAGATCTCCAAGCTAGAGAGAAATAGGGAAGTGGCATTAGGTAGTATCAAGATGTCCTTGGCTCTAAAGGGAATATATTTGACAACTCTAAAGATTTTTTTTCTAGACAGCAGTGAAAGTTTTCAGAGATGCTGTGATCATAAGTAAGGAACTTTCCCACTAAAACATCTTCTAGTATAATTACAAATATCCTGTAATATATCTGTCTCCAACATTTCACCCAGGAGGTTACCATGGGATGAAAATATACTGCTATACATAAAAGGGTCAGAAGGAAGCAACTCAAAACCCAATCTTACAGATCAGTTCAACAAGGAGGGGACTTGGGAATGGAACAGCGATGGAGCTAAAAGACTCTGAAATCCCAGGATGGCCAGTAACATATCGTATGAAATAAGGAAAGGTCTTTCTAAGCAAAAATAGTTATACTTCTTTAGATCTCAAAAGAATTTCAGATCTAGTTATTTCTTCTTGTTTTACAATTAAAGAAGAAAGAACCAGAAAATCCTCTGTGTGTGTGTGTGTGTGTGTGTGTGTGTGTGTGCGTGTGTGTGTGCGTGTGTGTGTGTGTGTGGCCAAAGTCCAAATTTTTATTGTTGACTCAAAATCTTGCTAATACTGTGTCTATTTGTTTTCAAAGTGCTAGCCAGCAAATGTTGATATTAGCCAAAATTACTTGGACTTTGGCCATTGCATGTATATAAAAACAATGAAATTTTATTTCCTTTTCCTCATCATTAGTGAGCTTATTGGCTTAAAATACTTTGAAGTTTTCCAAAACAGTTCTGTGTTTTATAAACACTCCAATAGCATCACTAATAAAAACTACAATGTCCACCTGTCCCTTTCGCCCTCAGTTAGAAAACTGCATAATAATTAGATATCTAATTCCCACTTAATTTCTTGTGGTAAAAAGAGGGGGGAAAAAAAAAATCAACCAACGCTCACAGGTGCTAGTTAACAGAATTGAATTATTTCGTAAAATTAAAAAGAAGTGCTTTCAGAGTTAGAATCTTGTGATCCTAATGCCTAGCAGACACAATTTGATTTTGGGGCAGATGGGAAAGAGAAAATTCATAATCCCTACCCTAAAGGTAAGTCAGTGAAACATCACCCCTTAGCTCCTGGCTTTCTGAAAATAAGCAGAAATCAAGACAGTAGACAATTAATATTGGCCTTCATTTCAGAAACACATGGAGACCTATCTTGACAACTATCTTACCCAGCTTCTCACCACCCAGCAAACACCAATTGGCACCCACAAGCCAGGTGCAGTCAAATGCGCCATTTAGGCCAAAATTAAAGAGTTGGCAATGTTACTTACTGATTGCATTTTTATGACAGTGAAAGCTGAAGCAACTCATAAAGTTCATGCAAAAAAAAGAAGTTTAAGATATATTAAGCCTAATTTTGTTATCCAAAAAAGAAACTCTGCAATAATTAAAGGGGATGTTGTAAAAGAATATTTGGTGACACAGAAATATATTCTTGCTCTAATAAGTGAAAAAAATCAATTTACAAAGCAATATGTAGACTATAAGCCACTTTTATTAAAACATGTACAGAACAAAACCCGAAGGATATACACCAAAATATTAACAGTGATTTTCTCTGGGTGACAGAGTTGGAGATTATTGTTATTAGTTTTATTTTATTGATTTTTTTTTTTTTTTGGGCAAAAAGGCTGTTTATTTCACCTGGGTGCAGGTGGGCTGAGTCTGAAAAGAGAGTTAGCGAAAGGAGATAGGGGTGGGGCCATTTTATAGGATTTGGATAGGTAAAGGAAAATTAGTCAAAGGGGGTTGTTCACTGGCGGGCAGGGGCGGGGGTCACAAGGTGCTCAGTAGGGGAGCTTTTGAGCCAGGATGAGCCAGGAGAAGGAATTTCACAAGGTAATGTCATCAGTTAAGGCAGGAACAAACCATTTTCACTTCTGTTGTGATTCTTCAGTTACTTCAGGCCATCTGGATGTATACGTGCGGGTCACAGGGGATATGATGGCTGAGCTTGGGCTCAGAGGCCTGACATTCCTGTCTTCTTATATTAATAAGAAAAATAAAACAAAATAGTGTTGAAGTGTTGGGGCAGCAAAAATTTTGGGGGGTGGTATGGAGAGATAATGGGCGATGTTTCTCAGGGCTGCTTTGAGCAGGATTGGGGCGGCGTGGGAACCTAGAGTGGGAGAGATTAAGCTGAAGGAAGATTTTGTGGTAAGGGGTGATATCGTGGGGTTGTTAGAAGGAGCATTTGTCATATAGAATCATTGATGATGGCCTGGATACGGTTTTGGATGAATTGAGAAACTAAACGGAAGACATAAGGTCCAAATATGAGAAGAGGAAAAACAGATATTAAAAGACTAAGAATTGGGAGGACCCAGGACATCTAATTAGAGAGTATCCAAGGGGGCCCAAGGGGGTTCAGCGTAATTACTTGCTTGGTCGGCAAGTTTTTAGGCTCTATCTTTGAGTTGTTGTTTTTTTTTTTTTTTTAAATGTTGTCATATACCAGGCCAGATTGATTTAGGTAAAAACAGCACTCTTCATTTAAAAATATACAGAGTCCCCCCCCCCTTTTTTTTTTTTAGCAGTGAGTAAGTCGAGACCTCAGCGATTTTGGAGGAAAGAGAAAATGCAAAGACAGCAATTGTTTGTTAAAGAACAATGATCTTTATTTTTAAAATTCTGTTCATTTAATAGGTTTTATGCTTCTATACTAAGAGAAAAAGTAAAAACTGCCACAAGATTCAGTTTTACTCAAGTCTTAACTCTGCCAAGAGTCCAAGATCAATGTTTGGTCAAAATTCTTCCCTAGAACAATCTGCAGCTACACACAACAACATGGGTGAATCTCAAAAACATAACACTGAATGGAAAAAGCCAGACACACAAAAAATCATTTAGCACAAACTAAATGATTCCATTTACCTAAAACACAAAAAGAGGCAAGATAACACTATGATGTCAGAAGTTAGGGCAGCATTTACCCTTGGGGCAAGTAGATACTATTAGCATTATTTATTTTTTTGCTTTATTTCCAGGGTTTCTAGTTGTACTTAGGGGGAAGGACCTAGGAGAAATGAGTCTTTCCCATCTTGTGTGGGCTTCCCAGCCTAACACAGATCCTGTTTAAAATACCTTACCTCCTCTGTTGTAAAAGACAATCTGGTGGCCAAATGAAATGCTCGATGTGCCCTTTGGGGCTCTGATCTACACCACAACCAGCCGATAGCACATATCCAAAATTTCAGATACAAGTCTGCATCCCAGCACACGCACCAGGAAGGAAGCATTTCCAAACTCATTTTCCCCCACATTTCAGTGCTCACTGGCTGGTAGTACCAAAAAAAATAGTATAAACTGGGGGTGAAATAAAAGCCATCATAAGTAAATGATGCTCTTGCTACAACATTGCAAAAACACAAAGCCAACAAGACAGTTCTGGATGGAAAAAAAAAAATGCATAAGACTTCCAGAACCCTTCTCAGCACCATTTCCCAACACTCTCACATATTGGGCCAAAGAAACTCTTCAGGAAGTAGACAAATGGGAAGTCAGGAAGGACAGAAGGAAATGTGGTGAAGGCAGGAAGGAAGAGAGGCCTCTGGGTGCCTGTGGTGTGCTGGGTAAATTCCCAGGGTTGCCTCCCCAAATCCTCCCAGCCAACTACAAACCAGGCATTGCAATGCACTAAAATATGGGGGGAAACTTGAGGCACAGCCAGTGACAGTAGTGCTCCCCAACTTTGGCTGTATATTAGAATCACCTAAGGAGCTTTTAGACATCCCAATGTGATGCTCAGGCACAGTCTATACCAATTACTTCTGAATGTCTGGAATGGGACTCAGGCACCAGCATTTTAATAAACCCTCCAGTTATATCCAACGTGCAGCTAAGTTTGAGAATAAATGGCTTAGAGAAGCACTTCTTAAACTTTAATGCACATACACTGGACATTAAAATTAGATTCTGTTTCAGTTGGTCTAGGGTGGGACTCAAGAATGTGGTGCTGTTGGTCCCTGACCCAACCTGGCCTAGTAAGGGTATGGACCACAGCCTGTCAGGAGCTGCAGGAAGCCTAATTTCAATTAGGGGCAGAAACATTTTCCAAAATAGATATTTTTCTAGCCCCTTGTGCCTGCTTGCACACAATGAGTTTCCAGATCCATGTCCCCTTTGTACTAATGCATATGTGTGGGCTCTCATTTTGCCCTCCTCTGCTTTACAGAGAAGCTAATGGAAGTGCAAGACACCAAGTTTCTGGAACACCAAGTCAGAGAGAGCCAGTCACCTCCCTCAGTCCCACCCTGGTAGCTAAGAGAGGCTGATTCCACTGGGGAAGTAAGGGCTCCCTTACTTCTATACACTCCCTTATTTGACAAGATATTAGGCACAAGCCATGCCAGAGTGTGTGTATTAATGAAGCCCACATGTAACTGCTTAAGAGTAAACACTCACTTAATCCCATGTAGCTGAAATGTCTAACAAACGAATTAGCTGGTGGCATCCACTTAGGATATATGATCCAATTTATATTAAGATTTCTTTCTAAGGGCTGAACTGATTTCGACACGTATAAAAATGTGGTTTCAATCACCCACAATTGCACCATTTGAACAAGGCAGAGGGAAAGGCTTTTAAAGGGCCCAGACCTCAAGGGAGCAAATTACAAGATGGAATGAAGGAAATTTGCAATGGGGAGGTGGGGAACCTTAGCGGTATTGCTACTGCCATCAAGGAGCCCAGGAGACTCATCTCCACTGCTGGGCTCACTCAGTGGTGGGCCACTAATCAAGCATGTAGGTGCAGCCTTAAGAAAGAGCTCAGAGTATTCCTCACCACCTCCTCCCTCAGACTGCTTTCATGTCCATGGACAGCTCAGGGGACCCAGAATCATTCATGGACAGTCAAGCTATGGGGAGAGGACAGGGCTCTGGAAAGCACCAGGTGGCCGTCCTAAGACCAAACAGAGAATAGCATGTTTACACGCTCAAAGAACCTCTATCTATATTGGCCTCAGCTAACCATGCCAAGAGAAAGACATGGTAGAATACCACAGGAGGCTAGGAAATTTACGAAAATATTTCTCAGTATATAGTCGCTGGCTTTTTCTCATTCTGTTGTCACAACAACTCTATAACATAGTAATATGATTCATGTTTTCTTACACATGAGAAAACTGAGGTCCAAAGGCCAAAGTCATCTAGCTGGGTAATAGTGTTGATTCTAGGGAGTATGACTCCAGAAACCAAGTACTTAATGAATCCTGTGGTCTGAGGCCTATGCGTTCCCTTGGGCCTTGCTGGCATGGCCTGATTTCCTATGGTACATCTGAGACATCAGTGTAGCAGTCTTTAGAATAGCCATGCAACTGCTGAGATCAGGTTGTGCCCATGTCCTTTAAACTGTGAATCCCACAGCTGTCCACATGAAGGGGCTCTCAGGGCCACAATAGCTTGTCACTGTCTGTCCATCTGAATGCAGAAAACACGGGAATAACTACTCTGTTTTTATGTGCTTAGCACCAGGCTAGTGATTTTCACATATATCTTATCCCAGTTTTTATAGAGAAATAAATAAACAGGTACTGAGAAGTTATGTAACTTTACAGTCAGCTATTTTGCTTTCGAATAAAGAGCATCTGGGCCTAAATCTGGTGATTTGCCCCCTACTCTAATCTATGCTATAATTATGCTAAATAATGACCCGAATTGTCTGATGCAAATTTCCTTGGAAGAACATGAAACATCCATTTATTCTCTCAACGTGAATGTTGAATGCTCCTCTCTAGTCAAACCAAGTTCCATGTGGAACCTCGTGGCTGGGACACATTTCCCAGACTTTCTTGCAGTTAAGTAGAGGTGTGTAACTGAGTTCCAGCCAACGGCAAGTGGGCAGAAGTGATGTGTTTCTCCTTTAGGTCTGACCCATAAAAACCTGCCAAATCTGCCATATTTTCCTCTGTCATCTGCTGGCTCAATTCAGGGCTCTTTGGCACTGGGGTGTGGCAGAGTCAATGGTAGAAGGAGTTTGGTCCTTAGAATGACTGCATGGAGCAGAGCACTCTTCTATCAACCCACACTGGACTGTAACATGAGCAAGAGATCAAATATTACTGTGCTACACCACAAAGACTTTAGCATTTATTTGTTATGACAGTTAACCTATCCTGACTAATACACAGATCACACTCATTTCCTTTATCTTGCCACTTACAAAATCTTACTTATTGTTTATGTCAGTGATTTTCCAAGTGTTGTTCCTGAAATAGCAGCAGCAGAAGCTTATTACTAATGCAAATTCTCAGGCCTCCCTCCAGACCTACTAAATCAGAAACTTGGGGACAGGGGTGGTGAGCCCAAACATCTTGTTTAAACAAGTCCTCCAGGTGATTCCGACGCTCATTCAAGTTTAAGAACCACTGGCTTAAGTGAGTAGAAATTCACTGGTGAAATCCATAAGACTTCCTGCAAGGCTCACCCAGCTCCTCCTTTTCTGATCTCTGCGCCATTCACTCATTTTGGCCCTTAACTACATATGGTCACTGTCATTGTGACCACACTTCTTCCCCTGTGCTGTTCATGCTTGTCTCAGGTTCCCATGGGACAGAGAACACCTCCCTTGCCTATTGGTAAATGCTGGAAGGAAGGAACGAAGGAAGGAAGGAAGGAAGGAAAAACTGGAAGGAGGAAAGGAGGGAGATGGGAAGGTGGGAAGGGGCATTACCCATGATACAGTACAGGGCAGGAAAACCAAGTCACTAATTACTGACATTCAGAAAATAGAAAGTGTCAAGCGCCAAAATATTAGATGACTACTCAAGCCACAATTCAGTAACATTCTCACCCTCTCAGTATCTCAGTTTCATCTATATAATTGAGATAATAATGACACCTACTCTTATTGGAATGAGATGAGGATTTAAAGAGAATCGTGTAAGGTGCTTAGAATAATGCCTGGCATGTAGAAAGTACTCTATAAAGATTAGGAGTTACATCTTACTGGATGACTGACCTGGGGAAGTCATCCAACCTCTCTGAGCCTCAGTCTTCTCATCTATAGAAAAGGGTATTGCGAGGATGAATTGAGATTACGGATGGTAGGTGCAGAGCACCAGGACCAGCACGGAGGAGGGGCCAGGCTGAGGACTCGGGAGCTCCCTCTTCCCCAACGTCTGCCATCTTTATATCACTAGGTCTTACTTGTGCAATGCAGAGTGGAAAAGAATACACATTTCCAGGAAAATAGGGTATAAGTCAGACAGAACACAGTTCACAGCTGGGAGTGGTGGGTGAGGGGCAGTCACTGAGAGCCTGGCCTTCCTGGGAGGGTTTGGAACCAGAACAGAAACTGACCCAGTCCCCCAGAGAGATGACCTATGGGAGGATAGCTCCTTGGGCTCCCCAAATCCCTGCTTAATTTTAAAACAAACAGCAACAATGGCACCATTGACTCTGATCCAGAGAAATCTTTGTCTAACTTTGAAAAACTGCAAACGGCAGCTAGAGAGCAAAGGTTAGCCACAGCTCACCTCAAACTTGTTATTAATGGATTCCAAAAAGGAAAGGGGTTGCTTATTTCTGACCTCCTTCCAGTTCGCCCCTTCCTGAACTGAGGCCAGAGAGACAGGAAAACAAGGAATTTCCTTCCAAACTTCCAAACTTTTTTCTTTTTTAAGATTAAAAGCAAATTTACAAGGTCATGAAAACCCATAATGTTTACTTAGGGTGAAGAGGCATACAAGAAGAGCAAGCAAGGTGGCAATTTTAAGCTTTATTTTCTTCTCACTCAATCTCTGGCTTCCATCTGTCCTTGAGGTCCATTTCTTTTCTTTGGACTTTGTGATGTAAAATCTCCCAGACTTGTGAACTGGTACACTTGAAAGAGCAATTTGGCAATCTCCCACAAAGCCAAAGACATACATGGCCTTCAACCCAGTGAGTCCATCTTTAGGTGTATCTCCCACCCTGGAACTTTCACATTTGTTGACTGTGACCCATATGGTGAAAGTAGTTACTGGTTACTGTATCATTAAACTGGTTTCCTTTTTTTTTTTTTTTTTTTTTTTTTTTAAGACTGAGTCTTGCTTGGTTGCCTAGGCTGGAGTACACAGGCACAATCTCGGCTTGCTGCAACCTCTGCCTCCTGGGTTCAAGCAATTCTCCCACCTTGGCCTCTGAGTAGCTGGGATTACAGGCATGGGCCACCAAGCCAGCTAATTATTGTATTTTTAGTAGAGACGGGGGTTTCACCACGTTGGCCAGGCTGGTCTCGAACTCCTGACCTCAAACAATCCACCTGCCTCAGCCTCCCAAAGTGCTGGGATTACAGGTGTGAGCCACCACGCCTGGCCTCGTTTCCATTTTAACTGGGTGTCAAAGTAAATTTTCTTACTTTGTCATTGAGACAAGTTTAATGAAACAGTAACTACTCTTACCATGTGCAACATATTCTGACATTTTCCAAAGCCGTTGATTCTATGTCATTTTCTAAAATACTATTTGCAACCCATTTGTTCAAGTTCATGATCTATGAATGGGTCACAACACACTCTGTGAAAAGCTCACACATATACACACAAAAGCAATGTATGTTCATTCTAGCATTGTTTGGAGGAAGAAAAACTAGAAGCATCTGAAGTGTCTATCAATAGGAGAATAGATAAACTGAAGTAGTTTCATATAATGAACTCTATATAGCAATTAAAAAGGAATCAATGGGAGCTACAAGTAACAATATGAATAAATCTCCATACATAACGTTGAGCAAAAACAACAAGCTGCAGAAAGATACAAACAGTACAAAACAAGGTCTACAAATTTTAGAACATGCACAATAATACCAAATGCTGCTTAGGAATATATAAATATATATTAAAATATGAGGACATGGCTGGGAGTTACTAACACCAAATTTCAGGGTGTGGTTGAAGAAGGTGATGCTATTAGGAAGAAATCTACAATCACAGTTTTCTTTGTAATAGTTTATTTCTTAATCTTGGTGGTGTTTCTTATAGCATTCTCTTTTTCATATATATATGATATTTTTATAGTTAAAAAAATTCCTCCATGGAACAGAAGTCTTGGGACAATTTTGCTTCTTCCTTTTGGATTCAACAGAACACAAATTTTTCACTCTTTGCCTCAATCCCCTTCAAAGAGCAGAAGGTGACCTTAGGATGTAGACCTATGGGCACATGCCCCACCCCCCACCCCTGCTATCTTTCTCCCCATTCTGTCAATGTGCACCAATTTTGAAGGAAGATGGAGGAACTGATGCTAGGTCTGGGACTTCTCTGGAAAGATGGGGAGATCATGCTGAAATTCACTGAGGTCCCTAGAGAGGTGTCAGTGATGGTGAAGGGCATTACTCCAGACAACGTGCTTCCCCAACACTATCCATAACACCTTCCCTGGGTCTAGAGAAGCCACAGAATCTAAATATGGTATCCAGTGCCTCATTTCCAATTTCTATCAGGATCCTCAACACTCTCCCCTCCCAACCAAATTCAGGCAAATGCTGGTTCAGATTAAATTTCGTTAGTTTGGCCATCTCTGTATATCACCAAGGAGAGTGTTGGAGAACTATTTCTTGCTGAAGACATCCCCATTTTATAATTGGAGTGATTTGTTTTTGTAGATTTCTGTCACCAGAGCTAGAATTAGAACTTTTCAGATTCACAGAATCTTCTAGCTGAAAGGAATCTTAGACCAGTGCTTTTCCAATGCTAATGTGCAAGCGAATCTCCTGGGGAACTTGTTCAAATGCAGTTTAGGGTGCAGGAGATCTGTGGTGGCCCAATAATGCTGGGCCGAGAACCACTCTGGGAACAGCAAGGTCTCAGAGCACCTTCCCCACCTCCTTTAAAGATGAGAAAGCTGCCGAGGCCTAGGGAGGAAAATGACTCACTCGCTGCCTCTCAGGACTAGGATCTGGCTCTTCAGAGTTGTGCTTCAGTATTTTTTCTACAGTAGGTATCAGTTGCTGGATACAGCGATCCAGCTAACTGGCCGTGGGGCCATGAAGTTTCTGGTTATTCCAAATGTAAAGGACAGCATCAGCCCCTGAAACTCTTGCTTCTGAAAGTGGGGTTCACAGACCAACACAACTGGCATCCCCTGGGAGCTTGTGAGAAATGCAGAATCCCAGGCCCTGAGCCCAGATCTACTGAATCTGCATTTTAAATAAGATCCCTAGATGATCCACATATGCACTAAAGTTTCAAATGCACCAGCCTAAACAATACACAAACCCGCATACCTGATGGCAATTCTCCACGTGTCACTACATCTTTTAAAAAATTTATTTTTAATTGAAAAATAAAAATCGTATTTATCACATACAGCATGATGTTTTGAAATGTATCCTAGGCACAGACCACTAGCTCGCTCGTTTGCTCTTCCTCTCCCTCCCTCTCTTTGAAATGCTCACACACAGCACACACAAAATTAGCATACACAACTGATGCTTCCTCAAGGGCTTGTATCTGTGACTTAAAAATAATAGGGAACATTTGTTGGACACTTGCAAAGTACTTTATATGTGTTATTGAATCCTCATGACAGTCCTGTGATGTGGAAACTATCACTATCTCTATTTTACAGATGGGAAAACTGAGGCTTAGTGTGGTTAGGCAATTCAATCAAAACTTACAGGAAGTGCTACTGGCTGATGAGGAAAACCCGAATGTCAACTGCTTCCCAAATTGTGATCTAAAAAGATGCCAGGGAGTTGATCACTATGACACCGGAAACTGAAGCCTCCCTGGAAGAGGCCCAGGGATCTCATTCCTGTCCTGGATCTGGGCCCCATTTCCCAAGGAGGGAAGGTACAGCACTTTGTGACCCTTGCCTGAAGAGCCTGCCTACCAGAGAAATGGGTGACTGGAAGGAGAACAAATGGTAAGAAGAGAGAGACAATGTAACCTCAATGTGTCAAAGTTGAGGAACGCATCAAAACCTCCTAGTGTGAGGCGTCTAATTCTTCTAAACAATGAAAGGTTTTCCTGGTGCTTTTGGACTACAATGTGTGTGTGCATGTGTGTCTGTCAGGTCATCCTAAAGAAGCTTGGGCTTGCACCAGGAGGGGAGGGCAACAAGAACTCTTGAACCTATGGTACTTAAAAAATCAAAACACAGCATGGTATAACAGCTGGAGACACACACAAAGTGCAACGAATCCTCTCACCTGTACCTCAGGCAGACCAAGCTAATGGCCCACCGCATGTTTTCCGGGTGTGTGAATATCAAGCTGCAGCATCCTTCTCAACACAGTGCTTCCACATAGTGTTGAGCTACTATCAAGTGATGATGGCATGCAATAGGAAACCTACCTGCCATCTCTGCTGAGGTAATGAGCTTTCCCCGAGCATCAAGAGACCAGGTTTCCGGTCCTAGCTTTGTCACTAACTAGTTGCATAACTTTGGAAAAGGCACTTGGAGTCTCAGGTCTTCTGTTTCCCCAGCTGTCAAATGGGAGAACTTTGAGGTAAGAGAGGTTGTTTCTGGCACAGAACCCAAGGTGACTCTCCTGGACTTCTTGGATTCCAGCAGATTTTTTTTCCTGTGTGGTGATGGAAACCCAGGCATTCAGCTGGATATTACACTCACATATCTGAAAAGATACAAGTCAGGCTCCATATTGCCACAGCTGGTCCCCTGCAGCAGGAAACCACCAAGGGGAGAGGTGGCTTGATTTCTTTCTTTTTTTTTTTTTTTTAGCCTAAATATTTATCAAGAATCTCCCGGCAAAATGGCTGCAGTATATGACACAGAAATAATCACTAAAATTTTATTTTTAAAGTAGTTTCTATATATCCATATATATTTATGAGGAAAGCATCCAGATATAGATCATTTCCAAACATTTGTTTCCACACCAAGTGTCCAAGGTGTCTAGAAAAATGCATGCCCAAGAGGCCCCCATGAGACGACAGAGCTCAGATAAAGGGAGGGCTTTTCTTTAAATCTCTGAGAAAAACCCAATAACGATTGGGGATTTTGTGAGAAAAATAGTTAAGAATGGGTCTAAGTTTTTCCTTCAGTTTTATTCTTAAACAAGCTATCCTCTATATTTGGGGTGTTTCCCCCAAAACGTCACAACCTTCTGAGAGACACAACCCTGACTTCAATTCAACACCCAGCCCCAACTTTTTGAAGTTTTTTTTAAAAACAAACAAACAAACAACAACAACAAAAAAACACACACTTTTTCCAACTCTGTAGTTTGAATGATAAAACCATAAGGTTAAGGCACTGGTTTCATGCTTTCTAAATAAGAGCAAAGTTGTTTGCTTTTCATTTTAAGGTAACTCCTCTTAGGTGGGCACAGGCATCTTTGATAGCAAGGATTTCAGGGGATTCCAAACACATGAGCAAAACAATGTGGCCTGGGGAAGGCAGCATGAGTCCTGCCAAACCCAAGCCTGTTTAGTATGCAGGCCTGGGACCTGAGGGTCTCCACGGTTCTCCTGATGGTGGCAAAGACTGATAGGCCCAAGAGGAGGCAGAAACAACAGCCAGTGGACTCCTCCATTATGTGCAGGACCCCATGCTGACCAGATAAATCCCACTGGATTCTTTGTAACTCCGCTCACTAGCCTGCTGAACCATAAGCTGACAATTCTGATGCTGCAACTTGCCCAACCCCAGTGAAACACAAACAACAGCAACTCTGGAGCAGGGCTTGCCCTTTGGCCCTTTTCTGCTTAAGAACTCAGACGGAGAGGCAGGTTTTCACATTCCCAATCCTTGTGCTTGTCTTTCCCTCCCCAAATCACCAAGGGCAGGGGAGGAGATAATTAGAGCCCGCAGGCAGAACCTCACTGCTTGTGAAGGCCCACCAGGCTTGGAGCTCTGGGGAAAAAGGATCCCTGTCTCCACACACAGGAAAGAGTGCCTGGGAAGTGGCTTCTCCTCAATGAACCATTTTCCCCCTTTTGCCCTGCTCCCCACCCATCCCATGCCACATCTCACTTTGGGATGCCTTCAGCAACCTGGAAAGCCTTCAGTCTCTCACATAACAGCTAGGTGCTTTACTCCTCCTGGCCTCTCTTTGAGCCTGCCATTCTAATGACTCTTGACCCTGGTTGCACATCAGGATCACCTGGAAAGTTTCTTTTAAAACCAAACAAAACTGATATCTGGACCTACTCTGCCATCCCTCACCCCACCCAAGATTCTGAGTTAATTGGCCCAGTCTACCTCATGTGGCTCCAAAGTACAGTCAAGGCCGAAAACCACTGAGCTTTTCCCTCTGCCTGGCACATATCCACTGCCCTGCCTTCCTTCAGCTGATGAACTCTTCATATGCCTCCTTTTGGGTGTCAGTGGAAATGTCACTTCTTTCTAGAAGCTTCTCTGGCTCTCCCAGCCTGGCCCAGGGCTCCAGCTATGAGCTTCCATAACACCCCTAGTTTTCCTCACATTGCCCTCATAGTATATGGAATTTGTTCATTCAATTGCCTGGCTTCCAACAGATGCCAGCTCCAAGAAGGCAGGAGCTGCTTCTGGGTATTGCTTGCCATCAAGGCCCTCACACCCAACCTAATGCCTGGGCCAGAGTAGGTGCTTAATAAAAAATTGTTTGAGGCCGGGCGTGGTGGCTCACGGCTATAATCCCAGCACTTTGGGAGGCCAAGGCAGGTGGATCACGAGATCAGGAGATTGAGACCATCCTGGTTAACACAGTGAAACCCCGTCTCTACTAAAAATACAAAAAATTAGCTGGGCGTGGTGGTGGGCACCTGTAGTCCCAGCTACCCAGGAGGCTGAGGCAGAAGAATGGCGTGAACCCGGGAGGCGGAGCTTGCAGTGAACCAAGATCGCGCCACTGCACTCCAGCCTGGGTGACAGAGCAAGACTCTGTCCAAAAAAAAAAAAAAAAAAAAATTGTTTGAATGAATGAATGTGCTTGGTGTCTTCAGCACTGGGTCTTTCCCCAGGACACATTGGTAGCAATTTTTGAATCAAGCATTTTCTAAACTACAGTAAAATATTCTGTTTCTCCTTACGCCAACTGAGAGGGGAAGTTTCCAGTTGAGTTTTTCTGGCAGAGATTGACTAGTTTTCCACCAAACCATTTGCCTTTCCTCTGGACACACTGCTAGACCACAGCTTCCAAACTCCCTGTGACTAGGTGTGGCCTAAGGCTGCCAAGTGGAATGTGGATGGAAGTGATAAATGCCATTTCCAGGCAAAGCCCATAAAAACTGCCTTTGCACTCCCCTACACTCACTTGCTCTCATCCTTGGGCTGCTGGCTGAATTCGACATCCAGTGGAGGACTCCAAGGCCCGAGAGAGAATGAAGCCACAAGATGGAAGAAGCCTGGGTTCTTGAGTGACCATATGTAGCCTAGCACCCTTCTCCACCCGCTGCTAGCCCACATTGGTATGAGTGGGAAATAACACTTATTGGGTTAAGTCACTGAGGTTTGGGGATGTTGTAGAAGTTAGTTTATCGTGGATAATATACATTTTTTAAAACTGCACCAATTTACCAAAACTTCAGGGTACATATAATCCATAAATTCAAAGGTCAAAGTGAAGAAAAATCACCTTGAACCACTCCATATTCCTGTTTTTCAGGCACACAGCTTCTTCCCCTAGAATATGTGTGAAAGAGTTCAGTAAAACTTACTTCTCTACTTTCCAGTTTGGTCAAATGTTATCTGATCCTAAACCAAGTGCAGGGATCCTTTCAGGTGCCAGTTGGCATCCATCTCCCTTTGACCTGCCACCTTTCCTCTAGGCATCCAGGAAGGAGCCTGGCCTGTGTGTGGACTAACTCTGCTCTGATCTGTTGGACCACCAGCCAAGTGACTTCTCATTCTCTCTAACCAGCCATGCCCTAGAATAGGCAGGCCCAGCTCCCCACTAGACAACCACAGCATTTCCAGCTATGAACCAAAGAAGCACAGCAACAGTGACTAGCTTCCAATCCCAGAACTCAAGTCAAATATTCCATTATTTTTCAGACAACCAAGGGGCTTTGTGAGCTTTTATTTAAAAGGGGGAGCACTATGGGAGGCCGAGGTGGGCAGATCACAATGTCAGGAGATCAAGACCATCCTGGCTAACATGGTGAAACCCCGTCTCTACTAAAAATACAAAAAAAAAAAAAAAAAAAAAAAAAAGTAGCCGGGCGTGGTGGCGGGCGCCTGTAGTCCCAGCTACTCGGGAGGCTGAGGCAGGAGAATGGCGTGAACCTGGGAGGGAGAGCTTGCAGTGAGCCGAGATTGCGCCACTGAACTCCAGCCTGGGCAACAGAGCGAGACTCCGTCTCAAAAAAAAAAGGGGGAGCAAAAATAACATTTGAAGGAATTCAAAGAAGAATGAAACCTATGTATTTTCTGAAATTGTTGAACTCCAATAAAACTTTAATATCAACCTGTTCTTTGAACTGAACTCACATTTTTATTTATTTTGAGTCTCTGGCTCCCACTGTCGCCCACCTCTTCAACTTTTACCTTTATCACTTCCTTTAGGAAAACAAAAAAGAAGGCAACATGTCATGAAATTGTTAGAGGGATACTGTCTCTGCATGCATATGTCTCTGTGTTTGTGTTCGGTTAATTAAAAAAAAAAAACACCTAGCAATTTAATGGTTTAAGAACATTGTTTCCAAAGGGGATGAATTATTTACCAAATATTTATTGCCCTCCATGCAAGTCCTAACAGGAAATACCAAAACAATTGACCCAGGCACTATTATCCAAGGGCTGACCTTCTGGAGAAGGGGTTGCATCTAAAGCATAATTAGCTAAAATAAAGGTTAAATGTAGAAAACTCCATAAAACGAGGTAGAGGCAAAGTGATATAAAAGCATAGAGGAAGAGTGGATTGCTCCCAAGTGGGAAAATGCATTCATTCAACAAATATTCATTCATTGTTCATTCAACAAATATTTATTGAGTATCTATTACATGCTAGGCACTATGTTTGGTACTGTGTACAAAGCAGTAAGGAAGACACACTCAGGCACAGCTTCATAGAAGAGATGGTATCTGAGCAGGGCCAACAGCCATGAGTGGACAGAACATAGGATAAGAATAACAACAAACACAGCTAAGCACTGACTAAGCACCTTTCTAATATATTACATTTGTCAACCTATTTAATCCTCCCAACAACCACATGAGGTAGGTAGTATTCTTATTTCTATTCCACAGATTAGAAAAGTTAAATTGTTTGTCCAGGGTCACACAAAGCTGTGTTTACCCCCTGGGTAGTGTAGCTTCATAGCTGTCATCCTTATCCACTATACTCTAAATCACGGATGGTCTTGAATTCCAGAGCAAGGCATTTCAAGTTCAGTCTTTGCCAATGGTGGGAGCCACTGCTATACATGGGATGAAGACACATAAATGAAACTGGGAGCCTAAACCTGCTGGTAGTATAAGTCCAGGGAGGTATTCTACCCCAAGTTCAAGTAAGTTCAACAAAATGGGAGAAAATTGTTCTATGTGCTCCAGGAACATAAGTGACGAAGCTCTTAGTTGGCTCTGCTTGCGTCATGGAAATCCACACCAGAAGGCCATTTGTCAGTGAAATTGCACTAAGACCCTTTTGTCATTTTACAATTAAATCCCCTGGGAAAGTGTTCTCATATGGAAAGCAGAGGTTTAACATCAGCCTGATCTGATATTAAATTCAGTATTCTGTTTTAAAGGTACTTTCCCCTCAGTGTGCCATGCCCCTCACCATCACTACACACACTCCTCACATTCTCCATGGGATAGATGAATTATTGGAGTCCACCAAGCATCTTACTACACTGTTGAGTTTAGGAAAAAGCATACCCCTTCAATCACAGCCAGTCACAGCACAAATAACAGACTATGCAACTAAGGACCAAATTAAAGGGGGCTGGCAACCACAAGCCTACAACTTGGGCCATTGTTTGGGGAAATAAACCTAGGAAAGGCAGTTCCAGATGAGACAGCAGCTAACCAAGCTGAACAGCTGGATTTTGTTCCCCACAGATACAGAGTTGACAGTCCACCAAGCACTCTAGTGGGTCATATTTCGTAGGAATCCCTTATGAGAGGTTAAAAATAAAAAATCCTAGTTCTGGCCAGGGTCACAGACCCAGGAGGGCCAGTAGTCTCTGGAAAATGAGGCCTCAAAGGGCTGAAGAAGATAAACTTGTTACACTCATAAAAATGGCACTGCCAGCCTGGGCACTGCTGAGATCCATTGATGTCTACCCCATAAGAAGTTATTCTCCCTACCTTTCCTAACTTCAGACCTCATGGGACAATAACAAGTCAAAAATGCATAATCTATTCCTCCAAGGGTTAAACATGGAGTTATCATATGACCCAGAAATTCCACTCCTTAGGTATATAAGAGAAGAAATGAGAACATATGTCCACACAAAGACTTGCACACAAATATTCATAGCATCACTATTCATAATAGCAAAAAGGTGGGAACAGCTCAAATGTCCATCAATGAATAAATGGACAAATAAAATGTAGTATATCCATAGAATGGAATGTATTTAATCCATAAAAAGGAATGAAATACTGATACATGCTACAACATAAATGAACCTTGAAAACATCATGCTAAGGGAAAGAAGTCAGACACCAAGGATCACATATTGTGTGACTGCATTTATATGAAATGTCCAGAATAGGCAAATCTTTGAAAACAAAAAGTACATCGGTGGTTGTCAGAGGCTGCGGGGAGGAGTAAATGGGGAGTGACTACAAATGGATGTAGTAATGGCTACACAACTGTGTGAATACACTAAAAACCACTAAACTGTACGCTTTAAATGGGTGAACTATATCTTAATAAAGCTGTTATTTTTAAATGTTTTTTAAAATAAACATTTTACGCTATAAATGTTTAGCACCCAATAAATAAGGAAAGAAAGAGAGAGAGAGAAAGAAAGGAAGGAAGGAAGGAAGGAGAAAGAAAGGAGAAAGAAAGAAAAAAGAAAGAAAGAAGGAAAGAAAGAAAGAAGAAAAAGAAAGAAAGAAAGAGAAGAAAAAGAAAGAAAGAAAGGAAAGAAAGAAAGAAAGAAAGAAAGAAAGAAAGAAAGAAAGAAAGAAAGAAAGAAAAAGAAAGAGGGGAGGGAGGGAGGGAGGGAAGGAAGGAAGGAAGCAAGGAAGGAAGGGAGGGAGGGGAGGGAAAGAAGGGAAGGAAGAAGGGAAGGAAGGAGAAAGAAGGAAGGAAGGCAGGGAGGGAGGGAGGGATGGAGGAAAGGAAGGAAGGAAGGAAGGAAGGAAGGAAGGAAGGAAGGAAAAATATGTGCATAATCTGAATCTGAGATCATTTTGGGTGTTCATAGCCATGAACCTCTTTCATGAGGCTTGCAGCCTTCAGCCAAGTTAACCAAAGTGGTTACAGTGAGGGGGAAAAGGCAGCAAGTGCTGTAGGTCAAGCTGCAATGTCAGGCATGGAAGGAGGAGACTGGGCCCAAGGGTCCCCCAAACAGCACTGGTGAGAAGTTCCGTGATGCCACCTAGAGAACATTCTCACCACAAACACCCAAAATGATCCACATGGGGTAGAAAAATGGGAAGGCCATTATATAATTATTAATGCTAACAGCAACTCAGCAATAACCTGACCCTAGGATCAGAGTCAACAATTTACTATGGGCCACAGCTCAAAGGGGACAATAGCTCTCTCTGCACCATTCTTTTCTAATGCATGGATCCTGGGTTTGCCTGATCCCCCCAGTGTGGGAACAGCCACAGGATTCCAACGGCTGTTTTCTCTCCATCAAACATTTGCTTATTTTTCTCATCTTAAGTCTTGTGATTGGTAGGACACATGCCTAACAGACGATAAAAGATTCCGTGCATGTGTGTTTCAGACAAAAAACAGAATTAAATTATAAGACTGGCCTAAAAACCAATAAAGTTCCCCTTCTTCAATTTCTCCAAAGGTCTTACTGGATTTTGATACCCAGCAAGGGTCCTCAGACACCTTGGAATTGCCCGCAGGAATACTTGATGACGCCGTGGATCAAATCAAAGAGAATTAAACATTAAAGCACTTGGAAAACATTGCAGGTCTGCAATGGTTTGATCTGTATAGCGCGCGCGCACGTGTGCACACACACACACACACACACACACACACACACATCCCCCAGTACACACAGGCAGATGCATCTTTTCTTTAGCAGACTTCATTATCCTTTCTTTAGGAACTTCCCCCCTAATAAGGAGTTGATTTCCAAGGATAACATTGGAAGTTGCTTGCCATCCCTTCTTCTGAAAATCTCTATAGAATTCCACAAGTGTGTGCGTCTTCGTTATCAACAATGACTATTGTTGTCTCCATTGGTCATCTCAACATCACCAATGCCTGGTGTAGTGCCTGATGCGCAGTTGGATTAAATAAATATTTGATAAATTTAATTGCAGTTGGAATTCAAGAGGAGATGAGGGAACAGGCAAAAGCTTTGGTTGTGGTGAATTGGGGCTTAATGACTCTTATTTATAAACACACACACACAGAGAGAGAAAGAGAGAGAGAGAGAGACATGTGCATTCAAGGAGATAAAAAGGCTGGAAACCAGGAAGTTCCAAAAGGGCATTAATTGATTCTCCAACTCAACTTTCTTAAACTTGGGCTCACCTACCACTGGGGTCCCCAGAGACTTTCTGGCAGTATGTAGGTATATGGATAGCTTTAAGAGATTCAGTTTCCATATTTTCTGCTTCCATATGCATGCCTCCCAAAGCTGACCTGCCATCTCTGTGGCAGCTCTGCTTCTCCATATTCCCTTTTTCACAGCTGCCTTCCTCCTCCTTTAATAAAGAAAGGGAAATTGCCCACCTATTCTCAATCTTATGAGGATGCATTTTCCTAAGGAGTAAAAATCTCCCCAGCCCCAAACCGAGGTATCATTTGAGTCAGCATCACTTTAGAAGGAAAATTCCCAGGGCAAAGAAAGAACATTTCAAAAAAATTTGAAGGCCACAGTGCCATATTTTATTCAGGCAACAAATTCATAGCACAGCTTTGTGCCTTATATATCTATCTGGCCAGCCAGCTGCCTACTTATCCTAAAACCAGAACTCAGAAGGATGAAGATTGGCCAAGTACACATGTTAACACATTCACCTGAATCAATGAAGAAACCCCTTTCTTTATACTGACTAAAAGTTAATCTGGCTTGGCTGATGGTTTGACAATAAGAAATGACTTTGCAGTTAGGTCACGTACCCTGATCTAATAATTTTTTCATAAATTGAAAGGTTTTAATGAAGATATACTTAAAGCATGTATATGATATACACCAGTGCTCCTCAGACTTAAATGTGCATGTGAATCACCTGGGAATCTTATTAAAATGCTTATTCTGATTTAGTGGGGCTGGAGAGAGACCCAAGATTCTGCATTTCTAACAAGCTGCCAGGGGATGCTGATGTTGCTGACCCGTGCATCAGACTTTGAGCTGTGAGAATACACAATGTGCTGGAAAATATACTTTTGTGATGAATTCAACTTACGATTAGAAAATTCAGATATCAAATGTAAAATACACAAGGGGTGCTTGATTTTTTAAAAAATATATTCTTAGGAAGTATTCCAACAAGAAAAGATGGTAGACCTCCAATGTGGGTCACAGCTGGCAGTCTGACCCCAAGAAGTTTGAACCCAGCCTCTATTATCTGTGCAAGACAGAACTGTACTTCTGCTTTGGAGTTAATCCCAGAAGAATTTATTTCTTTTCCAGCCCTTCACATAGCTTGTGCTTTATGGTGGCAGACTCAATGGACCAAACCTTCAGCTGTGGGAATCATGGCTTCAGCCATTGAACACACACAGCCCAGTCAGCTGGCAGAGTGGACAATAAACCTACAAACACTCAGCAAGTCACTCAGGTTCTTGATTCAAGAGTAAATGGCTTCATAAACACAATCATAACAACAGCGGCATGAGTTGGTGCATGTCAATGTGTACATTTCGGTAGAGAGGGCCCAGAGACACGTATTTTGGCAGATGCTAGGTCTTGGCAAGACTGTAAGCAAAATCACAAAGCAGCCCAAGTCTGTGGTCAGTCCCAACTTCCTATCAGTACACCTTTTCCATCCAGGCACCCCATAAAGGTGGATTTGGTCTCTTCCACATTCCATTAAGTGTAGCCTCAATTCCCAACAAAAACCCACACCACACCTCTTTTAAGGAATTTTATAGGAAAACTTTACCTAAACATGTATCCCCAAATCCTCTGAACTAGCAAAATCCTATTCAGGTTTATCTCCATGTCAGAGAGATGGGAAATATATCAAGTTCTGTCAGCAGGTCAGCCAGGCCGAGCATGCCAAGTGATCTGGGGTTATAGACAGCAGATTAATCTCAAAGCTGGAACTTCTTTAAGACCAGGAAGTAGCCCCTTTTCTGATTAAAAGACAAGTCAATAATTCTGGGTCCTTGGTCCACCACTGTGATATGTCCCTTGCAAAACAGGCACTCTCAGGCAGTCTTCCCTGCAGAGCAACCATGATGGATACTGACTACTGACTTGAAAGTGCTTTGACACCCCCAGATGGAAGGAACTAATCAATTATGCTTCTCACTTAGAGGCACCCTGCTCATTCATGCTGAAGATAGAAGTCCAGATAAAAGTAGAATTACTGGGAGTCCAAGATCCAGAAAGAAAATGAGAGAGCTCAGCTGGTCACTGTGAATGATGTGCATGTGCCCCAAGCCTTTGAAACACATGACATTTTCCAGCAGCCAAGCACTCATCAAATTGCAGAATGTCGAAGCTACAAGGAAACTTAGCAATTATTTAATGATCTAAATTACTTTTATTATAGTGAAGAGGAAGCTGAGGCCTAGAGAGGTAAAATAACCTGTCATATAGCTGAGCAGCGAAAGGAACAGACTCATTACCCTAGTGATCTCCTGTCACACAACCCATCTCATGAAGCTCTCTCTCAGGTCGAGTTTAATAGATGAGAGAACAAGGGGTAGTCTGCCTATGCAAAGCAGGTACACACAATGAGATCAGAGCAAAGGGGATTTCCTCCCCTGAAGCTAAACAGCCCCCATAAGTGATGTTACGTGTTAGGATAATTTCCTTGGTGTGCTGGAAGATGTTTCACAAGCATGGGTGGTGGGGACCCTTATTTGCCATATTTGCCAATTTCTATAGTGTAAATACTCTCATCATGGCAGATTTCAAGCTACCAACTTGATGCCACTGAACAGCAGTTGGGGAGAGATATGTGCAATCAGCTCTTGTGAGCTGATAGAAGCTGGATCCTCCACACCACTGGAATTTCTGAGAAGTCTACATCACGGGTTTAGGAATGAAATAACTTTCTGGCCCACAAGAATAAAACACCCAGGTTTATGAGGAAAATCCTAGCAGCACACACTCTAGGTTTCACTCACTGAAACTCTGATTCTCTCTGGATCTCCTGGACATCACAGTTCCCATATCCATGGGATCCAGAGAGAATCAAAGTTTGGAGAAGTTACTTGGTCCATCATGTCTGTATCTCTGGGTAGTATCCTACCTAATTGATCCAAGGCAGGAGCACTGAGAGGTGGAATCCACATTCCCTATCTTAATGCTTTTGGCAACCAAGCATTCCTTTCCCAGCAGTAACAGGATCCAGTTTCCAAGGTGATATGTGAGCTCAGAGCCCCATCTTTACCAACGTCAAAGGCAGTGCTTGGATTCAGCTTCAGGTAGGCCTCCTCTGTTCATGTAAGCAGGAAGGAAAACATGTAAAACTGAATTCCTCCTCAATTTCTTTCTTTCTTTCTTTCTTTCTTTTTTTTTTTTTTTTTTTTTTTTTTTTTTTTTTTTTTTTTTTTTTTTTGGCTGAGAAGAGTTCCAAGGCTGGGGCAGCAACTCATCAGGAAAAGTTCTTAGCCTGTGCTTTCTTTTTGCCAAACATTGATTTGCTAATAGAGAAAATAACTGGTGTATAAACAAAAGTGGTTGATGACATCCAAGGGTCTGGAGCAATTCCTCCACATCGTTCTGACAGCTAACAAATGGAACTAGCTCTTAGGGAGCATGTTTAAGGAACAGCTGGAATATGTAACGGACATTTTTCTGTGAATTTGACAGGTCAAGCTCCATCACGGTTGAGCTACGCTCACCGGACGTGGATCAGAATGAACTCTGCCATTCCTCAGAAGGTTGCCAAGAGGGCTTTGAAGAGAAGGGAATCCAAGGAACTCAGTTTCAGACATGGAGAAGAATAAAGACCAGACAAATCATGAGCAAACCTGATTTAAAGAGAAAGATCTATAAATACCAGTTGCTCAGCTTTCTCCCTGGTTTCCTGACCCTATGATGAGCTCCACCAAAATTAAGTAAGTATAGCCCTTTCCAGAGGGTCACTTGGAGGGAAGATCCTGCCATATGTCGCCTATTGGTCTTTAGCCTCACCACCACCCCAACATCTGATAAAGTCAACAGACGTGAGTTCCTAAAGGATACAGAATATACAAGATACTTTCCCTTATACAAGGATTCACTCTAAGCATCGTTAAAATGGCAAACTCACCTGGGACCCCTAAGATAACCTGATTTACCAAAATCTGGTTTATCCTTAGCATATGAGGAGCACATCCATTCTCTAAAGCAAGGAGATTTTCAAGATCAATGAGCAGAGAAACTTCTCAAAAGAATTTTATAGAATTTTTTAAGATAACAAGCAAACTAACAAATGATTGAGTAAACCTGGTACTATTCCTTTTCTTCTTCCAAACTCAAGGGAGTTATTCCAAACAATAACATACCTAGAAAAGAACCTGTGAAGATTGCAAGATTATCTAAAGAAGCCACCGGGGCAAGAGCGGTGGACATGCTTCTCCACACGGCCCTGCACCCAGACCACTCATTGTGAACTCCACCCAAATGCATAAACCTTTGGGAAGCAAAGGATGAATTGATTAGCTGCAATCTGTAGGCCCAATCAATCCATCTCCACACTGTAGGGACCTGCACAGAATCTCTCCTTAAAGTCTAGTCTTTCATGAGGAGAAATTCACCTCATAAAAGACATGATCAGAAGACATGACAGCCTGGAGGAGCAAACTACTGCTAGGTCAGTGGAAGTTCTCCTCCTGTTTGTGAAAGTGAGGAGAAAAGCACAGAGCATTTGTCCCTCAGCTTGTCTCCCTTGCAGTCTTCTCACTTATTATAATTCAAAAATTACCTCCATTTCAAGGAATCCTTCTCCTTCAGAGCTTTCAGCTCAAGGTGGCCTGGTTTGATCTCTCCTGACACCACTTCCTCCCTCCACCCCAAAGTAGATTAGGATCACCTTGGATAACCACCAGAACTTGATGATTAAAACATTCAGAGCAAAAAGATCTTCAGAGGTCATGCCAACTGATAAGCCAAGTTAGTAGCAAGGCATAAAATAAGGCATTACTGTCTTTGTTCTGTGCTGATCCATGCATTGTCCTACCTACCATGCCAGCACTTTGGTCTGTGAAATATGCAGAAAAGGCAAGAGAAACACAACTGCTGACAAGAGGATGAGGAAAGGAAGAGCACTTCCAGCAGGCATTCGCTGCCTTGCCTTAATACTTAGCACTTCCACAAGCCTTTTCATCTTCAAAGCACTTGAGGAACACTAGCTAATTAATCCTCCCAACATCCCTGCAAGGTGAGGAAGGATTATCTCCATTTTACAGATGGAGAAATGGAATATTTTGAACACAGGCATAAAACCCAGTGACAGATAGAATTGCCAGAAACTGGGCTGGGATCCTTCCTGGTGTCTTTGATGCCCACTCAAGCCTGCCAAGGTATCTCATCCCCAACCTGAGGACTGCCAAAAGCTCCTAACCAGGATCTAGCCGAGCAGACAGAGGGCCAGAGGCAAGACAGACAAGGCTCTCATGCTAACCCTTCCAAGTCTCTAATTAATTCATTATCTCACTGGACTGTCTGGTTAGGGGAGGCCTCTTTTGAAGCTTAGATGGAGGAGGAGGAGATGCCTGCTCAAGTCTTCTTCTAAGCAATGATTCGATATTCCTCTCTTATATCTTCACCCTGGTTGATATTTTAAACCATTGATGAAGACAGCACATGCAATGATAGAAATCCACATTAAATCCTTCCTGGAACCAAGGCAGGTTCTAAACAAATACATGAAAAGCCATTGGCACAGTGCTTTTATTATTCAAGTTTTCTCATATTTTGAGACAGGACTTTCTCTTAATCAAACATCAGCTGCAAATGCCAGTTGGAACCCTGATCAAAACCTCCTAATTAAATGCAGTGTAGGAATTTCATGTCTATCCCAGGCCTATTACTCAAGGCATGGTTCCAAACTGTGGTGGTCTTAGAATTTCTTGGATTTTTCAAAACGTCTAAAAATCACTTGGAGATTCAGACTGCTAGTGCATTTTCAGAATTGCCACTTTGAAGTTTGACCCAGTTACCCTGTCAGTAGCTATCATCAAATCTTACCAATTTCTACCTTTTTTTCATAATATTACCCACCCCTAGAAATGAAAACTGTGTGCTTCACTCAACCAAGTACATAACAAATAAAGAACTTGGAGCCCACCTTCCCTACTCGTCCAAAGTGTCTCATAGGTTCTTCTTATCAGAAAGTACCCAAAAAAGTTTGTGAAATAAAATGTAGAAAGCAGTGGCAGTAGGTTTATGACAGTGACTCTCAACTGAGGGTAATTTTGCCTCACCAGGGATATTGGCAATATCTGAAAACATTTTTGGTGTCATAACTGGACAAAAGAGGAGTAGATACCACTGGTACCCAGTGAGTGGAGAACAGGGGTGTGGCTAAACATCCTACAGTGCACAGACAGCTCCACAGCAAAGAATGATCCAGCCCCAAATGTCAGTAGTGCTGAGGGTGGGAAACCCTGGATTTGAAAAGAACCATCGAGAAGAGACACATGCTAAGCATATAGAGGGTTTTCGATAAAAACCTATAGATTGATGGATTGAATCATTAGCTGCCCTATCACTGGGACCAACTCCTGTTGCCAAAACAAAGTCAGACAAACCCAACTAACAACAACTCAGTTAGCAATTCCACTTTTTTAGAACCTAAGTAGAATCCTGATAGTTTTGTTACCCCAGTCTGTGAATAAAAGCATAAGGTTTATTTACTTTAGAAGTCTCATAGGCATAATATTGATCAAAAGAACCCAACACAAAAGATACATATTATTATTGTACGATTCCATTTATATGAAGTTCAAAAACAAACAAAATAAATCTATGATAACAGAGGTCTGAATAGTAGTTACTGTTGTGAAAGGCGAGGTATGAGTATTGACTGAAAAAGGTGCATGAAGGAACTTTTTGGATCACTGGAAATGTTCTATATCTGTATCTGATTTGTGGTCCCATAGATGTGTACACACATCAAAATTTGTCAAGCCATACACTTAAGATTTATTCACATTACTGTATGTCAGTTATATCTCATTTTTTGAAAAGGAAAACATTAATTAAAAATAAAAAGTAGAGGCCGGGCGCGGTGGCTCACGCCTGTAATCCTAGCACTTTGGGAAGCTGAGGTGGGCGGATCACCTGAGGTCAGGAGTTCAAGACCAGCCTGGCCAACATGGTGAAACCCTGTCTCTACTAAAAATACAAAAATTAGCCAGGTGTGGTGGCGCACAGCTGTAATCCCAGCTACTTGGGAGGCTGAGGCAGGAGAATTGCTTGAACCTGGGAGGCAGAGGTTGCAGTAAGCCAAGATCACACCACTGCACTCCAGCATGGGCGACAGAGCAAGACTCTGTCTCAAAAATAAAATAAAATAAAATAAACAAAAAGTACAAAAAAGAAAAAATCAGCCACAGTATAAAAGTTTAAAACCATTGTTTTCAACAGGTAGACTTATGTTAACACCACTTGTTCAAATGATAAATATTCACAGCTTTCATCCAAATTTCATTTCCAACAGTTGTCTTCTTTCTTAATTAAAATGCAAATACAGACTTGAAAGCTAGAAAACAAGGCAGGAAAAAATGACTCTCCGCCAGAAAGAACACACCAACTTATTTCTCCTTCAAGCAATGAAATTAAATCCAGGTCTGAGAGACCAGGTCTGTCTCCACAATCCAGGCTGGCGTGTGTGTGTGTGTGTGCGCGCACACACACACACACACACGTAGAGCTGCTTTTGATGTGGCTGCCTGGGCAGCTCATAACAGGAATAACACTACTTAAAAATCTAAACAATTGCACTTCATAATTAAGAAACCACCCCTGCCCTCTCCCTCCCAAGAATAAAAAGAAATCATTAGTTTCCTGCTACTGAAAAAAAAAAGATGGCAAGTACTTTTAAAACCAGTAAATTCTCATCTGTCCCCCAAATGAATTCCTACATTTTAGTAGCCCCCTTCATGTAACACCTGTCTCTATATTTCTTATTTCCATTTTAAAAGCATACCATTACAGATCATTATAAAAATATTATAACTCTAAGTAAGAAGTCAGAAGAATGCAGGAAAACAATATACAGTTGCCAAAGGAGAACTTAGTATTTTTTTAATGATAACTATTAAAGAATGCCAATACACATTTACTGAGATTAGGCCACTGTGAGGTTGAAGACTGCTTTTCTATAAAGAAGTTCAAAATATTTACAAATATTTTTTATGTGGTCTGTCTCCTTGCTTGGATTTTGAGCTTTAAGAAGACAGGAACTACTTTGCCAACTTTATATTTAAAATGCCAAGATAAGTGCAAGACCATCAAAGGCCTTCAGCATCTGTCTGGTGAACGACAGATGGATGGATGAATGGACAAGTGAATGGGTGGAAGTGTGGATGGGTGGCTGAATGGATGGGTGGACTGGTGGATGGGTGAATGAGTAGATGGGTAGATGGGTGCAAGAATGGATGAGTGGATGAATAGATGGGTGGATGGGTACATGGATAGTTCAGTAAGTGAGTGGATGGAAGAATGAATTGACGGGTGGATTCATAGATGGGTGGATGGGTGGATGAGTGTGTGAATAAATGGATGAGTGAATAAATTAATGAATGGATTCTTGGATAAGTGCATGGGTGCAGGGGTGGACGGATGAGCAGATAGGGAATAAGAAGATGGAAGTCAGGTTAATGGGTGAATGGATGAATGAACAAAGCACTAGCAAATAAATTATATGCTTTGGCAAATTATTTTTTAGCTTCTCAAACTGTTGTCATTAAATATCTCATTATGACATTTCTCAGAGTCAGGTTCATAGTCGGTACTCAGTTAATATTTATTACCTGGTTAATACTAATTTTAAAAATTAAAATGCAAGCTCATTTTAGAAAGGGGAAGGAATCAGCAGATTGCATGCTGAGGTAGAATACTATGGCACGGAGAATTAAAATAAATCTACAACCACCAGATTTGCTGAAGAAAGTCACAGTTAATACAATGGAAATGGAAAAATCCATGAGGGATACACATAAGGTAAACACGAATTTGCTCCCAATATCTAGAAATATTAGGAAAGACAGAATTACTTATTCCAAAAGTATTTATAAGCAAGGCACTTTGATAATTCAAAATTATGACTTTCTAGAAAAGAAGCTATCATATACCTTACCTTTTAAAGTGATATCAGGAAACAATTTTAGCTTTTCATGGTACATACCTTACAGTTGGTTGGCAACAGATCCTTGAGGTGGGCGATTCACGGCCATGACTAATGGATTCGCACTTTCTAGAACTTCTAGGCCATTATTCTTTATACACTAAATCTAGAAATATTCTCTCTTTCTATCATATATATGCACACATGGGCACATATATGGTTCTTCAAGCAGCAGACCAAGTTTAAGCAATATTACATAAATTGACACAATTCAGGGCAAATACCACCCAGGCTTCCCACAGCATTAAAGACAACAGTTATTTTTTTCATGTTGTCTACATGTGCATTTTGTCTACATTTTTGTTCTCACTTCAATCCAGAAATAGCAGTCACCCAAAAGCTTTCTTTAAATGTTCCTATTCTGAGAAACACACTAGACGGTAGAAGTTTATGTCCAGATTCAGAAGGTCCACTTGAAAAAGAAAAATGTTTCAATTGAGAATTTTAGTGCAAACCAAAGATTAACAGCTCAGAACCCGATTTAAAAATGTTCCTGGTGCTGACGGCAGGCCGTTGAAGAGTTTAAACAAATGATCTGCCCGTAAGCAGTACCATGTCCTTCAGATTTCCAGGCTCCATACCAAAAAGGGAAAATTCTGTTTATGAAAGTCTATAGCAAAGCTTGCTGATTTTACGATGCATTTAATAAAAGGAAAGGATATATGTTAAACTATAAAGACACTAAGATAAAACTGCGACAAGAATATCTACAGCAGAATAATCCCATTCCTTTTTGGTTCTATCCACAAATACATACACAAGAGAAGGAAGGAGTGGTCTCTGCTCTGAGAGCCTTAGCTGTGAAACTTAACGTTTATCAGTCTCCAGCCTGACATCAATATTCTCCTCTACTTGCTCTTTGCTGTTAGAGCTGTTCTTTCTTTTCCTTCTTCTTTTCCTCCGTCCCTTAGTTTTCCTTATTCATTCTTTGACTCTCTCGTGCCCACAGTTTCTTTTCATTTCTCCTCTTTCCTTCACTTCCAAATTAAATGGGCTGAATAAACATCATCACAAAGAGAAGCCTTGTGAAAATGCACTGGGAAGGACCATTGCACCAGGTCTTTGCAAAAAAAAATGTCATAGGCTCTAACGCCACATAGAGATTTGAGGATGCACAAATCCTCAGATAATAGAGATTTATCTTTTCTGCAAAGTAGCCCGAACCTGTAAGAAGTTGAGGGAATTTCTGGCCTCCTTGGCATTGGATTGAAGGCAGCCAAGAATGAGGAGAAAGAAACTATCCTGTTTTGACAGATTAGATTTGGGACCGCTGGGGACATTCTCCAGGTAGGCCCAGCTGAAGAAACTGTAGTTGTAAAATTTCTCCCAGAAATGTAGGAGGAAATTACCCAGAGGGGCCAGTCCATTTCAGGATGATGAAGAGGTTATCTCTAGACTTCTAGCCTATTTTTAAGTAAGCAATAGTAAAACGTCTCCAACATTCAGAGAATGAATGAGTTCTCTGAATGCACCATCTTGCTCTCTCATAACATTAAGGCATTCACACATACATTTGCCATCTAGCTCATTGTTTACCTTCTCTTTTTGCATTAATGTCTTGCTACTTGGTTTTGTTGGAAAGAGTCCTTGATGGACAAGGACAGCACCTTCCAAATATTCTGCAGTGAAAATATCAGGCTTCATGCTTAAGAGGAGATTTGAGCAGCTTCATGATAAATAATAAAAATGAAGCCTATGCTTTTCCAGGACTTTGCAATTTTTGAAGTTCTTTCATGAACATGCTCTTGGGTGTCAAGCATAATCCTGACCTGAGTTGCTTAAAATGAGGCATCTCCAAATGTGGCTGCAAATGGAAGCCATCACCGACAAAATGGAAAATAGCAAAATTAACCAAAGGTACAACATTGACACACAAAATCCGTGGTCTTTTATTTCTCATCCAAATGTAAGTCACTAGACTGTTCACAGAACATTCTACAGAATATGCAGATATCTTGACCACACTGTAACTTCTATGAACATGTCTTTAATGCCCAATTAGGATTGGTCTGATTAACACAATGCCAATAAGGAACAGTAATGCAGAAAAAATTTCTTTCTCAGATAAGCCAATGATTAATCACTGTAAATGACAAAATGGACCCTGAAGGCCATAAGTTAGTAAAATTATTGCTAAAAACTTGGATTTTATATTGCATTTTGTTTTACTTTTTGCAGGTGGAAGAGTTTTATCACAAGTTTTGTGGTTGACATGATGACATGAAACCAAAGTGGTTCTGATGCAATCACCCAATCTTAGTGCATTTGCTCCTGCTGCTCTGCTTATCTACCCTAACATGGTTTATATAATTGAAAAGGTTTCAGGAAAAGAATAATTTTTCAGATAAAATCATTACTGAATGTTCACTATTTAAATGTAGAGAGTTTGTATGTTAATTTTAAAAAACCTTTTAAAAAATATGTTCTTGTAAATTACATATTGTCTATGGCTGCTTTTTCTTTACAACAGCAGACTTTGAGTAGCTGTGACAAAGACTAAATGTCCCACAAAGCCTAAAGTATTTACTATCTGGTCCTTTACAGAAAAAAAATTTCTGACCCTGGTATGCAATACTTCAATTTAAAAAAAAATCTTAGTTTTTGTGTCTTTGAAACTCAGACTCTGTGTGTGTGTGTGTGTGTGTGTGTGTGTATTCTGTTTTCTTAAATTCACACAGACCCACAAATACAGAAGCATTGTGTCATCACATAACAATATTGAAGTGTTTGTCCAGAAGGGTAATAAAGAGGGTGAATGTAATTATCTTTCTATTTCTTGAAGAGAACACCCCCTTTTACAAGGCTCATTGAAAGAAAACTATGACTCTTTTGTAACTAGATAACAATTTACACCAATCGCAGTAACTGCCTTCCAACTCAAAACACGCACTCCCTAGTTTGTCTCTCTCTCTCTCTCTCTCTCTCACACACACACACACACACACACACACATACTCCTACATTTTCCTAATGGATCCCAACCACTCATTCAGAAAATATTTACTGAACACTTACTAGATGCCAGGTGCTATGCTGGGCCCTAAGAATCCAAAACAGAATACCATATGGCCCCGGCCCTCACCAGGCTTGCAGCAGACTGCAACAGGCATGTAACATTTGATTACAGTCCCATGCAGTAAGTACTGTTAAGAGAAATATCTGTAAATATGAAAACATTTTAGCAGCAAAGTGGATGGAGTGAGCAGATGAAGTTAGGGAAGACTTCACAGAGGAAGTTATATTTCACTTGTGCTTGGAAGTCTGAGTAGGAGTTGTTTGCAGTGAAAAAGAGAAGAAAAGGTATTTTAAGCAGCAGGAGCAACAGCACATGCAATGAAGTGAAATAAACATGGTAGATCTGGAGACCTGCACATCACATGTGCTGGAGTCCAGGGGAAGCAGGGAAGTGTAAAGAGATGAGTTGGGAAAAGTGAGCTGGGTTCAGACCTACACCTTGCTAAGGAGTTTGAACTTTATCTTGTATAGGTGAGGGTTATAGGCATTTGTTAAGCAGATAAATGGCATACTCTGATTTTTGGTTTAAGATGAAAACGTTGGGGGGTAGGGTGGAGAGAGGATGAGGGTGAGAGAGAGACTGAAAGCAACGACTTCCCAGATTTATCAGTGTATGTCCACCCATGCACAAGCCCTCTCTGGCACACTGAGTGAACAGGGCATCCATAAATGGAAGATATCCTGGTGCCTGAGTGAACCGAGGAAAAAGTCCACACAGCCTGTTGGTTGGAAAATACAAATCATAGCATGCCAACTTTACTTTCTAAGAGGCAAATACCAGCCGCCTTTCTATTGCAGCTTGTGTGCCTGAAAATCTCCAGTACCCAGAGCGAGCCCATGCAAATGGCAACAAAAGTAGACAGAAATGCTACAGTTACCAGCTTTTATGCTTGTGGTCAAAAAAAGAATGAAGACTCTGTTTCTAAGCCCAGAAACATCGATTATTACAATATCCCAATCTCAGTCCAGACATCTCCAACTTGTGGAATGTTTGTGCCATACTCTCCCTTCAGAAATGCCTCCTCATTACAGAATTCTTGCAAAAGTGAAATAATTCCAGCTACTGTTTTTCCCATAAAAGGGACCACTGTGCTTCTGCTACTTTCCCCCAGCATGTTTCTGTAGGTGGTCATTTCAACAATAAAGGAAGTTCAAGGGTTCAAACAGATTTCCACTGTTACAGCCCAAAAATTTGAGGTTTTTTCAAGGAAGTCCCCCCTGCCGAGCAATTATGCTTGAATTCAAGGCTGGCTATTTCTTACCAAAGCTGTGGAGAGAGGAGGGCAGAGGGGAAAAGGGATAAGGAAATGAGGGAGGGAAGGGGAGAAGATAAGAGACTAAAGAAATCAGGGCACTCAGTCAGAAGTAAATGTTTGCAACTGGCCATCTGATACCATTGAGACTCGGGAACACAGAGGAGAGAGGAGTCCAGAGGATTGATTCATTCCCCATTCTTATTTTTGGCTAGTTTTTACTCTGATAGATCAATGCACTTAGGAAAAACAAATATCTAGAGGAGCCACAAGCGGGCTATACCGTGTCCCAGGGAACAAGTTCAAAAGGTCCTGGAAGGAGCCAGACAGATAGAGCCAGTGTCCCGGCAGAGAACATTTGCTTGTTCTTGGTGCAGACTTGTCATCTGCTCAGCTGTCCCCAGCGAGGTCTCCACCCCTATGTGATATCCCACAACCTCCCGGGGCAGGGCAGGGCAGGCTCAGTACCAAGATACCAGCCAACCCCCGCCCCCATGCAGTGTTGCCAAGGGCAACAGAGAACTGCAGCCTCACCATTTTCTCTTCTGCCTTTCTGTCCTCCATTCTTGAACCCTTGCTGCTCTGCCTCTAATCTTTCTTTCCTCTGCCTCTGTGGAAGGGGGCAAGGAGGGGGAAGGTCTGTCTGTCTTTCTCTCTGTGTTGCCTATCCTAAAGTAGAATTCATCTAATTCATCGTTTTCAGAGTGGATACTTGAAAACATCATAGGCTAGGAAAATTCTTGTTCCCCTTTGCCGTCATGCTAAAACTCCCAGGGTCTCAGCCACCCAGTGGCTCACCTTCCAGGTCCCAGTGCAGGGAGACCTCTCAGGAAAGCATCTCTGGTGCCATTTCCTTGTCACTGCTAATGAGCAAACTGCTAGTAACGTCTTAGAGAAAACAGGCCCAAGCTAAGAAGAGGCATTCTCTAAAACATATTACCTAATTGTTTCACTGGCGCGGAGACGGGGGAGGGAGGGAACATTATGAAATAAAAGCCTGGAAAGCCCACATATTTTTAGAAGCAAATTGCACATAAAAGTACATGATCGTCAATGATTTAAATGACTGAAATGTCACACTGACATTCATGACCAAACATGCTGATGGAATTTATGAATGCACAACTGTACCTCAAGCCACCGGGATTCGTTTCTGGCCTTCCTGCCTCAGGTGATTTTTACACCTTTGTTTGCTGCTGCCTTGTACTGGGATTCACTCATTTCACAAAAAAGCAAACTAAGGTTAAGAGAATGTCAGTGGTTTTGCAGAGATGCTGCAATCAATTGCACAGAAAGCAGTAAGGGAAGAAATTCTCATCTTGACATTGTCTGGGCCAGTCCTCCTGGAAATTTGACCTGGCAGATCAAATGTCCAGAAGAAGTAGCCTGGACCTTGGGACAGTGTCATTTTGTGTGCCTGTCTGCACCTGCAGTTTAGATGTGGAAAGATCAGTTATTTCTTTGAAAAAAAATAAAAAACAGGAAAGAAAAGTTAAAGCTGAGAGTTTAGAAGGTAAGACCTGCAGCCTGATTCTCTATACGACAGAGCTTCCCAAATACAAGGCAGGACCTGGTTACAAAAGACCAAAGCTCTTGTTTAATTGCCTTCCTCTTATAAGGAAGTGCCCCAGCATGCTGATTCAAAGCATATCCAAAGTAGAAGAGTAAGATTTGTTTATGTTTATCTGCTTTTTTTGGGGGTGCAACTTTTGAAACTGTCTATCATTTCAACATTTCCAGTGTAAAAGGATTAATAGAGTGATAGCTCCCCCGAGGACAAACAGGTGAGCAGATAGTACAAGCCAGATTTATCATCCCAATAAATCCACTTTTCAAAACAAACAGTCTTCGCCTTTGGAAAAGCATGATTCTCTCCCATTTCTGGGCAAATGACTATAGTTTCTTTTTCTGGGAAGAAAGAAAAGTATTTTGAATAGGTTCTGAAACGATTAATCAATCTAACCAAGCTTGTGGTTTCATTTCAATTAATGCCTAGTTTAAAACAGCTAATGACATCAAGAGAGAATGACTCATAACAAAAGCAACTTGCACAGCCCACATTAAAAAAGTCCATGTGAATAGCATCATCACCACTAAAGAGTAATAATTAAGCAACCCATATGATCATGATGCAATGAACTTGAGAGGAGAAATGATAACAATGACAACGCTACATAAACTTTAATTGGATAAGGTAGCCACAATCCCACAGAGAATCGGACTATTTATTTAGAAAATGGAACATATTTATTGACTGTAAGACAAAATTACATGTACAGGAGTTTTTCCAGACTGATCTCAAAAAGGCATGTAAACCTTCATTCTTGTGTGTATGTGTGTGCGTGTGTGCACGCACACACACACAAGCGCTAAATACACAGGTAGTCACATATTCTACTAGGTGCCATATGGAAATCGTTTTTCAATTAGGCTAAGTTTAAAAGCTTCATAGTTAAGATCGGAGGCTGACAAACTTCAGCCCACAAGCCAAATTGACCCACCACCTGTTTTTTATAAACTTTCATTGGAACACAGCCATGCTCACTCATTTACGTATTGTCTATGGCTGCTTTCGCACTCAGTGACAAAGAGCTATGACAGAGACTTCATGATCTGCAATGCTCAAGATATTTACCCTCTGGATCTTTACAGAAAAAAAATTGTGAATCTTTGATTAAGATAATGGATACCTTCTGACTCACACATCAGTCAGCATGCAAACATTGTTCAAGTTTGAGTCAACAAGCACTAGACTTTTTTTCAGATTATTGGAAAGTGATGTTAAATATCAGGACACACTAAGCATTCAGTTAAAAGGAACTTTTGAGACTTAGCATAATTGCTGCCTTTGTTTTCTCTCTCTCTCTCTCTTTCTTCTTAAGACAGGGTCTCACTCCCATTGACCAGGCTGGAGTGCAGTGACGTGATCACAGCTCACTGCAGCCTTGACTTCCTGGGCTCAGGTGATTCTCCCACCCCAGCCTCCTGAGTAGCTGGGACTACAGGTGCATGCCACCACACCCAGCTGATTTTTTCTTATTTTTAGTAGAGACGGGGTTTTGCCATGTTGCCCAGGCTGGTCTTGAACTCCTGGGTTCAACTGATCTGCCGGCCTCGACCTCCCAAAGTGCTGGGATTACAGGCATGAGCCACTGCACCCAGCAACGCTTGTTTTCAATCTCAATTTCTTTGAAAACATTTTTGAGCTATGTTCTTGATATGATGATAGAATACATATATATTATCTTAATATATAATATATATTATAAAAGAATACATTATTTAAGTATATAAATATCATTGAAATGGAGCCACACTAATGTTACTCATCCATAGTTCAAGAGCTTCATATATGCACAAGGCTTTTCTCACTATTTCATATGAAAAGATACACTTAACACCATAATGACATTTACCATCATTCTTTATCACTTCATTCTATGTCACTGCAAACTTCAGGGAGCTATATAAATAATCAGGGGTGGCTGAACATTCATCTAAAAATCTCCTGTTACCAAAAGTATGAAACTACACATAATTCTAATACCATTGTGAAATACATCTTTCCTGGATAAAACAATCACTTACCCCTTACAAAACAGATTATCTTATTTCAAAAAAAATTACTTGCTCATGGAGAAAAAGCTGTGATTAAAAGTGCATTTGGGGTGAATATAAACATAGGGTAGGGAGCCAGGAAAAGGAAAATCTTACAGAATATGGTCATGGGTTATTCTACACTACCTGGATATATTTCAAGGAATATTTCATTTTTTCCTCTATTTCTAAGTTCAATATTTCTAATTTCATTTTTCACACAGAGCCTGTTAATTATCTGTAGGTGATATAAAATTGTCTTCTTTTTTTAAAAAAAATCTAAATGTAAGGCCTTTTGCTGTTTGAGGCTAAGGATTGAGCATAATATGCATCACTACTGTCATCTTCTGTCAAACCCACGCCCTGAAGGTGACACAGACTGTGATGAAATATAGTACGGTAGCAAGGATTGGGTTATACTGTATGTAGATGCAGGCTGTCACATTCATGATCTGGATCAAGGATACATGACCTCATTCCATGGCTAGTCAACCTAGAGCAAGTGTAATTTATTGGCGCCAGGAGGCCTCATTATGATCTGGCATTCAACACAGCCCATTCCTCTTACTGAAGTACACATCTTAACTCCCTCACAAAGAAAAATTATAGCTACGTAAGAAATCCATATTACTAGGCTTCATTTTATTGACAAGATTTCTAAGGTAGCAGAAAGAAAATAAATTTGCCAACCCATTTTGGAACATATGTGGCATATTAAAATGATTATGAAAAATGAATAAGAGATGATCATTCACTTGAAACCACGTTGAAAACATTGGGATAACCCTTTTATGATACTTAGCCAAAATCACCACCTCTTGGGAAAAGATTAACCTGCCATTGCTTAATTTAGGACTCCAAAATATCCTTAATGTCTTGAAAGCCACTTGTAACTATAATTTCTCTTTATAGTTGGACGTATCTCCACCCACACCACACTGCTTTCTAAGTTTCACACAAAGACAATATGGTGTGCTGGCTCCTTCCAAATGATTCATAATGAGCTCTTTTAAAGAAATTTGGAAGATATAGCCCAAGAAGCAGAAGTTTCCTTTGACTAAATAATAGGATTTTTGCCTTTTTTGATGCAAAGGCAAAATTTTGGAGCAAGGAAGAGGTGTGATATAGCATATAAAATTGGAGGCATATAAGATACTAACATCTGCTCATGGGCTTATGTGAGAGTTTTCCAGGAACGTTCTATTATAAGTAATTTAAACAAAGGCAGCCATTTCAAAACCAATGGAAATGAAGGCCTGCATTTTGGGAACGCCAGGAAAGGGAAAGGAAAGGTGTCAGGAGGGACACGGATTTCTTTACTCACTGGTGTTCTAAGGTCTGGAAAAAAAAAAAAAAAAAAAAAGCAGAGAGTTGCCGTCAGAAAGGTCAATCTGGTTTCCTTTCCATGCTGTTGCTAAAAGCCTGTACGACCTTTATCTGGGCAGATAATGAACTAGTTATTATCCCAACGCAAGGTCCTGACTCTTTCTACACTCCCCATCATCAACTCGCCATGCTTAATTCAATCTGTGTTTATGCAACTCAAAGTAATCCCACCAGATTCAGCCAGCCCCTTTCCAGACAGCGATACTGTTGCTAACATGAGGGTGGTATCATTTTCAGAAGGATGAGGAGAAAGCTTTATCATGACAAGGAGACCACCCTCAGACACAGCCATTTTTTTAGTGTTCTGGCATGTTTGGGGGTTTTCATTTCTCAGTGGATCTGAGATAAGCCACCCGGAGAGCCTTTAATTGTTTCTTTGAGGCTATTGTTATTTATACTCTATGGACACTTGAAAGGCAACTCTCAGGATCTCAGTAAAAAAGGGTTTCATTCTCTGAATCTCACTCTAGGCACAGAAATACTGGCTAGGCAAGAAATCCTGGATGTTAGAGCTGTTTTGGAAGCAGCATTTTTCTAAAAAAGCATTAAGTACATAAAATTTCTCATTTGTGCCACAAGTTTTGCTCAAGTCCTACCCTGTTTACCTAGGCCTCATTATTACCCCATTATAGTATTAATCAGTGCCATTTGCCAAAGGAAAGCTTTAGCTCTCCTCCTTCTTAGTAAGATTGTTTCACCTACTTCTTTGAGGTTGGATGTGGCCATGTGACTTGCTTTAGCCAATGAAGGATGAGCAAAAGTGGTATGTGGCACTTCTAGGTGAAAACTTTGGAGCCAGTATACAATTTACTATATTCTCCTTTGTGACACGTGTCAGAATGAAGCCTCCATCAGTCCAGATCCAAGAACAATTACAACTAACAGAGCACCCCTGGTGACACCCCTTAGACATGTAGCGTAGGGGAGAAAGAAACATTTGTTATATGAGCCATTGAGATTTGGGAGATGTTTATTGTCATGGCATAACCCAGCTTATCCTGACCTTCCAGTTTCACCTTTTTACAACTGCTGCTCTGGCTCCAAAACAAGAGCACCTGTCTGTAATTGACAAGCTTAGGAGAATCCCCATGGAATAGTAATTTAAAAAAAAAAAAAAAACATAATGGAAGGAAAAGACAAGGGCACAGTAAACCTATGTTCAATTGACCATAGATTTTCATTAAGTGCTCCTGCCTGACTCATTTAAGATGCTTCACACACAGTACTATGCTTTTTAACATGAATAGTCTAGTACCATGTTTAATTATCATCACCTTTGTCTTGTTCGGGAAACAGCAGATGTTACAGTGGGCAACAAGTACCTTGTGTTATGAACTGATTGTTTGTACCCAAATTTCATATGCTGAAGCCCTAACCCCCAGTGGGGCTGTATTTGGAGACGGGGGCTCTAAGGAAGTGATTAAGGTTAAACAAGTTCATGAGGGTGGAGCTCTGATCCAGGTGAATTAGCATCTTTATCAGAAGAGACACCAGGGAGCCTGTATGCTCCCTTGCTCTCTCTCTCTCTCTCTCTCTCTCCTCTCTCCGTCGGTTTCTCCCTCTCTCTGTCTAACATGTGAGGATACAGCAAGAACGCAGTTATCTACAAGACAAGAAAAGGGCCCTCACCAGAAACTGAATTGGCAGTCACCTTGATCTTGGACTTCTCAGCCTCCAGAACCATGAGGAATTAATTTCTGTTGTTTAAATAGTCTAATCTATGGTACTTTCTATGGCAGCCCTAGTAGACTAATACATACTGGGACTAGTCAAATGGGCATCCGATGACATGAGTTGGTAATTACTTGGAAAAAAAATTCTCTCAGGGCTGAGGCACTAGAATAAAAGAAAAGAGCTTATCCTAAGGGAGAAGGGAGAACAAGTTGGAAGGAGGGATTTGAACAATCCTTGACAGACGGATGTTGTTTTGTGGGAGCTCAACAAATACTCCTTATGTACTGGGCACTGGGGATGGGGCTGGGGACACAAAGACAAAGGACACATGGGCCCTGACTCCAAAGAACTCATAATCTAGTGGAAAACACATAGAATAAACACATTGCTTCAATACCACAAACATCTACTGAGCACCCACCATGTGCTATTAAACATCACGCTGGGAGTTGAATCAAGCAATACATTAATATTGATCATCTGATCATTCTTTATAGAGGTGCATATACTGTTCAGGCAGGTACAGTGGCTCATGCCTGTAACCCCAGAACTTTGGGAGGCCGAGGTGGGAGAGTCGCTTGAGCCCAGGAGTTCAAGTCCAGCCTGGGCAACATGGCAAAACCCCATCTCTACAAAAAATACAAAAATTAGCCAGGTATGGTGGCACATGCCTGTATTCCCAGCTACTAGAGAGGCTGAGGTAGGAGGACTGAGTCCAGGAGGTGGAGGTTGCAGTGAGAGGAGATCACATCACTGTACTCCAGCCTGGGTGACAGTGAGACCCTGTCTCCAACAACAACAACAACAACAAAAATACATATACTGTTACGTTATGAGCAGAATCAATAAATAACGGGGTGGGTAGGGGCATGGGGAAACAAATGCTCCCTGGCCTCTTCACCACATGACAGCACTATTTTCTATTTTCTTCAGAATGTTGCCCCATCTTCTTGGGTCACTCTCAGTCTGGCTGACTTACCCTGGGAGACCTCAAGAGAGAGTCTGACCAAGATAGAGTCTTAGAAACAGTCAGTGCTCACTAAAAATGAACCAGTAACAACCAATCTTCAGCTCCACCATGTAAATTGCTTGGTTCAAATAAAAGGTTATATGGTCACATGTCTTAATATGCAATTCAAAGTAAGTGATCACTACACAGTATCTGAATGAAGCACACCATTCAGCTATCATGACTAGTAACAGAAGCAAATGTGAATTCTTACCTGAACACTGGCAAAATAATCTTCCCCCAAAAAAAATCAACACTCCTCAGAAAGAGCTTGCTTTTCAGAGCCTTTCCTAAAATCTTATGATTCAAGCCTTACATCCTCATGTCAGCCTCATTCAAGAGACCTAAAGCCAGATCATAAAAGACCCATAAGTTCACTGTTGGAGAAAAATTGGGTTATAATCCCTAAAAGAGGTGGTACAGATGCCATCCAAACTGTCTAGGCTTTTTATTACTATTAGGAAAATCAAGCAATTGGAGAAGGGCTTCAAAATATGGTTTATAGGGATGAGAAGGGAGGGTGAAAAAGGAAAACAAAATATAGTATTAAAAAAACAACACTCTGACACCAGAAGAGGAAACACCACAATCTCCCTGTAACTCTGGATTTACTACATTAATCTTTTAATACAGAAAGGATTTGCTGAGACAGATACCAACATAGATATTATTAGATGTCGGTCATGCTCTGCTTCTGCAAAAACAATGCATGGGAGATGATGCCAGCAGATGTAGGTTTCTCAGGTATACCTGAGCCGTTGGGAGGAAGGAAGGATGGAAGGTTTGGGAATTGACATGGCCCAGTCCTTCTTCCACAGGGAAACTTTCTTTCTGCTGTTAGGATTTTGATGCTAAAAATTTGGTGTTAGGTTCTGTGAGGTAAGCAACTCATCCTCACCCTCTTTGCCCCTGGCTGCATCCTCCCACATCACAGTCAACCTTTAGCTTCTCCCTCTTCCTCTGCAATGGCAAAATACAGAAACTAGACTATAATAGACTGGGGAAACTATAGCCTTCATCTTTAATTAGGTAGGATGGCAAGGTAACGTCAGCTTTCTGTCTGAGTAAGGTTGGGAGACAGCGTTAATGATTCCTGAGAGTGCAACAGTAGTGTGTCCTAGCAAGCGCACACACAGACATTTATTAAAACATCCTAGCTCCGTGGTGTTTTGTTTTGTTTTGTTTTGTTTTAATGAAAAAGAGTCCCATGGCACAACTCCACCTAGACACTGCTGTAACTAGCTGAGATGTGTGGTGCTGCAACCTGGGAAACATTTTAGCTGTCTTGGTTTTCTCCACCAACAATCGAAGGGGACACTGGAAGGCATGGATCCACAGCTCACAGAGATGTAAACATAGGGGAGGATTTTGTGGTAGCTTCTTGCAGACCCGCTTGTTTAGACAGGAAAATAAATGGCCAGTGTTGAGGGATAAGGTCAGTCATGAGACATATTTTCCAGTCTCCCTGACTGCAAACTAAGAGGACATCTTCTAGAAACTACTTTACCAATGTGGACAAGGGGGTTTGGGGTGGAAATGGCAGGAGAGGAAAAGCAGCCACGTGGTCTTGGGAAAGTCGTCTGAGCTACTTTGAGCCTCGGTTTTATCATCTGTAAGACTGACATAATAACTCTTGGCTTTCTTACCTCACCATGTTGTTACAAGGATGAAATGAGATAAGGTGTGGGAAAGTGCTTTAGAAAATTCTGAAGAGCCACCCACGATAAGAAGTTATTATATCCCAGCTCATCCAGAAGTTGTCTTTGGAGGCAAATTTTCAAACTAAATTGTTGGTCCATGCTAGCTCTCACAACGTGGTTCTCTTGCTTCTGCCTACCCACCTGGGGAATGAGTTCTCTTCCACCCATAGGGAACTGGATTGTGGGTGAAGCCTGAGTGGATGTTTCAGTTGAGGAAGCATGGCCTCAGGGATGCTCTAACTGTGAAACAGAGAGTGGACACGTCACGTGTGCTATTACACACCTGTTCTCTCTCAGGCAGGGGAGGGACAGGCAGCTGGGTGCATGCACCAGCATGTCACACACTGCTTCCATCAACCTACGAGGCACGTGTGGAAAAAGCTGACACTGTCACAGTCTACAAAATCCAGGAAGCAGTCCTCACTCCTCTTCTCTGTTACCTCCTCCTTTGTCCTCTCCAAAAAATGAAAATTCAAGATTAATTTTTAAAAATCTCTTTCCCTGTTGGATTTGAAGGAAAGCACCTCACTGGGAGCTGGACTCTTAGGCAGCACTACTCTTCTCTCTATCATTATCCGTAACCCTTCCAAGGTGCCCAGAGCCCTGAAATCCACTGTGATTAGTCATCACATGTCCCTCCTGATGATTAAACTGAATCACCTAAGAATCAAGATGAAACCTAGAATCCAAAGTTCACTCATTCAACAAATATTCACTCAGCTCCTACCACATTCCAGGCAGGCACTAACTGGTGGCATGCAGAGACCCACTACTTGCTCACCAAGCCTGCTCATGGCTAGATGACATTTTCCAGCAGCTCCTGCAGGTATATGCAGTCATATGGCTGAGTTCCAGCCAATGGAATATGAGTGGGGGTTTAGTACCCAACTTCCAGGCAGAGCCCATTAAAAACCTTCCTATACAATTCTCCATTCCCTCTTCTTCCATCTGTCTGTCAGATGCAGGCTTGGAAAGAGAGGACAGCCCTAGGAGATAAGAAAACTACAAAATGAAAGGGGCCTAATTGCCGAATAACAGTGTAGAAGGTTATCTACTGAACACCCACATTGAATTCCATGTGGGTAAGACATAAAACTTCTGTTGTCTTCAGATACTGAGACTTTTGGGGTTCTTTATTACAGAAATTAGCCTATTCTGACTATAGAATTGGGAGTACAAAGTGGACTAAGTCATGGTCCCTGATCCTATGAAGTTTCCAGTTTAGTGGAAGAGCACAAAAATGAGCAGGTAATTGCAATAGAGTGAGATAATTGCCACGGAGAGAGAGAGAGAGAGAGAGAGAGAGACAGAGTGTTACGGGCAACTAACTCAATGGGGAGGGTTAGTCAGGAAAGCTACCAGGAAAAAAGTGGTATCAAAGTTGGGACCAGAGGGAGCTGTATGAGGTGCTAGAGAGCTTGGCGTATAAGAAGGAAACAGAAGAATCTTAGAACTGGGGCCATGGCAATGAATCTAGGGAGGCAGAAGGAGAGATTAGGCTGGAGAGAGGCTGGGACCAGGCTCATATGGTCTTGAAAACCAGTTCATTTAGATATTATTATAAGAAGCCATGGAAGAATGTGAACTAGGAATTGTACCTTGCAAGATTTCACTCTGCAGGAGTGTAGAGAATGGATTAGGGGAGAATAAGGCAAGGCAAACATACTCACCAGTTGAAAATCTCTTCCAGAAACCAATATAGTGCTTCAGACTCTTAGACATTGACACCAACCCGGATCCCACCCTCCTTACTGCACACTTTGGTCATTGTTATTTAGACCTTTGGCCACCTTTTCTGAGGGCCCACTCTTAACAGAATCACTTCTCTCTGGCCCTGGTGCTCCCTCCCTTTCTAATTTATATCCCTCTTCCTGCCAGCCTGGCCTAACTCCCAGCATCCTTTTCAGTAAGCCCAGAGGGAATTACGACACAAAGCAAGAGGCTATACTATTCCGTCTTATACTCCTTATAAACAATGCCCATTAAACATCCAGCATTACACCAAGAGACAAGTGCCTCTGAAAACAAGGACAGGACAGCGAGGTGATTTTTACTACAGCATTAGCAGCCACACACAAGCAAACAGTCTGTCAGAAAGACAAGTGGCAGCTGTCTAGAAGGGCAGGCACAACCACTATAGAAATATAACTAAAATAGCTGCACCTGTCCGGGTAGCACTAGAAACTTATGAAAAGGTAAGTGGGGAGGGGGCTTCAATCTGAGGGATCCACCAGGCAATCTGGTTCCCAAGGAGAACTCAGGCCCCTCAGCCACAAAGGAGCAGATGTGGCCAGGAGTGAAGGACACTAAGAGAGAGGGAGCCAGGAAAAAAAAGATCAAGAAGGGCCTGGGGCAGATTTCTATTTAAAGCACAACCTTAAAAGGGGACAGAGTCTTATTTTTATTCAACCCTTGTCCAAGTGCAAAGAAATAGCAGTTTATTTCCCACATTCATCTCCTGCTCCCCTTTGAATGACAGTGTGGACAGCATGGCTACATTTCTCATTCTGTGGGTGAGATGCCAAAGTGTTCAAGGTTGCTCTAGTGTTTATTCCATCACCAGATATTACTGGTGGAGACTGGGCTACATTTACCAGCAGGAATGTGCCCCATAGTAGTACTTTCAACCTATGAATGTTCCACCAAGAACAGTGGGAGAAAATGATCCAGCCCTGCTCTCAGCCACGAAAACATGCCACCTCAAGCTGGGCTTGGAGCCTGCAATCGTTCTTTGTCCTTGGTCAGCCCTTGTAGCAGAAGCTGGCTAGCTGTTCAGCAAACCTGTTTATCTTTTCCTCCTGGACACATAAGTAGACTGTATGTGCCAATCTCTCCTGCAGTTAGGTGTGGCCATGTGACTGAGTTCTGGCCAAAAGAATGTGAGTGGAAGTAAAGAAAGTTACCTCCAGGCCTGTTCCATAAAACCCTCCCAGGTTCAATCCTCCATTCTCTTTCCCCATCCAGCATATGGGTGGGGAGGCCCAGGACCTAAAGATCCAAAAGACCAAGGACCAAAAAGATAGCAGAGACAAAAGATGGAAAGAACCTGGGTCCCTGAGTCACTATTTGGAGGAGAGCCATTGAGGATGGTCACCTGACCAAGATCAGACAACTGTATGAGAGAAATAAAGTTTTCTTGTGTTCAGCCACTGAAAGTTGGAGTCTGTTTATTACAGTAGCTAGCCTAATATGACTAAAACAGCTCCCTCTCTTATTCTTTTGAATGGGAATTTCAAATCTTCAACATTTTCCTCAAGCCCCCTAATACCCTCTACTCTTGGTAAAGGACATCATCTTATTTTTTAACAGCTTTATTGAGATGAAATTCACTCTTTAAAATGTGTAATTTGATGGTTTTTGGTATATTCACGGAGTTGCACAACCATTATCACTATCTAATTTTAGAATATTTTCATCACCCCTAAAAGAAACTCCATACTCATTAGCAGTCACTTCCCATTCCCTTCTTCCCAGCCCTAGACAACCACTAATCTACTCTCTGTCTATAAATTTATCTGTTCTGGATATTTCATATCATTAAGATCATGCAAATGTGTTCTTTCACTTAGCATGTTTTCAAAGGTCATCCATGTTGTAGCATGTATCAATAATCTTTATTGCCTTTAGTCACCTTTTTATTGACAATGTTTTATTGCATGGATATCCCACATTTTCTTTATCCATTCATTGGTTGATGGACATCTGTACTATTTCAACATTTTGCCTACTATGAATAGTGCTGCTATGATCAGCAATGTACATGTTTTTGTGTGAGAATATGTTTTCAGATCTCTTGTATATATATTTAGGAGTGAATTTGTTGAGTCATATGGTAACTCTACATTTAACATCTTGAGGAACTGCCAAACTGTTCCCCAGCAATGTATAACGGTTCCAATTTCTTCAGATTCTCACCAACACTTACTATTGTCTGCCTTTTTTATTTTATCCTTCCCAATGGGTATGATGATGTGGTATCTCGTTGTGGTTTTGATTTGCATTGCCTTGGTGACTAGTGATGTTGAGCATCTTTTCATGTGCTTATGGCCATTTTTATGTCTTCTTTGGAGTAATATCTATTCAAATCTTTTGCCCACTTAAAAAATTAGGTTGTCTTTTTATTGTTGAGTTATATACTTTCTTTATGTATTCTGGATACAAGCCTGTTATGGGTTGAATTGTGCACCTTGAAATGATATGTTAAAGTCCAATCCCCAGTACTTGTGAATATGACCTCACTTGGTAATAGGGTCTTTGCAGATGTAATCAATTTAAGATAAGGACACACTGGATTAGGGTGAGCCCTAGCTCCAATGACTGTTATCCTTATAATAAGGCCATGTAAAGACACACTGAGAAGACAGCACCATGCAAAGATGGAGACAGAATGTAATCATATGTCTGAAAGCCAAGGAACACCAAGAATTTCTGGCAACCACCAGAAGACAAGAGACAGGCAAGGAAGGATTCTTTCATAAAACCTTCAGAGAGAGCATGGCCTTGTTAACACCATGATTTTGGACTTCCAGCCTCCTGAAATGAGAAAATTAACTTCTGTTGTCTTATGCCACCCCAGTTTGTGGTAAGTAGTCACAGCAGCCCTAGGAAACTAATACAAAGTGCCTTTTCAGGTAAATGACCTGCAAATACTTTCTCCCATTTTGTGGGTTGACTTTTCACTTTGTTTATGGCATCCTTTGAAGGACAAAGTTCTTTATTTCTATGAAGTCCTATTTATTTTTTCTTTTGTCACTTGTACTGTAAGATTCATATCTAAGAATTAATTGCCCTATCCAAGGTCATAAAGACTTACTTTGCTTATAAGAGCTTTATAGTTTTAACTCTTAAGTTTAAAGCTATGACTGCTTTTGAGTTAAATGTTGTGATGATATAAGGAGGGGGCCCAACCTCATTCTTTTGCATGTGGATATTCAGCTGTCCCAGCACCATTTGTTGAAAAGACTATTGTTTCCCCCCATTGAATTGTCTTGGCACCCTTATCGATAATCAACTGATCATAAATGTAAAAACTTATTTCTGGAGTTTTGACTCTGTTCCATTGATCTATATCTGCATCCTTACACCAGCTCCACACTGTCTTGATTACTGTAGTTTTGTAATAAGTTTCAAAACTGGGAAGTGTGAGTTCTCCCACTTTGTCCTTCTTTTTCAAGACTGTTTTTTGGCTATTTTGGGTTCCTTCCCTTTCCACATTAATTTTAGGATCACTTTGTCAATTACTGCAAAAAAGTCAGCTGGGATTTTGATATGGATTGCATTGAATCTGTATATTGATTTAGGGAGTATAGCCATCTCGCAAACGTTGAATCTTCTGATCCGCGAACGCAAGATGTCTTTCTATTTATTTAATCTTCTTTATGTTCCTTCAATGAACTTTGATGTTTTTCAGTGCATGAGTCTTGCACTTTTTTTGTTAAATTAATTCCTAAATATCTTATTATTTTTGATGCTATTGTAAATAGAATTGTTTTCTTCTCATTCTCTCTCTTTTTTTTTTTCTTTTTGACATGGAGTCTTGCTCTGTCACCCAAGCTACAGTGCAGTGGCACAATCTGGGCTCACTGCAACCTCTGCTTCCCGGGTTCAAGTGATTCTCCTGCCTCAGCTTCCCAAGTAGCTGGGATTACAGGCGTCTGCCACTGCACCCAGCTAATTTTTGTATTTTTAGTAGAGACGAGGTTTCATCATCTTGGCCAGGCTGGTCTCGAAATCCTGACCTCGTAATCCACCCACTTCAGCCTCCCAGAGTGCTGGGATTACAGGCATGAGCCACCACACCTGGCCTTAGAATTGTTTTCTTAATTTCTTTTTCTGATTGTTCATTGCTAGTGTATAGAATACAGTTGAATTTTGTGTATTGATCTTGTATCCTAAAAGCTTCCTAAACTCATTTATTAGTTCTAATAATTTTTGTGGATTCCTTAGAATTTTCTACATACAAGATTATGTCATCTGTGAGTAAAGATGCTTTTACTTCTGCTTTTCCAATTGGATGCCTTTATTTCTTTTTCTTCCAATTGCTCTGGCTAGAATCTGCAGCATAATATTAAATATAATTGGCAAGAATGGACAGCCTGTCTTGTTTCCAATCTTAGGGGGAAAGCATTCAATCTTTCACTGTTAAGTATGATGTCAGCTGTAAGTCTTTCATAGATGTACTTCATCAGATTGAGGAAATTCCCTTCTACTCCTAGTTTGTTAAGTGTTTTTGTCATGAAAAGATCTGAATTTTGTCAAATGCCATTCCTACATCCATTTGGGTGATCATACAACCACACCTTCTTATTACAAAGAAAACAATGACCACTGAAAAAATTCAATTTCCAGCCATCTTCCCCATCTTATTTCACTGTAACAATCCGTATCTTTCTTCCTTCCCTGCCAGACTGTGAGTTACCTGAAGTTAGGGGTCTATCTTAGACTTATTTGTATCTTCAATATCTAGAGAGGTGCATGATACGTAAGAGTCACTCAACAATAAATGTTTGTGGAAATGATGAGGATAAATTTATCCCTCAGAGACACCTAACAGAATCAAGAGCTGAAGGTTCCTTTCCATAGGAAGAGTTGTTGATGGAAAGACTGTGACTGGGAGTAAAGCAGGAATGTTCTTAGGGTACAGTGTCCCTTACCACAAGCAGTAACTATCACCTGTCTCAAATATAAACAATTTGAAAACTCAAGTAGGGGTCGGGCATGGTGGCTCACGCCTGTAATTCCAGCACTTTGGGAGGCCACGGCGGGTGGATCACTTGAGGTCAGGAGTTCTAGACTAGCCTGGCCAACATGGTGAAACCCTGTCTCTACTAAAAATACAAAAATTAGCCAGCCGTGGTGGTGTGCACCTGTAATCCCAGCTACTCAGGAGGCTGAGGCAGGAGAATCACTTGAACCCGGGAGGTGGAGGTCGCAGTAAGCTGAGATAGTACCACTGCACTCCGGCCTGGGCAACAGAGCAAGACCTTGTCTGAAAAAAAAAAGAAAAGAAAAAAGAGAAAACTCAAGTAGGCAGGAATCCCCATGGTCTATAGAAAGAGCCATGCTTTCAGATCCTTGTAAAAATGGCTTTGGAATTAGATAGCGTTTCAAACATGTATTTTTCCAATGTCCAAATTAAGAAGAAAAGATATAGCAATAACTTAGTATTCTTGTGGTAGATAGCAAAAAAGGCAACAATTCTCCTCTCCTTGTGTCCAAAAACCTTGAAATTCTCCAGTCAAGAAGTAGAGTCTATTTCTTCACTCCCTAAGTGTTAACTGGTCTCGTGATTTGCTTTGACCAGCCCTAAGCCTGGGCCTCAAGAGGCTGTGCATGCTTCCCTGCTCTGTTGAAATTCTGCTAAAGAAGAGAGACTATCAACTCAGTAACCCAATTACTCTGGCCAACACCCAGCCAACCCTGAGAGGTAAGACCACTTTAGACCAGTCAGTTCTCAGGTGACTTGCCAGCCAACCAGTAACTCATCACAGACAAGAACAAGCCCAGCTGAAACTAGAAGAGCTACCCAGCTGAGTCCAGCCCAAATTGCCAACTCATAGAATTATGGGCTAAGTAAACAGTGGTTGTTTAAAGCCACTGATTTTTAGGGTTATTTGTTACACAGCAAAAGCTAACTGATACAGAGGCAATGTCCACATGAAGTTAGAAGACCAAGTCTTATTCCTGGATTGTTCACATGCTGATTTTACAACTTTGAGCCAATCACTTTACATTTTTGAGTCTCGATCTTTAAACAAGAGAAACAAGGAAAGATGGGGGACTGGTCAAGTGCTTTGCAATTATTATTAAACAGCCAACCCTTTTCCTCAAATGATAGGTTACAAGCAACCTCAATATATGAAATAGATGAAAAGGAATCTGTTCTGGTTCTGGAGAAAGCTCCAGAACTTCTGTTCAGCTTTCCTCTCATTCCTCTCTCCTACTCCCACCTTCACACCCTGGAATGGCACCTCAGGGATCTTGAGATAAAGTCTGGAAAACATTATCTTCTTCAGTTTCTCTAAGGCCTCTCTCAGGTTAACATTCCATGATTGTAGGCCTGAAGAGGAGAAGTAGTTTCACATGAATCAAGACAGGTTGGTCCCTTTTGTATCACTGCCCACTCTTTGTGGCAATTATTTGTTTACTTGCCTATCTGCTTCACCAGACAGTGAACAACTCAACTACACAGACAGCTTCTTCCTTATGGAGTCCCTTCTCCCACCCCAGTGATTACCACATCCCTCAACACACAGCATCTAGCCAAGAAATACCATGTAAATGGATACCTGGAAAAATGGGTGGATGGATGGATAGATAGATGGATGGATGAATGGATGAGCAAACAACCACATGAATGGATAGTTATTGCATAATCAATGAATAAATCAATGAGCACATGAATAACTTTGATATGTTATTCACAATGTTTCAAAGGTAGGATGAACTTAGCCTTCTCCATGAGCAGAAGGCCAGGGCTCCAAATTACATTTTTAGCAACGCCAAGTTACTCTCAGCATAAAGTCTGAAAGAAAAGTAACTAAATTACTACATCGTGAAAAGCAACCCCGGTTATCTCCTATCATTAATTCCTTTCAAAGGCAGGAAGCATCTCTCTCCATACTCTTTCCCTGAAAATGCCAGCCAGCCTCTCCCCAACCACAACCCAGCAGATCACCCTCCCTCATGGGCAGTTAGCTCATGGTGCCCAAAGAACAAGAAAATAAAACATAATATTACACCTTCAAACTCAGAAGATCACCAAGCACCAATACACATCACTTTACCCCAGTGATGTTGCATCATTTCTGTGGAATTTGTTATTCATCAAGGTTTTCCCAGAGAAGACCCAGGGAAAGCTCACTTAACATGCCACCCGGTTGGTTGTGTGGCCATGCCGGGAGGGGCTCCTGGGGTTGTTCTGCAGATTTCCAGCTCTGTGCTGAAAGCAGGAAGCCCATAGGGAAGTGTACTGGCTCTAGCCAGAGATTCTTCCCATCCTCCTTTAAAGCTTTTGCTTCCTGATCTAAGTTTTTAATGACTACCTTCCATTTAAACTTATCTTTAGCTTTAAAAGAGGCTAACTTCAACAGTACTGTAAGCCAAGATAATCTGGCCAGAAAGAAGTCTGGTGAATTTAGTAGCTTTTTTTTTAAGGTGGGGAATGAGTATGAAAAAAAATGCAATCTGGATCAGAAATAGAAATAAATCCCATAGACATGATGCAACATTGCTGGGGTAAAGCAATATGTATGGATGCCTGATGATCTTTTGAGTTTGAATATGTAAAGTCATGTTGTATTTTCTTATTGTTCTATTATTTAAACTATGTGTCTCAGTGGATATATTTTTCCTGCCATAATGTTCTTTAAAGTTCCCAGAACATTCTGAGTGCCCAATAACTGTAGAGCAGAGTAGGCATCTTACTTTATACAATCAGTATCTTCCTAAAAAGCTGTGGGCATCACTTTGTTTATAAATGGAATTATTATACCATTTTTCAAATTTTCATTAGTTTTTGGATCATATAAGTAACACAGAGAAGTCACAGTAATCTTGTCTCCTCACAAAACAGAGTTATTTACCACCTGCTAGACATAACTACTGTTAACATTTGAGAGCAGTTTTTCAAACTGTGGTTTGTGGCTCATTAGGAGATCATAAAATCAACTTAATAGGTCATGACTAGCATTTTAAAAAATGAAACAAAAGAAAGGAGAAGAGAAAAGAAATAGAATTAGAATAAAGTAGAATAGGGTAAGAAAGGAAAGGATAGGATAATACGGTAAAAAAGAGAAAATAAATAAATAAATATATCAGAACGTACCACACAAGAAAATACAAGTATTGTTAATAAACTATTGTTTCAGCTACATGTGTCTACTGACTCACAAATGTAAAATGTATTTCTCATAGTGGATCATGATCAAAATATGTTTTTAAAATACTGATTTGGTATATACCCTTCCAGAGATTTTTTCCTGTATTCTTATATCTTCTTAATAAACATGCAATAAAATGCACAGTATTTGGTAACAAGTCATTTTAACTTTGGAATGTATCATAAACATATTTCTGGGCTAATAAATATCCATTTGTATAATCATTTTAATGGTGATAAAGTATTTCACTGTACCAATGAGTTGTAATGTTGTTTGCTATACCAATGCACAGTAATGTTGTTTGTTCAGCCAATTTTCTATTGTTAATCATTTAGGATATTTCCAATATTTCTTACTTATAAGCAGCACTGAAGTGTTTATATATTATTTTCTGTTATTTACTTTTGCAATTATTTTCTTAGATCAAATTCTGAAATAACATCTTTGGCATACAGCTTTTTGTGTATGCCAACTGCCTACCAGAAAAAGTATACTAATTTATTGTTCCATCAGTAGTGTCTAAAATTACCCTTATGCCCACCCCAAACTTGACCATTATCATTTTTTCATCTTGGCCTATCTGAATAAATGAAAAAAATGGCAATCTATTATAATTTGGGTTGATTCGTTCCTGAATTGGGGTCCCCCACAGTTCATTTACACCAGCCTTCAAGCAACCTTAGAGAATACAAAAGGGTGACCACTGAGCTAGAAAAGAAACTTGTGTGTCCATGAGGTGAATGTTTTGGCTTTAGATAGTAAAGGCCTTGATATATAAAATGACTCCTGCTATAGTGAATGACTTATTTTAGACAATCAGCATGTTCCTATTTATTTTGGGGGAAAACTAAGCAACTAATTAGAACCAGACATACAGCCACAGCCTCACCCAAATACACGTGTTAACTTATAACCCAGTTGTATGCCTGCTCTGGCTGCACCAGAAGTACCTCTTGATTCATGAGCCTTTTTGCTTAGATGTTCTAATCCCAGCCCTTTTGAGTATTCAAAGTTGCACCTGGATATTGTCCTCATGTCTTTTTTTTTTTTCTTTGCCTCTGTTTCTCCATCATAAACTGGGAGGGAGAATGTCACCTCAGTGGCCATAAGGTGGTGGTGATGGGAGGAAGAGTAGTAGGCTGACAGAGAGAAGCAGGGTAGAGCAGAGGAGGTGCCCAAACTGAAGATGCAAGAACCACATTTGAATCCAAGACCAGACAATTTTTTAACACTGTGGTCTTAAAGCCACTAGTGGAGCCTTCATTTCCTCATCTATCAAAAGAATATTATAATATTTCCATCACAGAATTTTGAGGGGCTTGTGAAATAACGTGACATTGTACTAGCAGAAGGCAGTCACACACGAAATGTCGGGGTGGTATGTGTGAATTTGTTTCGTATCTGCCTCAACACATTTAGAATCCTGTTGATAACACTCAGTCATCTAAGACAAAAAATCAGCGATCTTCCAAAAACTGGGGGTGGGGTTGGCCATAGGAAGAAGTTAGGGGGTTGAAGGAAAACAAAGTGTAGGCCATGGTCTTAGCTGTCACCTACAGAAAAGATAGGCAACCTGGGAGAAGCAGTGGATCGAAACAAGAGTTACCAGGTCCTCAAAGGCAACCTGGATTTTTAAAGGCCTCTTATTCTGCATGAAGCTCATTTGCATTCCACACCTGGCAAGTGAAGAAAAGCATCCCTTGTCTAACTTCTGACTTCACAGAGATGCCTCACTAGGCCTCCATCAGTTTTTAAAAGGCACAAGCAAATTACATAGTCACCTCTATATTTGAAGAAAATCTTGGTTAATGTTCCAAAGCAATTCCCTCATGGAAAAATCAGCTCACTTATTCTGTAGTTAGGGGAAAAAAATTGAAGCACTTATAGTAAGGTCTAAAACCATGTTCAAATTTATCATAAAAGCCCACTTTCAAAGGCCCAGCTGTGTGTCACTCAGCAGCCAGGTCCCCCAGGGGCTTTTCACGACCATTTTTTCAGACTTAACTGTAAAGGCATCACACACCTCAAGCCCAAAGTGAACTAAACGTTCAATCAAAACACAAGGCAGCCTTCGGTCTGCTTTGGCCTCAAAGATGTTTCAGATATTCCTGATATGCTTGAAGGGAAAGGCTCAGACTAAAACATTCACCCCTCAATTCTCCAATCATGGTCATTTCAAACCAAACAGTGAGGGACCCTGTGGGGCTGAGGGTGCGGTGGGGGGGCGGAATGTCGTACTATTCATTGAGTCCAGTATTTCAAACTCAGCAACGGAGTCAGGGAAACTGAGCCTATGCCAGGGGGTTCAAAGAAAGTTTTAGAATTTGCTTGAGGCCTTTTAAACCCCCAAATCTACAAAGTTCTGTCTAGCTGGGGTTGCTCCATCTCAGATCAGACATCCAAGGCTCTGACAGCAGAACCACAAGAATAAACCCTCTCAGCTATGGATAGGAGGGCCTCCCCACTTCTTTGTCTCTTGTCCTTCTGAGGAAGTTCTGCCTTGCCTAGATTTTCCATGAAACCTTGATAGTAGGGGCACTTACAGAAGGCAACTCCCGATAACTCTAAGGCTAATCCAACCAAGTGATTAGAGAACTCATCACTCTTCCTCCTCCACTGTTTCCCCAAGGAAAGGATGCAATTTGAAAATCCAAGAGGATTCTCCTCACAGAGGAAGAGCTGAAGCAGTGCCAATAAAGATTCCAATGTCAAACGCCAATTACACAGAGTTTGCAAGTGATTTGAAACATGGCTTTGTGAGGAGCCACTGTCTGTGAATCAAAAGGCCCCACAACTATGCTCCAATGTTTTTTTAAAGCTGGGGGGATTCCTTTTAAGTAGATCGGGTTTTCGCTATTTTAGGCACCAGAACTTTGTTATTAAACATCAGTGATAATCTTTTACATTACAGAAAAACAGATCAAAGCTTTTGCTTGGTGTAGATCAGAAAGTCTAGGTACAGCAAGGAATAAGAACAGTCATTGTCACAGCCTTGAAATGTCTTATTGAGGAACAAAGTTTTGTAAAACTTCAAGGAAAGAAGTTTTTAACCCAACAGAAATGTGTAGGTATATTCAGCAAAAGACAGGAACTAGAATATTCACAGCAGCATTATTCAAAATAGCCCACAATGGAAATTATCCAGATGCCCATACCATGGTATACTCATACAAAGGAATACTATACAGCAATGAAAATAAATGAACTACAACTACATGCAACAACATGAATGGATCATGAAATATAATTTACATATAGAAATCTAGATATAGAAAAGGCACATACTATATGATTCCAAAACAGGCCAATGTAATCTATGCTGTCAGAGGTCAGGATGATGGCTACCCTTGGGAAGGCAGGATCAGAAGAGAACATTGGCAGGATTTCTAGAGGGCTGAAAATGTTCTGTATCTTGTCCCAGGTACTAGTTTTAAATCTGTGTTCAGTTTGCAAAAATTCATTGAGGCTGTACACACATGATTTGTGCACATTCGTTATTTGCATTATAATTAGGTTTTAAGCATGTCACAAATCAATCTATATCACTTATATATGAAGAGAGAGAGAAAGGGAGAGAGGCAGAATGAATTCTTTTGGTAGCAACATTTCTCTAGAAACTGGAACTCTGCTAACAAGTTTTTATTTCCATTTGCTTACTCAAGGAAAGCTGTTACATGGCTTCCGGTCACACATAGGAATTCTGTATCTCTCAAAAAAGAAAACTCTGCAGTTTAGTACATCCTTTATTCAGAGAAGGAACATCAAATACTTTGGAGTAACTTTGTCATCTGCGCATTTTCAGGAAAACTGGTCCTTTTTGCTCCCAGCACTGTACCTCTGTGTTAGTCATGGTTGGCTAACTGCTGTAACAAATATCCCCTAAATCTCACAATAAAAGTTTACTTGTTCCTCACATGAAATCAAATCAAGTGTTGGCAGATAGCCTTTCATGTGGTGATTCAGGAACCCAGGCTCTTTCCATACGGTGGCCCTACCATCCCTTAGGGCCTCGGAATCATCTGTTGAACCCTCTGCATGCAGCCAGCAGAGTGGGGAAGAAACAAACTACAGAAACAAACTACAGAGGGTTGCTTAGGAGCTTTTATATGGCCTTCCTACAATTGGAGCAATTATTACTTCCACATTCCATTGGACAGAACTCTGTCACAAAGTTGCAACTAACTGCAAGGGAGGCTGGGAAATGTAGTCTAGCCATGCACCCAGGAGCAAAAGGGAAGGAGTTGGTGAACACCTAGGCATTCTCTGCCATGCCAGATCCATAATCTCCCCTCTGCTAGCTGTTCCATGCCTGATATCTGACTACAAAGAGAAGACATGTCATTATAGGAGAGGATATCGTCATTATAGGAAAAGATACAGACAGTCTCACAAAGCAAACGCATGGGTGCTTGCATTTCTACACCACCACTTCCATGATGGCAAATATTCACATCCAGACCTCCTCCACCCATCAGCAGAAGTACACACTCCCCAAGAATGAGAGTGTCATGGCAGCCAGATGCTAAATTGTTCTTGCAGTGCTTCACAACATGAGTTAGACGAGCCAAGTCAGAAAATGGGCAGCATTCTTCTCTTCCCATTTCACCATGGATCCAGCTGACCAAAACGTTTACACTGGTTCAGAAGTCACAGGGCTGGGTTTTATCCATTTTTATACCTACATCCTTTACCCAAGCCTCTTGATAATAATAATGATAAAACAACAACAAAAGTAGTACTATCAATGGCTTACATGTATTAGCCCATAGTATGTATACTGTGTATATGCCATACACTGCTGGCACTGTCCATGGATTAATCACTTAATCTACACAACTCTATAAAATGAGTACCAATAGTATCTCCATTTCACAGATATGCAAACTGAGGTAAGAATTTGTCCAAGGTCACACAGCTGGTAAGTGGTGGAACTGAGAGAATCAAAGACTGAGATATACTCTTAACTAGAAAGTTCATTCAGGTTAGGAACACAAGCATGTGATCATGACAAAACTCCAGTCCCTCAGAGAACAAACCTTGAACCTAAGATTTAAAAATGCAAAGCTTGATCCAACCAGGCTGGCCGGGCCACAGAGAAGCACACAAAGCAACTTGGAAAGACAGCAAAGCATAAATTGATAATTAAAAGAGGGTGTCTGTCTGTCTGTTTGTTTGTTTGTTTTAATTTTCCTTCCCACTCAACAGCCACTAAAACCTTTGAATTGACAAATCAATCAAGAAAACCCAGAAGGGCTTCAATTTTACATTTACAAGCCAATATTCTTAACAGCCTGCTCCACTCATTGTCTTGACTGAAATTTATTTGTAAGTGAACCCCATTTCTCATTATCGTCTTCTACCCTATAACCAGCCTGAGATTCGCTGGTATTAGGATATGGGGCAAAGGGTTAAAATAAAGCCACACAAGAGGCAAGCTTACGCAATATATTTTTCTTCATGCAATTGGATTAGTTTTAATTAGCAAAGGCTAAAAGTTTGCCAGATGAGTACTGGGTGACATCTGATACCTGAGCAGGGTTCCAACATCTCTTTTCTCATACCAAAGGCATTTAACACAAGTGATACTGTTTGAAAATCTTCCAGGGAACCCTTCCCAATGTCTCTTCTAGGTTTTCCCACTTCTCCCCCACATTGCCGCAAACTTTGAAGCCTCCGTCTCTCCTGTTTATGCAGCAGAAAGCCCTATGACTTCTCACATGGAAAAGGATTTCTGTGGTATTTATTCCTGCTGCACTTCATGATGCACTTCTTGAAGTTAATCTCTAGAATCAAACTCTCAATAAACATGCGCCATCTTGTAAATGAATCACTTCAGGGGTGGGGAGGGGGTGGGCTGAGGTAGCAGAACTCTGACACAAAATTTAAAAGGAAAATAAAGCTTTCCTCGCATTATTAAAATATAAATACAGGCTCAAGGAACAGAGTCCAGATGTAGACTGGAGAGAAACATAAATATTGATGTTATATTCTAATGAACATTAGATCTCATGGGCTGTCATTTGTCCTCACAGCTACTACCTCTTCCTTCCCTTAGATTTCTAGTAGGAAAAATCAAGAGTAACTGAACTCTAGAATAGGGCTTCTTATTTCACACATCTGAATGCACTTAGATAGGACAGTCATAAATCCAATTCTAAGCAATTTTGTCCTCCATCCAGGCTTCAAGCATCAGCATGAGCTGAAAACACAGTTTGCAAATCAGTATTTCCTGCTACTTAGAAATGTACCAGAGAGTATCAAGGTCTTTTTTTTTTTTCATTTTTTTTAAAAATGTTATTTTAGCTTTATCGTAGAAAAGGCTCCTACTGGCCAGGTGCGGTGGCTCACGCCTGTAATCCCAGCACTTTGGGAGGCCGAGGCGGGCAGATCACTTGAGGTCAGGAGTTCGAGACCAGCCTGGCCAACATGGCAAAACCCCATCTCTACTAAAACTACAAAAATGAGCTGGGCGTGGTGGCAGGCACCCATAATTTCAGCTACTTGGGAGGCTGACACAGGAGAATTGCTTGAACCCGGTGGGCAGAGGTTGCAGTGAGCTGAGATTGCACCACTGTACTCCAGCCTGGATGACAGGGCGAGACTCTGTCTCAAAAAATAAATAAATAAATAAATAAATAAATAAGAAAATAAAAGGCTCCTACTTCTAAGTTACCCCTGGCACCTCTGAGGCTAGATTTTTATCCTTGTCAAAAACCTGATTCTCCCTAAAATCCAGCACGATGATGTCATAAACAGCCCAACACCATCAGACCAAAAGTGAGGAAACTCCACTATTTCAATTTGTCTTGGATATCTTATAAATGGAATCACTAATTCTTAGTCTTGGTCGAAAGCCCAGAAGCCCCCCATGGAATTATCTTCTTCTGTGCCCATGTTCACACAACAACCTTGGTAGGGGATAGTGCTAGGCTATCAGAGTTCAAATACTGCTTTCCTACCTGAAAGTAGTATTACCTGCCTGGTGTGAGGAGAATGTTCTCTATCTTAATAGGGTTGTATGTTATGCAGGTGGATACAGCTGTTAAAACTCATCAAGATCTGTACATTTCACTGCATGTAAATTATATCTTGATTTTTTAAAAAGAGTATTAGTTAGGACACTTTTTAAATTTTTCCAAGACAGCAGATTAATCAACAAGACCGTAGGAGAAGTGCCTACTTCCTCAACATTCAATGGTTTTGCAAAAGTCTGGAGCAAGTCTGGCAGAGTGAGAGCGGAGAGGAGGGCTTTCTTGTTCTTTTCAATGTTGTACCCTTCTGTATGAGTTGCATGCCTAGCCCCAGACATGAAACAACCATCAACAGCTCTACTTCTCAATACTTTTACCAGACCACCACTGTCTCTCACCAGGATTACTGCAAAAGCCTCCTACTTGGTCTCCTGGCTTCTACCCCTCTTGCCTCTCCCGCAGTCTCTTCTTGCCACAATACCCAAAGTGATCCTTTTAAACTCTAAATCAATCATGTTTCTCCTGGGCTTAAAAGCCTTCAATGACTACCCACTCCACTCGGAGCAAAAGGCAAAGTCCTCACAATGGCCTACTAGACCCTAGGTGATCCGCCCCACTGCCATTTCTCCTTGCTGGCCTCTTATCCTCCTACTCTCCTCCTTGCTAACTCCTCATCCACCACCCTGGCCTCCTTGCCATCCCCGGATCACACCAGGCATGCTCTCACCTCAGGGCCTTTGCACTAGCTCTGTTTCTCTCCACTGGAACACTCTTCCTCCAGCAGTCTATGTAATTTACCCTTACCTCTTTCCAATCTTTGCTCAAATGCCACTTCCTCAGTGAGGCCCACCTGACCACCCCATTTAAAATAGTAACCCCGCCCCAAATCTCTGGATCACCTTCACCTTGCTCTAGTTTCTTTTTGCCCACAGCACTTACTACCTCCTAACATGTTTTGTAATTTCGTCAAATGTATTGTGTTTATTATTTAGGATTTGTCTCTCTCCATTGAAACATAAGGTCCTGGTAACTTTTTGTTTACTGATGAAACTCAAGGGCCTAGAATAGTGACTGCTGTGTAATAAATGAATGAATCTGGATAATAAGATTATTGGTCAATTTTTTCTCTACTTTTCTGCATAACAAAAAGAAGCCACAACAACAACAACAACAACAAAAGAACCTTAATAGACATCTTTGACCATGCAGAGACACACAGCATTGCTTGGTCAGCTGTATACTTTACCCTGACCCAGCACTTCACAGATTCAGGCACAGGTTTTCACCTACTTGAAAGAAATTAACACATACCTCCTACTCTGATCCAATTATAGTATCAATAAAATAGCCAATAATAGCCAATAATTATCAGAGGCTAACCATGTGCAAAGCACAGTTCTCAGTGCCTGCACACCTTGACTTTCTTAGTTTTGTCAACAACCTGATGCAATCAGTACTGCTTTTATCTCCACTCCATAGCAGATGAAGAAAAGAAAATTCAATAAATTGTCCAGAGTCATACAGCTTTGAAGGAGTGGAGCTGGGATTTGAACCCATGTAGTCCAGCTTCAGAGTCTACTCTCTTAACCACATATTCTCTTGCTTCTCAACAATTAGTTAAACCAGACACTTGCCAATGTTACTCAAACTGAGCCTCAGCAAATGCCAAAAGGTCATGAATTTCAACCTTTCCTTAAGGAACAGAGAACAAGGACATCCATGTACCTTAAAAGAAAGGAAGGGAAAAGCATTCTGACACTCTAGAGTCAGAGAAATGAACTCTAAGACCCATAGAGTCCCCTTGTAGTCCAACGTTACAGTTATTCTGTGACCAACATGCCAAAGCAGATTTCCCCCAAATAAACTCCTTACCCATTATATATAAGAAAATTAAAATGGCCCCTCTGATTGCTGGAATTGAGTCCAGTTTGAGCCAGATTAACCTCATTTCCCTTTTGAGTAGGGTAATTACACCGGGAGATCAAAAGAATGCTACAGACATATGGTATCTTGATTTCAGCAAACCACTTAACAGTTGCTCGTGATGATAGATATTGTGAGTAAGGTGGAGAAATGTGATTTGAACAGGAAGGTAGGGGAGTGCACCTGTGGCTGCTGCAACAATGATACCCAAAGAATGTTGATTAATAGATCTCAACTTGGAGAAACATTGCTAGTACTGCCTGCCAGTGGGCTCTGGCCTTGAATCCGTCTGAACAATAATTTTATCGAAGATGTGGGTGACAGCATAGAATCTTGTTCATGGTGTATGCAGAGAGCAAAATACTGTGAGCAGTAGCTGACACATTGAATCAAGATTTTAAACCATCACCACTGATTGGAAATGAAAGAGCAAAGCAAGCAAGATTCAGTTTAACAGAGACAATGGGAGACTCTTGTGAAATTTAAGTTCAAAACACCAACTGCACACATGGAATAAAGAAAACCTCATGTTAAAAACTGCCACTATAAAGGAAGGGAGTTTGCTGGGCCATAAGAGCATTTTTACACCAACAGTGTCATGCAATGGTTAAAACAAGGACCACATTAGGGACATTCTTTTTTTTCTTTTTCTTTTTTTTTTTTTTTTTTTTTGAGACAGAGTTTTGCTCTTGCTGCCCAGGCTGGCGTGCAATGGTGCAATCTCGGCTCACTGCAACCTCCGCCTCCTGGGTTCAAAGTGATTCTCCTGTCTCAGCCTCCCAAGTAGCCGGGATTACAGGCGCATGCCACCACGCCCAGCTAATTTTTGTATTTTTTAGTAGAGACGGGTTTTCACCATGTTGGTCAGGCTGGTCTTGAACTCCTGACCTCAAGTGATCCACCTGCTTCAGCCTCCCAAAGTGCTGGGATTAGAGGCATGAGCCACTACGCCTGGCCTGGGACATTCTTATAAAGACAGGAATGGGTCCATTTGTGCCCTGCACCTGTGGTAGAGGACAACCAGAGTGGGAATGGCCTGGAAACTTGGCATTAGGAAGCCTGGTTGAAGGAATTGAAGTTGTTTTACCTGGGATGAAGAAAGCTTAGACAGTGCCATAACAGTGACCTCCAGACCCTTAAAAGATGTTCTAGAAAAGCAGTTATAGGTAGATTCCGTATGACATGAGACACCAGAACAAAGATGAAAAGGCTTGCATTACAAAAAGACAGATTCACTCTCAATGTAGATAAGGACTGTTTGAGAATGGGAGCTATCCAGCAATACAGTTGGGGCAGGGGTGGCCACTTCCCACTCCCTGGAGTCTCAGAGGGCATGGAAACCAGATGAGCTGCCATTTGGGACATCTTAAAAAAGATTCCCACTCTGGGTGAGAAGTTTGATTCTATGGGTACTAAGGTCTTTCCCAACTCTATGATTCCAAGATTCTAGGACTCTTGTTAAATTAACTTTATTCTTGGTTAATTTCACTTTGAAGGATGTAGGCACAGATATCTTTAGATCCAGCAATTACACTTTTAAGAAACCATTCTTAAAAATTCATACATATAAGCAAATATATATATGGAAACTGTTTGTATGAGATTTGTTTATAATAACTAAAACCAAGAAAATGCTACCATATGGGTAAAAGGTGGTTAAATGCTTTGAGCACGTTTGTGCAGGGGAATATTATGTAGTGTTTTTAAAAACTGAGGAGCAATCTCATGATTTGAGATGTCACATGTGTCACCAATTAAGCTTAGAACACACAAAAAATGAAAACAAAATAAAAAATAATAATAATTAAGTAAAAATTTTTTCTGGATATAGTCTTACTCTGCCACCCAGGTTGGTATGCAGTGGCATGATCTTGGCTTACTGCAACCTCCACCTCCTTGATTTAAGCGACCCTCCCATCTCAGACTCCTGAGTAGATGGGACTACGGGCACATACCATCATGCCCGGCCAATTTTTGTATTTTTTGTAGAGATGGGGTTTCACCATGTTGCCCAGTCTAGTCTCGAACTCCTGGGTTCAAGCAATCCTCCCACCTTGGCCTCCCAGAATTAAGCAATTTTTTAGCACATGAATGCCCAGGTCCTCAGATTACTCATTCAATACAGCCAAACCTCATGTACATTAATGGATTGAGAGATGTCAGAAACAAAACTTGACCATATCTCTTTTAGTCATTCACAAAAATAAAGTAGACAGTTTCCCTGCCCTCTGGGCTTAGTCTGGTGGGTGGGCTCTCCAAAACTTTGTTTCAACAAATTTCAACCCCAGAATGAGATCCTTACATTCAGGAACCATTCCTACCTCATTATTTTTATTTCCACTTATTATTAAGATAGGATTCATGAAGAATTCTTGATGCAAGAAAAACGTTCAGGAATTTTTGTGATTGTTTGTTCCAGTCTTACTCCTCCTATGATTTTTTAATAGAATGTCCCTCAAAATCTTGTGCCCCACAATTTTTAATAAAGCAAAAAGAAATTAAGCTGAACTATCAAATAAAATTCCAACTATATTTAAAATTGTCCTTGACCCTAAAATTTCAAAATGTCATACAAAATCAGTGAATCTTCAAGACTCTGGGACTAACATGGGACAATAGGAGAGATTTTTACATGTCATTGCCTTTTAAAAGTAATGCCCATTAAAACTAGACTAGAAGTGCTGAGACTGAAGACGTTTCTGAGAGTTTATGTGGACTTTACACTGTCCTGATGGCATTGTGTAGAAAAGGCCTCCACACACAGGAAGAAAGAAATCTTTATCATTATCATCTTAGTAATATCAGTCCAACAGAATCTCAAGGATTTCTTAGATAAAGTAATTCAGGAGTTTTGATTTAAAAGCCCAATCCAGTATAACAAGAAAAGTCTAGAAAGAAATGTGATGCTGTTACTGGTTATGAGGAAATTACAACCATGAATTATTAAACCCTTGAAAGATTGTGTTCTTCTCAGCTCTTCTGTGATGGGTTTCAAAGCAGCTTTCAATGAAGCTGTTAGGATCTCATAATGCCTCACAGAAGCTCACTGAGCAGGGCCAGGAGGAAAAGAAACTTAACCACAATTACAGAAACATCCAAGAGAACACACTAACCAAACTGTGAAGGTTTTTTACAAGTGGTAGACTGAACAGAAAGGGAAGGAAAAGCAGGACCATCCTTCCAAAACCAGAATGAGCCCATGATCAGTGTTGCCACACCAACCCAAAATGATCAATTCACCCAATGTATTACCTCCTGGTTCCTTTCAGAGGTTAGCAGTTTCTGTGTCTGCTCTGGCTGAAAATTATCCTTCTCAAATAGGTAGTTTGGATCTCCTGGGGCTGTCACTTATGCATTCCAAAGGGCAATAAACAACACTCTCAAAGGCTTGTCAATAGAACATGGAGAAATTTAGGGGGTATGTCTTCATTATCATAGATTTGAGTTCCTTTTGTTACCCTTCTCACTGCTGAAGCACTGAAGCTCTCCCATGCCAAGACAGGGATTCAAACTGTGCATCCACTAATGGTAGTAACAGCTATTTCCAGACCCACTGATATGGTTTGGCTCTGTATCCCCACCCATATCTCATGTTGAATTATAATCCCCAATGTAAGAGGAGGGACACGGTGGGAGGTGACTGGATCATGGGGGCAGATTCCCCACTTGCTGTTCTAGTGACAGTGAGTAAGTTCTCTTGAGAGCTGGTTGTTTAAACGTGTGTAGCACTTCCCCCTTCACTCTTGCTCTCTCTCCTGCCACCATGTGAAGATGTGCTTGCTTTCCCTTTTCCTTTTGCCATGATTGTAAGTTTCCTTAGGCCTTCCTGGCCATGGCTCCTGTACAGCCTGCAAAACTGTGAGTCAATTAAACCTCTTTTCTTTATAAATTACCCAGTCTCAGGTAGTTTTTTTATAGCAGTGAGAGAACAGACTAATACACACACTATAGAGTGTTCTGGGAGGGGCTGGGCGTGTGGCTAATATAATAATCCTGGGCTAAATAGTTTAAGGAAAAAGAGTGAGAAACTTCATCTCTACCATACCCCCAGCCCTAGGTCTTTGCCTTCACAGTTTAAAGATTAAATAGATTGTCTTGGTTGCAGTTCCCCCATAAGTAGACCCTATGACTGCAAGTACAGGTTTGAGTGCAAGTAGTTTATGTGGGAGGTGACTCCAGAAACACCCATAGGTGAGTGAAGAAGTGAGATGGAGAAAGGAAGACAGCAAAGATAGGATGTGTCATCAAATAAGTCATCACTGTGGGTAACTGGAGCTCAGTCCTACTTGAGAATTCTGAGAAATGGTGGAGAAAATGCTGCAGAGTTCTCCTATCCAAGGAGTAATGGCACTGGTGCATTCATCCACCAACTCCCTGTCCATATTTGGTTGAGTGCTGCTTCTGAGGCATTAACCTGCTGGCACCTCTGGCCTTCCCAACAAGCAAGGCCAAGCATGGTCCATAAGCCAGTACAAAACAAAAGTTCCAGGCAGAGTTACAGGAGTTTGCAGTAAGTAGCCTTCAGCATGAGAGATGGAATATAGACAGGGCACCAACAATGTCTACTGTACAGAATGAGAAAAGCTAAGATAAAGGTTAGCACAGAGTTCTAGAAAAGTCATAGGTGGGGGAGGTAACAAAAGTGTCACTGCAGTACAATGGGGAAATGATGGTCTTTTCAATAAGTGGCAGTAGGCCAATTGTGCATCCATATTTGGGAAAAAAGTAATCTTGAGCCCTACCTCACACCATTTGCAAATATCAATTCCATATGAAACATGGATCTAAATGACAAAGGCAAAATGAAAAATTTCTAGAACTTTTGAGATATCTTCATGACCTCGAGGTTGGTGAAGAATTTGTTTAAGAACAAACAGAAGAGAACACAAAAACACACTAACCATAAAGAAAAGGATTGATAAACTGGACTATACAAAAATAAGAACTTCTGCCCTCAAAATATAACACTAAGAGATTGAAAAGGCAAGCCACAGAGTAAGAGAAGGTATTGGAAATACATACAGCTGACAAATGACTCATATTCAAAATACATAAAAGACATCTGTAAGACAGTAAGAAAAGGTGCAAAGAACCTTACTGAAAAATGAGCAATTACCTGGGCGATGAAATAATTTGTATACCAAACCACCACGACACATGATTTACCTATATATCAAGCCCGCACATGTACCCCTGAACCTAAAATAAAAGTTAAAAAAGAGAGAGAAAAGAGAAATAAAAATGAGCAAACATCTTGAACAAGTAATCCACAAAGGAGAATATCTAGGTAGTTAAAAATTATATAAAATGGTGTTCAGTCTCACAAGCCATTAGAGAAATGCAAATCAAAACCAGTATGAGATTTCATTACACATCCACCAAAGTGGCTACAATTTAAACATCAATACCAATATCAGTGAGGATGTGGAGCAACCAGAACTTTCATATACTTCCAGGGTTATAAATTGGTACAACCAGTGTAGAAAACTGTTCAGCCAAACAAATCATCCCCTTTGATCCAGCAATTCCTCTTTTAGATACATACCAAATAACTGTGTATACATAAGTTCATCAAGAAGCATGTAGAAAAAATTGTTCACGCAATAGCTCCCAAATGGAAACAACCCAAATGTCCATCATCAGGAGAATGGATCAAGAAATTGTGGTATGTACACACAATGGAATTTTATTCAGCAATGAGAATGAACAATCAGCTATATATGCAATAAGATGAAAGAATCTTACATACATAATGTTAAGTGAATAATGCTAGAAAGAAGTATATATGATTTCACTTATATAAACTTCAAAAACAAGAACATCTAATTGATAAGGGTAGAAATTGGGAGAGTTGTTACTTTTGGGAAGGGGGATATTGACTGAAGGTGGCTTGAAGGGAGGGGAGGATGTTTCAGGTGGAGTAACATTTTATTTCTTGATCTGAGTGGTGTTTACATGAGCTGTTCACTTTGTGAAAATCAACCAAGACGAACACTTATGGTCTGTGCGCTTTTCTGTGGGAATGTTAAACTTTAATATAAAATTTATTTTAAAACTCAGTAACTAAATAAATCAACGGCAACCAAAATGCCAGCAACATTAAAATGTCTAAAGATGAACATCCTGGAGTCAAAGCCCATGAAGTATTTCCAAAGTCTCAGGTTTCAGTGACTGAAAAGTTGGACTCTTCAAATTGATGACCATCAGTCTCAGAAGGCTCTCAACACAGTAAGATCATCCCAATATACTTCCTTAATGCCTTCACGTTCCCTCCCTGAGACAACTTATTAACACCCTCCCTTCTCTCCTCACATTGCCAACACTCTCAGCTGATGACCTCACCCCATACTTTACAGAGAAAATAGATCCCCTTATAGAAGAATACCCCATCCCACCACCAGCAGTTCACCAGCCCACCTGCCTCCCTGCTCGTATCCTTCAGCTTCCCTCCAGCGGCCATGGATGAAATGGTGCTCTCATCTCATCCCCTCTCGGCTTCTCAATGATATCCATAATTATTCAGTTCTCTCCCCCAGGATCATCAATTCACCCTTCTCTTGGAATCTGAACATGCCTAAAATATCAATACCTTTTAAGACATTTTTCCTTGATACTGTATTCCCTTCCAGCCACTGCTCCATTTCTCCACTCCCCTTCAGAGTGAAACGCCTTACAAGAGTTGTCTGTAGAGCTGGGTGCGGTGGCTCACGCCTGTAATCCCAGCACTTTGGGAGGCGTGAGGACTGCTTCAGCGCAAGAGTTCGAGACCACCCCGGGTAACATGGCGAAACCCTGTCTCTATGAAAAAAAACAAAATTAGCCTAGCGTAGTGGTGCACACCTGTAGTCCTAGCTACTTGGGGGGCCGAGATGGGAGCCTGGGGCGGTCAAGGCTGCAGTGAGTCATGATCAAGTCACTGTACCCAGTCTGGGTGATAGAGTGAAAAAAAAAAAAAAAGCTCTCTGTAGTTGCTATTTCCTCTCCACCTCTCCTATTCTTTCTCCAACACCTCTGATTTGGCGTTCATCTCCACCCCTCCAATGAAATGGCACCTCTCAAGGCCACTAATTAATTACAAGTAACCAAACTCAATAGCCTCTTCTCAGTGCTTATCTTCCTCTCAGAAGCACTTGACCAAGTTGACTTCTCCCCAGTTCTGGAAACATCTCCTGGCTTGCACCATACTACACTCTTCTGATTCTCCTTCTAGCTTTCTGGCTGTCCTTTCTCAGCCTTTCTCCTTCCCTGTGAAGCTTTCAAAGTTGGACTGCCCTGGGCTAAGTCCTGGCCTCCTTTTCTTTACTAGCTTCACTGTGTCTAGCTCCAAGGCTTCACAAACTGTCTCTACGCTTAGGTCTCACATTCACATCTCCAGCCTGGACCTCTCAACTCACACATGTAATTATGTAAGACACATCAGGTATCTCAAACTTAACATGGCTCAAATATAAAACTATTGATTCCATTCCCTCCACAAGAAAATATTCACTCTCCCACTAGCCTTCCCCATTTCTACAAATGGTAATACATTCTACCAGTTATTATTATTACTATTATTTTGAGATGAAGTCTCACTCTTGTTGCCCACGCTGGAGTGCAATGGCGCGATCTTGGCTAACTGCAACCTCTGCCTCCCGGATCCAAGCATTTCTCCTGCCTCAGCCTCCCAAGTAGCTGGGATTACAGGCGCCTGCCACCACGCCTGGCTAATTTTTGTATTTTTAGTAGAGACGGGGTTTCACCATGTTGGCCAGGCTGGTCTCGAACTCCTGACCTCAGGCGATCTGCCCGCCTCGGCCTCCCAAAGTGCTGGGATTACAGGCGTGAGCCACCGTGCCCAGCCACAGTCTACAAGTTATTTAAGCTTTTCAAGCAAAAACAACAAACTAGGAGTCATCCTAAATTATTTTTTTTTTCCACAACCTGTACCCAATCAAATCAGTTAAGTCTTGGCAATCCTATTTCCAAAATGCATTCAGAATCTAACCACTTCTCACCGTCTCTACAGCTACCTCCCTAGTCCTAGCCACCATCACCAGTCACAGTGTCTAACTGGTTTACTAGCCACCAGACTTGCTTCCAGAGTGACTCTTCCAAAGTGTACATCAGATCATGTTGCCCCTGCAAGAAGCCCCCCAGCCTGTCTCAGGGCAACAGGAAGCAGCTGTCCAAGGATGAAATAGCAAGCAGATTACGCAGGGGAATGAGGATCAGGTGACAAGGATATACAGGTGGTGTGAAGGCACTCTCAAAGGAAGAGAAAAAAGAGTAAGTTTTACTTTTAGGCTTCCTCTCCCTTTCAAACTCCCCTAGGCCTGAGCAATACTAAAGGGAGATAGATGCATAATGCAGCTGATGCCGCTAGTGACCGACCCACAGCTACTTTGCCCTCCCCAGAGGACCTCTGTCAACATTCCTGTGCACATCATAGGCTTTTTGCATCTCTCTACCTGGCCCTGGGTGCATGCTGGGACTACATGTGGGGCAAGACCCAGAAGCCATGGAGTTCATGCTCCAGGTGCTACCTTCCATCTGTGGGAAGAAGAAGCTGGTGCATAAATACTCCAGCTTCTTTAATCATTAGTGGAACACATTTGAGGTGTGTGCTCAGAGGGTCGCCAGCTGGATTGAACCCCAGTTGCCCACAGGGCTAACCAGCTTACATGGTGTACTGGCTTTCCTCTTTCCTCCCTTTCCTGTCTCACTTCCCTACCCCCTCTCTGTGCTTCCAGGGAACCCTTCCCAAATAAGTTAATTGCATCGAAATCCTTGTCTCAGGCTCTGCATTCTAGGAAACCTAAACCAAGACACATAATAGTGTGTTTTTTCTCCCAAAGGTAATGCCTTTTATGACATCAAACAAAAACAATGCCATCCCAAATTTAAATGAACAAGAGAAGAGAGAGATCTGGACATAAAGTGTGGAGATAGCATTTTAGAAAATAAAATTTAAAATAATATGAGATTTTAAATCTATCCCAGGTAGAAATCAGCCCCATCTTTATTATTCATGTACAAATATGTATAGAGTATATATTCACCAACTATATGCACACACTCAAGATCCTCTCTTATCTCTACTAACTATTAGTTTGTACCCCAAACAGTTAAAAGGACTTGAAAGAACTCTGACACGTTCCAGGTACATAACTGCCCACTGCTGCATCTAAAGAGAGAAAGAAGTGGGCACATTCTGCTCTGGCAGTGAGTTTCATTCGCGTGAAATCTAACTTAAGGAGAGGTGTGTCTCACACACACACACACACACACACACACGGGAAATGTATGCACCACTCAACAGTCTGCAAAACTTCCCTCCAGTTCTTTTGAAGTGAAATCACCACTCCCACAACCGCACTCCCCAGATACCTGCGCTGTTGAAAGTGAAGGGCCTGTCCCTGCTGTGTGGTTTGGGGTAAAAAGGAGGCAGGATTAAAGCGCTCATTTCAAGTCCCAAAAGTAAAATACGACTTGGCCTACGGCAGTCCTAATTCTTTCCAGAACTCATCCCCGGAATTGCCCTTTTAAACAACCAGTCATTAACCCAACTCCGGGTCTTTTATAGCTGCGAAAACCGATCGAGCACATCATTTATTCATTACGCTTATTACTATTGTTATTGCAGAAAAGCAGTGAATTCCCGGGACGGGGTTCAAAGGGTTTTTCGGAGGAGGAGGGGAAGAGGGAGAGAACACGCGGGCGGGCAGGGACCGCTGGGAGGCTGAGCTGGGCTGTGGGGCAGAGGTGCCCGGAAATCCCCAGGGAAGGATGCCTCCAAAGCGCCTCCGCCCCGCGCGCTCCTAGGCCACTGCGCACCGGCGCAGCTGCGGCAGCAACCTAGGAAGCTTCTTACGTAAGTCAGAGCCGCTGACATCACCTTCGCCGCGAGCGTCGCAGCCTGACTAGGCGCCAAAGGACCGTCGCGCCAACCCAGCGCCCCTGTCTACCTCCTGGGTCGTTCCTAAATGATTCTGCCGTCGCCAGATTTGGACGATCCGGAGCCAAGGGGACCGCCCTTGGAAGGGAGATGACATAGAATGACTATTTATTGGGAGCCCTTGGGTGTCGTAAAAGCGAAGTCAACGGACAGCAAAGACGCCCAGGGGTCTCCCAGACTTCCTTCCTCGTCGTTTCCCTGCAGCCCGCCTAGCAGACTAGTTCATACCTAAGTCCACGTGCCAGTAAATTTGGGCGACAGTGCACCGGGGAGGAGGAAGATAGTCTGTGGGATCCTCTGCGGGCAGATGGCACAGAGCCATTTAGTAGGAACCCTGGGCTGTTCAGAGCAGAAAAGATGCCCAGGGGTCTCCTCCATCTCCCCGGGGCCCCTGACACTCCCACCCTCATCTCTCCCTGACCCTCCCCGCGGCCCCTCCGGGCCACAAGGGTTTTCGGCAGAAGCACTACGAAGTTCAGTCTAGGAGGCGAGCAGCGCCACGCTACGTCGCACACGAGGGCAAGGCACAAGTTCGGAGCTCGGGGCAGCACCTGAGGTCACAGCGAGTGACGAAACAGCCGCGGTGCTGCAGCAGTCTCAAAAGAACACTCACTACTCCTGGAACCCCCAACCCTGAACATGCATGGTGTGGGCTACAGGGCTCAGGGCTGGGCTTCTGGAAACCACAGGAGTTGCAACCCTCCTCCCTACGCCCCGTGAAGGACGTGAAAGGCGAGCCCCGGTGGTGAAGGACAGACCCTCTCTGCCTCCTGTGCTCCCCATAAACGCTCCCTTTCTGCTCCTTCTCAGCCCACGCTGCCTGCGACTTCAGAGGTCGCCCTTTTAACTTTCCACCGTCCACGTCTGCATCACTGAATCGGGGTCCAGCCCAGCCACTCAGCCCCAGGAGGATTGGGGTGGGTCCCAGGGGATGGGAAGGGTGGGAAGGCGAGAGTAGTAAGGTGCAAGCTGCAACCGGAGCGGCGCCGCGGGGCTGGGATTGCCGCTGCTGGGGAGGGCGCGAGGGTGCGGCGCAGAAACCCATAGCCTGGCGGGCGGACGGCGCGGGTACTCACGCACTGCCTCCTGCTTAGGGTCAAGCGTGCTGAGGACGCGCTGCACGCCGCCGAGCTTGCCCTGCAGCGCCCAGACGCGGCGGTGGGTGAGCTGGATGTCGCTCTCGAGCTCCTGGAAGAGGCTGCAAGCGTGCCGGGCCACGTCCGAGAGCTGCCGGAGGACACGGGCCAGAGCGGCGTTGCTGACCGCGCATAGGTCCAGCATGAGCAGCACGGCCGCCGCCGCCGCCGCCGAGGACGCCTCGCCGGCTGCGGGCGCCGCCTCCGGGATCCCCGCCGTGCTCTCCTCGCCAGCCACGGACGCCTCTCCGTGCGGCGGCTGAGTCTGGTCGGCCGGCGCGGGCAGTGGCGGCGGCGGCGGTGGCAGCCCTGAAGGTGCAGGGACGGCGCGGGCTGGCTCCTCTGGCCCTGGCGCCTCGACCTCGTCCAGGTCCCTCCGGCCCGGCGGCTGCAAGGGCGGCGGCGGCTCAGCGCTGCCTCCGCTCGCGTCCACTGCTGGGCCGGGCGCAGGGCGCCGCTGCCTGCACAGCCATTGCGGCTCCACGATCCGCTTGGCGAAAGGCATCCCGCGCAGCCAGGCGGCGACTTTCTGGTCTCCTCCAAGCGCCCCTGTGAGCTGGAGACCGGGCGCGCCCACCTGAGCAGGGAGGGGGCAGGAGTCCGGCAAAAGCGCGATCTGGCAGTCCGGATACGCAGGGGGCTTCTCTGCTCACCTTGCCTCCTCTTCCCCGCCCTCTCCCTAGCAAATCAGTCCAGCCAGTCCTCCTTTGGGTGCACCGTTCCCTGGGGAGGATGACAAGCGCTCCGCACAGAAATTTAGGGGTGCGCCTGGTCTCTTCTCACTTGCTTCCAACCAGGGTCGACTGGCTCAACTCCATCGTTTCTGTGCTCGCCGTCGCCACCCCGGCCACTGCCGTCGCCGCCGCCTATATAAATGGGCGTGCGTGTGTCTGTGTGTGTGTGGGTGAGTGGGTGGGTGGGTGTGAGTGTGTGCGCGCGCCTCAGTTTGAAAGTACCCCGGCGCAGGCCTCTCCCCGCGCGCCCCTCGGCCGCTCCGGGGAGCGATTGCGCCCGGGATCTCTCTCCCTGGCTGGGCGGGGAGGAGGTTTCGGAAAGGCGCTCTGAAAACCCGGAGAGAGGAATCTGCCTCCAGCCCGGGCGCAGGAGGCCGCGCGGGGGTGACGGGGCGGACGCAGGGCGGGGGAGGCCGGGGCGAGGGGGGCGCAGCGCCCTGTGCGGCCGCTGGGAGTCACTGGTGGCCTCGCCGTGCTGGGCGCGTTCAGGCGCAAAGACACTTCCTCACATCCAAGGGGTTGGAATTGAGACTGTCAGCGTGGTGGGGGCGGGGAGTCCTCAAGTTGGGAGTAGGGGTGTGGGCAGTAAGCGCAGAGGGAAGAGGGTGGGGTATTGAGGATGCGGCAGATTTGGCGTGTTGGAGCAAGTTTTTCGCCGAATTCCAGCTCTGTACAAGACCTTTGGGTTCTTACAGGGAAAACTGGGCTGCTCCTTGGAGATCCCCGGGCTCTATGAACGCAAGGAGACAACTGGGGAGGGCAAAGGGCGTAGGCGCATCTCCATGTGGCCAGAGCAGCCAGAGTGCTGTTTATACCCCTTCCCAGGCATCACGTGGCCCCCTGTTTTGGGCACGGGCTCTATAGAATATCGTGAATGAGACCCAAACCACCAATGAGCAAAATCCCCAGAAAACTGCTTACGAAACTCATTGCACGTTGGGTGAGATAAACGGCATTACCTCCTCGTCACCCTACTGTGCTGATCATACACAGGATTTTTAAAGTTCTCCATCAGAGAGATGATGATTTACAGAAGAAGGGAAAGTTTTCCCCTTCAGTTAACTGAAAGGTATAATTTCTAAAAAGGCATGCATTTTCGATTGCAGCAGGCTGCAGGCTGTATGCCGTCAGTAAAAAGAGTTTGGGAAATGTTAATAAAACACGTGCTTTCATGCCTCCAAAAAGTATACTGTAAAAATATTTTTTATTTTAAAGCCACAAGCCAGATCTTGGGAATGCAGCCTCTTTTCGTGTTTCTAAAGAGAACATGGAAAAAATATGTTTTATGGCAACAATAAAGTCCTCCAGACCTGCGGTGGTGTCTCCTCTCCTCCCTCTAAAGGCGGGAGAGGGAGGAGGCTCCAACAGTCAGCACTTTGGACTGGCCCACGCTTTGGTTTTAAAGGCTTCAACAGACCCTTGTCTTATTCTACAAAACAAAAAAAAAAAAACAAAAAAAAACCAAAATTTTCGGCAAGGACATATCCTTGTTCATAAAAGATCCAGGCTGAGGCTTTGGGGGTAAAGGGCCATGATGTCTGCAAAGTACACATAAATGTTTCAGTAACAACAAGAAGAAGAATGATGATAATAAAGATGTGTATGTATGAAGGGAGAAAAAAACAAAATATGGCAAAATGTTCAAAATAGTCTAGGTTAAGGGCATATCAGGGTTCATTGTACATTTCTTGCAACTTTAAATTTGGTTTTGTTTCCAAATAAAAAATGAAAGAAAAGAATATTTTGGAACAAGGTCTTTTAAGGTTTGTTTTTTATCTCACAAATCTGAAAAGCGTTGAGCTAGCTGTTTTTAAATTGAGCTTGACTTTTTAATACGTTCAAAATTCTGAACATGAGTTCTGCTGGGTAGGCAAGCCAGACACTTCTCCCTAAACACATGGAAGCATGGAGAACAATGAGGGATATTAAAGGCATCTGGTTAGCAAGCCTTGTGGCAACAGGCTGCCCTGCCTCTCACTCTCCCTTACCTAGCACTGTCCTATTAATAGCAAGGGTGCCAGTGGAGCGGGCCCATCTGAGCATTGACAGGGGCAATGAATAAGTGGTGTGGGACTCTCACTCCTAAAGGGAGTTTCAGATTATTGGCAAGTTCCTTCCAGGGCTCCCAAAATAAGTGATCAGAAAGGAAGGGCAAAGGCCCAGGAGAGAAAGGGTTCAAGGGGGTAATTAAGCTAAAAAACAGGCCAGCTACCTTAGTGTCTGCCCCCAAGTGATCAGCTCAGATTCAAGCCGAGATTTCAAAATGATTCAAAGCACAGTTCAAGGATGCAAAAAGGAGTGCCCTCTTTGTAATCTCCTTGACTCTGACTTGTGTGCTAATAAAGCCCTTTGGTTAAAATTTTAAAAACCTTTAATTTTGGCTTTTGATCTCCTTCATTCTCGCTGTCCCCTCCCCTTCCTTTGGTGGTGGTCCCCAGTGACCTTTCCAAGAGCACATTACGTTTTTGTTTTTGTTTTTGTTTTTGTTTTTGTTTTTGTTTTATTTGGGGAGAAAGACACCCTCCTTCAAAGTCACCAAAACCAAACCTAATACAAATGATCATATTCATTGATATGGTTGGTTGATGTTTTCCCAGTCCTCTGTAAGATATGAATAAAGGTATCTTTAGAAAATGTAACGATTGTTTTACATTAGTGACACCATCTAAATAAAAAACTGCTAGCTTTGGGAAGGCAGCTTCAAGACAGCCTGCTGGCCCCATCCTACCCTTTTCCCAACTCAAGTCCCTCCCATGTGAATTACCCCCACACACACACCCCTACACACATTTTTGGGTTTTATTCCTGCTTTCTAGAACTAAAATACTGAAATTTTAAAAAGGGTAGCAACACATGTAATCCTGACAGGACATGTGAATAGTCTTAAGCTGATGAGTTTTCAGCATACGTGGGAGCTGTGTCTTTCTTGTTTAAATCCTGAATTGTGACATTTTACTCCAAATTTTCCCACAAAAAGTTCTGATGAAGTCAAGGTTGCTTTCTAAAGCCAGGTTGTTACACCTGATTGTTACACCAGATTGTTATGTGTGTGTTGATCTCTCCCAATCACACCGCCTCCCCACTATTCATGTACACATGTTTATTTACCGTGCACTTGTAGCCAAAATAGAAGGGAAAGGAAACATTTTTAAATGGCCCCATCGCCTAATTCCCAGCAGTCATTCATGCAGCTCAAAGGCCAGCACAATTCGCCCATAAATTCAAATGTTTAGTCAGTATAAACTGTATGCCATTGTAAAATGAATGAAAGATCCTGTCTGTGTCACCACGCCCCACAGTTACATTCTTGCCTGCTCCAGCCCAGAAGGAAGAAGGGCTTTGCTGAACTTGAAGATTGGCATTGAGAGCACCGTGAAGCGCCACTGTCCTCAACCTGGCTGTCCTCATGCCTCCACGGAACCCTAGTCAGGCTTCCTATAGAACCTCACAAGCGGCAAAGCAGAGATTCCTAAAACACTCTTCGCTAAAAATGTTCTGATTTGAATATCCTACCATTATTTATACTTGAAAATATTTCTTTTGGCTAAGAAATGCCAGGAGATACACGGGGCACATTAGCATAATCATTGAATTATAGTGACTGAAGTGTCTTTTCCTCCACCTAATTGAACCTATTCCTCATTTAATCAATGTAATCTACTCCTAAAAAGTCCTGCCACTAAGTAAAAACCTGTTAAATAAAAAATATTTGCATTAATTTTATTGGAAAAAATTATGAGCATTCCATCCCAACTTAAGTTACTTAAACCATTTCACAGATAGAAAACTATAGCAAGTTTACATAGGTGAAGGGCTACAATTTGAAAGTAAATAAATATAGTTTGTACATAAAATGCAATGTTATAATATCTCATGAAGGAAGAAGAGCAGATTTGAAATTGGGTGGTGAGGAGTGGAGGAGGGTGAGGTTGTCATTCTTGGGAAATCGTTGGAGAGTCATGTGGTTCACAATGAAGCAGAAAACTTTTTCGAGCTCATGGCTATACTACACTTAAACTGCACTTACAAATAAAGTTACAGTACAGAACAACACCTTAAGGGAAAAATAAAGGATAAACTTCAGAGAGCCTTAAAACATATGGAAAGAGCTCATACACATAGCCGACTGAAGGGTCACAGAAAGATGTTACTCACTCCTCTCTCTCCCACACCAGGAGGCCACCATTGTCAGGCTTTCCAAGAGTTTCTGCAAAGTTTAATGTTAGTTGCTGAGCTCTGAGAGTCCCCAAATCCCTCTTTCCTTTAGTTTTGCTGGCTCATGGGAGGAAGTTCACAGCCCATGGTGGTATGCCATCTTGAATGAGGAAGCATGCATTCTTCCATATGTGTGGTTTATGATGTCCAAAGCCTTCATAGCTTACTTTTTGCAACTCTAAAGTCCAAGTTCTTCCAGTTCAGGAACTTTGAATGTGGCTTTGTGTACAGGTATTCCCATGAAACACTGGGAGAGAAACATATTCATTAATACATCAAAATATTAATCCACCATACACATAAATATATTTACACATATATTGATAACTACCATATGTATAGTTTCGAGGGAGAAAAAAGACTATATACTACCATTGAAGGTTTTCCCTTGTTTCAGCTTGTGCTTTTCTTCCTTAAAAATCTTCATTTAGTCTATCAAGTGTGAAGGACAGGGGTTTCTCTCTGCATTTTATTGATAGGAAAACATGGGCAGAAAAAATAATGCTATTAAAATGGTTTTCCCAAAATGCCAAAGACTGTGAATACAAAGACTATGCCAACCAGCCTTTTTATCTTCCTTTGCAGAGAACTGTTGATTACTCACATTGTTTCCTGTGGGAGAAATTCTTACTTCTTTCTAATCTTCAAAAATCCTAGCCTCACATTTTACAACTGAATATAATTTTAAACATGCCAAATCTGGATTTAGTCAGAACTGCAAATACGTAACTCAAAATAACTGACAGAATTAAAGCAGATGGTGATAGCAAACAACAATGGAGTTTCATTCACTTATTCGTTCCTTTGGTGATGTAACAAACATTGACCGGATGCTTCCATTTACTGAGTGCAAACATTTATTGGGTGCTTAGGCCTCTGTGAGCTGCCAGAGATATAAAAGGAAAGAAGACATAAACATTGCTCTCAAAGGGTGTTGTCTAGTGGGGTAGACAGACACGTAAACAAATAATTGTAGTGCAACGCCAGGCAAGCTATAATAGAGATAAGAATTAAGTGCTATTCAGAATCCCAGAGCGATTAACACTGTCTTGGGGGAACATAGACTGGAGCAGGGATTCTAAAGACAACGCAAGCTTCGGCGCTGGTTCTCACAGGTTAGAAACGGAAAGACCAAAGCCAAGACGAGGCAGCGCTACATGGTTAAAAACAAAACAGTGGCTAAAATTAAGACACCCTCCAACCAGCTGCAGGAGAAAATGTGCTTTTGACTATAATCATTAAATGGCATTCCCAACAAGTCTTTTAAAAACCCTGAAAACCAGGCGGTAGGAGAAATAATGTGGAAATTATGTTGGTTTTTTTCTCTTAAAAAATAGCTGATTTATAATTTTCACTCTTTGGCAGGGCTCAGTTTATAAAGAGGAAGTGGAAGATTTTTAATATATTTCCTATGAAGAAAAGTCTTCAATTAGGTAGGATGAACCACAGTCTCTAGGGCATAGGGTGCTAATAAAGCTAAACGGCCATTCTCCAGGAGTTCATAAGCTCCCCCCACTTTTTAACTGTTCAGAATTTCCTCCCCAAGCACCCTTCTGTGATGAAAACACCCAGTGCTGGCCTTGACTCAGAGGAATTGCTTTTGACTGTGGTGGTCCTGTAATAAATCAGCTCTTTTGGAGAGAAACTTGAGGGAGTAAAATCTACAACTCACATTATCAGTCTGGGGTTGAGTCCTTGTGAACAGCAGAGGCAGCAAACTTCAAACTTTATCAAGATTGTGGTGCTCATTAAGGAAGTGAAATTGAGCCAGATTTGAAGGAAAGCACTGTAGTAATTACAGAGTTATGAAGATTTAAAAGCTATGCGCCTGGGCATGCAGAGCGCAACGTGTTTCCTTTGGGTTCAGAGACACCGCAATTACAGGGCTTAAGGGTAGCAAAGCACCGAATTAGAACTCCCCATTAGTTTGATTAATCACTGATGTAAGTGCAGGCACTAGAAATGGCTCAGTCTCATTTGTGTCTCTTCCTGGCTCCCCTCCGCCTTTCTCTCCTTCTATTTCCTTTACAAAATCAGGGGGCCTGGGAGGAATACAAACTGTATATTAATGATAAGAAATTGCATACAAGAAAGTAAAAACTTCCTGAAGCTTAATGACTTCTCTATATCAGTGTTGGCTTTGCCAAGAGTTGTATAATATAGCATGTTCTTTCCTCTTCCTAGGCTGTTAAATGTTAATGGTACAACAATGACATGTTAGTAAATCTAATAAGAAAACCAGAGAATAACATATTTTATGTGGGTGTATAACAAGTTAACATCACCGTAAGATGCTCACTTGGATAATAATATATGATATTGCATTAGACAAGCTGTAACAAATAACAAAAACAATATCTGGCCAATTAGCAATACTAGGTGTGAGTCTTATTCTTTGGAAGGAACTGTTATACCCTTCTGATGAACTTAGCTAACAAATCTACTTGCAGAAATGGTGTCTTACCCTCTTGGGGCCAGGATATTTGACTCGGTACCTCCTCATGAATACAATCAAAATTACAACCAATTTTATGAATGGGGAACACAAAGGCACAAAAATATCAACACACCACTTCAAACCCAGCATGATCAAACACTCAGAGAAAACTCCTCTGTAAATGGAAATTCAGAACTCTTGAAGCAAAGGCACTTTAATAGAAAGGCCAACCCTTAAATTGTGCACCCAGATGACCCTTAATGGGAAAGGTGATTTTATCACCAGGAGATTTGTAACTAAAAAATGTCACTAAAACGTACTTATGTGGTCCTTTTCATATTTGTGCATGAACTACAGGACTCCTGGGATCAAATCTGAGACAACCAACCAGCCATGCCTCTTAAATTATTTTTTCGGAGGTGTTTTCTTTCTCCACTTCAATTGTAAAGATCCAGGAATAACAGCCCAGTGCACAAAGTAGTCATTTTTATTTCTCATCCTGTCTCGATGGCCTCATAATGGGTTCAATAAGAGTCTGGAAATAATAAAACCTTCTCCATGGAGAAACTCAAGACTTGCTATAAAGCACAATAGCAGCTAGGAGTCTCCTATAGTAACGACAACACTAGCAGAAACATTGCAGGAGTCTGAATTTCCTACTGTAGAGAAAAAGAATTTAAAAGGTGACCATCCTACACACTCACTAGTGTACAGATGGAATACCAGGCCACTAGGATGAAAATAAACAGTGGTACAAGAATTTTGTTGAAAAAAAGGGCTGTAGGCAAGTGCCTTAGTTACAGCTTCATTTTGATCTGTTTTGAAACACGTTTAAAGTATTTCCTGCCTACTGACTTTGGGGACAACTTCACCTTGGTTGCTAAGAAAGTCATAATAAAAGGATAGAGAAGCAGAAAAAGAAGAAAGCAGGGATTTTGAGTTTTTAAAATTATTTTCTGTTTTTATTTGAATGTTGCCTTCTTTGCTGTTGGGTATTTGTATTCACACACCCATAGGCCTGGTGTAGTTTTGCTACAGTGGCAGACACCCGTTATCCCCTTCTTCCTTCCTAACGCAATCCCAATTTTGTCCTGTGTGGCAATGTCACCAGCCAATCTGCTCATAGTCCCAGACTCCCTTGCATTCAGGATTGGCCAGATGACACAGTTCTGGACAAGGACATCTACATGGAAATCTGCTAGAGATTTCTGGAAATGTTTCTGTTTTCCTGATACAGGAGCTGCTGCTTCCTGCTCCTTCCCTTTTCATCTCCCCCCATCCCCCACACACACACCAGAATGGAATCCAGACTGAGATGGAAGGGCCATCCTGTGACTGTGTCATACATGAGGATAAAAGTCACATGCAAAGGATGGTAAAGCTAAAGGAGAGAAGGCTCCTGGATTATAAATAATAAAGCCAAGTGTCCTCCCATACCTGGATTTGCCCTACTCCAGATTTCTTGTATTTGTGAGAAAAATGCCCCTATTTGGGTCGGCCACTGTACAAGCAGTCAGATGTGGTTCTGACTGGCAGGAGTACCAATTCCCTACAAAGCAATGCTACAAAATTCAGGAGATGAGGGTTCTGGATCTGTCTCATTCATTCCATAGATGTTATCCAACAAATACCTACTATGTGTCTGTGGCTATTCTAGGAACCAAGGAATCATCTGCAAACTAATGAGATCAAGACCTGCCCTTATGGAGCTTAACTTCCAATTAGGGAGAGACAATTAGGGAGAGACAGGCACACAATATTAAACATTCATTTGTTCCACAACAAACAGTTTATGTATTCAGGAGCTGCTTCTACTGGGTTTATATACTTAAAATAATAAAAAGAAATTATGTCTGTAGCAGGTGATGGTTGATTCCCCTTCCAGATTCTCTTCACCCAGCCAGCACACTCAGCCCCCATGTCTGTGGATGTTAACTGCTCACAGGTGCACCCTGCTCTGGAGGATTTCCTGTATCTCAGAGGGTCCCGCCTGGAAGATTATATCCCCCAAGAAGGGAAGCCCATGGCCAATGACTCAATGGTGGAGTGCAAAACAAACCCTGTGCTGGTACTCACACTCCAGCACTCTCTATGGCATCAGGCTGAGGCTGGCCTTCTCCTGAACCCACATCTTTGCTTAGATCCTTCCCCTGCCACCTCTGCTTCCTTCATACTTCACAGGTTTCTCCTGGGAGCATTATCTTACTAAATCATCTGCACTGAAAATTCCCCACCTCAGGTTCTGCTCCTGGGATCCTGATCTAAGGCAGTGTCTGTAGCCATTTTTCTTTAATTAATAAGGAATAGAATTTGTTGCATTTCTCCTTTGGAACAAACCATCAGAAACCATTCCCATTTGAATTAAGGTTAGTAGAAATTAGAGGGGCTTGCTTATAACTCACACAATATATCATCATCCAACTAAACATAGCTAGCCACCTTGTTGGTTCTGACCAGTGTAACATGCTAATAGTTTTAACTGTTAATCATAATTTGACCCTCAATTGGCCAGTGCATAAGATAAGATGCATAAGCGTTCTTAATATTGAGGCACAAGTTAATGTGAAGCATAAAAACAGGAATAATTATGATAATCTCCTCTAGATCAGTATTCAACGTATCAAAATCTTATGTACTCATCAGGATGTTTCCAGTACCTCAATAATTAATGTTAAATTTAGAAAGTATAGTGATAATTTTACCATTTTGCATTTGCACTAAATAAAAACTATTCACACTGTGATTTGTTATGCTCATTGAAAATAGCATTAAAACTTTTATCCCACATTATCATTTTTAAAAACCTTCAAATGTGTCATATATAAAAAGTACAATATAAATTATTAACATCATGTCATGAAAATAGTTTTTGTCTATTTTGATGTCTGAACATAGATTTAAATTTCTACTGAATTTTGATGTACATTCAGTCCCAGAACCACATACAAAATAATATGTCAATTTAATTTGTTGACGGTCTAGTTTTTATTATATAAGCAATTTAAGGCCGATAAATAATGTCATTTGTTAAATAGGAAAATATTAAAATTTGTTTTTATAGATTATGAATAGTAGTAAAAAATTACATTGTGTTTCCTAGTAAGTTTTAATTACTTGTTTAATCAATTATTAACCTAAAATTAAACAGTATTTGCTTAAAATTGGGTTTTTAAATTATTTACCGTACAAAAAGAAGAAAATGATCTTTAATATTTTAAGGAACTGGAAAGATGGCATTACTTTCAAAGGGATTCAAGCGTCCATAAAATGGAAATGCTGAGAGAGCTGATTTTTGAAATCACATATGATCTGAGTAACTATGATTGTTCTACCATAAGCTCAATTTACAGCTGTAGCATGCCTTGGGAACTTAATCTTTTATCATATTAGTAGATAATTAGATAACAGTTCTTAAGTATTCAAAAGTAGAACATTGCCCCACTCTTCCCTACTCTTTCATTGCACAGCCCTAAGGTGACCACTTTTTTGCCAAAGACTACCTTGTTAGTGTCCTATGGCCTATGAAACCTTCCTCTGCCCTAGGACCTGTCTTCTTATACTGTAATTTTTTCTAAACAAGAAGAATTGGGCTTCACCCAGGGGAAAAAATATGATAATATATGAAATAAACAAATGATACAAGTCTCCTGACTGTAAAAACCCTGAATTGAGTTTATGGACTCTCTAGTCCTAGAGATCTTTTACAATGACCTGTCTCCAAACTCAACATCTTGGTGTTTAAACATTCAAATACCTAGAGGGAAGGAACTGACCTAAATGACCCTTCTGATTTCAAGATTGCATGTTTCCAACCACTGATGTTTTCAATATTAATCCATGCTGAATTCTTGCATGCTGGTTTATTGTTTTTAATGTTAAAACACATGAAATGTACACTGCAGATTATGTCCACACCAGAGGAATAAAGCCATGTGTAAAATGAAGGTAACATGAGAGAACTGTTAGACTTGGGAGGTAAGAAAAGCTACTGCAATTGAGTTTCCATTTGGGCCAATTCCATCAGCTTTACAATAACTATGGCTTGGTTTTTCCACCCAAAACAGGATTCCATCTTAGTAAAGCCCTGGAATCGGTATAACCTTTCTTCCTCCTTAGTCTTGTTCTCCTGTGTATGCCACTTGAATGGCTAAAACCTAGAATAAATTGACAGGCTAGTCCATGCATCTTCATAGCTCTGAAAAATCCCTCTGGGCAATTCTTTATAAATAGAAGTATTGGCCATGTAAACATAGTATTTCAATTAAACATTGTATTGAGTCATAATACCTAACTTAAGTACTTTATATATTAATGTCAGTATCTATTTATTATATATGTTACAAATAGACAAAATCTAATTCTGTGCTATTGGACAGTGGTTTACTTTGCTGTTCCCTCATATTTTAAGAAACCCAGTAATGTATTTAAGAAACTGTCATTGTAAGGAGTTCTAATTGCATGACATTGGCCCTCTGCGGTTAGGGTAACATCCCAAGGATGGAGCAGGGGCTCAAAATTGGGAACTCTGAGAACAGCATTCTCTCCCAGTGATTTCAATGACTTAAAGCAATCCTTGGGCAAGTCACCCATCCTTTCTTTTCTCACTTCTCTTTCAAGTCATAATTCCCAGCTTCACATATGGCAGTCCTGAAAACAAGCCTCAAGCAAAGGGGTTGGCGATTCTGGGATAATATGAACCACCAAGTACTACGGCTATCCAACATGATGTTTTTCTGGGAGAAAACAACTCCTCCAACCTATTACCCATCATTGCCTAAAAGGGTTTCCTTGGTAAACACAGCTGGAGATTTGCCCATTTTAAATGACGCAAACAAAAAATCCACCTCAAATCCCTGTAGTTACTCTTCTGTGGTCTAAGAGGATTATTAGGCAATAGCTTCCCAGTAACCAGTCTCGAATACATTCTTATTACCTATTTTCTTCTAGTGCCTACACCCACCTTACAAAACAATTTCTCTGCCCTCAGGGTTCACTTTTGGAGATTAACACATGTTGGTTCTTACCAGGGTATGGCCCCAACCCCAACCCAATATGATGACGTGCTCTCTTTCTCCCACAAGCTACCACTATTTGAGGGCCTTCAATGTTCAATTCACTCAGTGAGGTTTTTAATTTTTCTCAAACTTTTTCTATTAGATGCAGTGTGAGGAGTGTGGGGTTACCTTGGCGCTACTTCATGATTTAATACGGTTCTCAACCTTGGCTGAACATCAGAACCACCTGGCAAGCTTTAAGAAATATTTACACCTAGACCCCACCAAGAAGTTCTACTTTAATTGGTCTAGAGTATAGCTTGGGCATCAGGAATTTTTTTAACTCCCCAGGTGTTTCTAATGTACAGCCAAGAATATGAATCACCTGGAGTAAGAAGACTTGATTTAAGTGCTGCCACTAATTAGCTACATGGCCTTGAGCAAAAGAAATACTCATTTATCCAACAGGTATTCTTCGACAGCTTCCTGTATACAAGACAGTGCTAGAGGCTTTATCTCCCAGCCTCTGAGATAAGTGAATTGGACTCAACAATTTATTCATTCATTCAGCAAGTAAGTATTGAACGCCTATTACCTACCAGGCACTGTGCCAGGCACCAGGGATACAGAAGTGAACCAGATGGACAAAATTCTTGCCCTCATGGGCTTGTAGTTTAGTTGGGGGAGGCATGATCACATACAACTAGTGAAAAAGTGAACAGCAATGGCAGATAAGGGATGGGAAGGATGACGGGATGAACGGACTGGCAGCCACCATGCCGGCAGTGGTGGGAGTGGTGGAAGTGGGAGGAATGGAAAGAGGCAGATAGGTTCCAGAAACAGTCAAGGAGTTAACATCACCAGAACTTGGTAATGTATGTGATATAAGGGCTAGAGCGTGAAAGGAGAAAAGGCCAATTCCTAGGTCCCCAGATTGATGGGCCATTCACTAGGGAAAAGAATGTGGGAAAAGAATCTCAGCCACCCCAGGAAGTTGTGAGGGTCTAGAGCTTAAGATATATGGAACTGGAGGAATGAAACCAAACCCACTCCATCGGGCAGAGGAGGGACCTTAACTAAGAAATGCAATATCTCATATAGTTGGTCATCTCTCCACCTGGACTGGGTCTTTGCATAGAGAAAGGGGTGGCCATTAAAGAGTCCATTCTCAAAGAGCCGAGACTGAGCAACTTGAAAGGGAAAAATGAATAGACAAACCAACTGCTATCATATAATGATGTGAAGTACCAAGTTCACTGCGGGAGAGGGGCCTTGCAAAGTGTGGAAGCACTTAGGGAAAGAATTCTTTCTCCATCTGGGTGTAGACTATGTTGATCCCGAGAATCAATATTTGTCCTTGGGAGATCTCTGCAAGTGTGTGTGTGTGTGTGTGTGTGTGTGTGTGTGTGTGAGAGAGAGAGAGAGAGAGAGAGAGAGAGCGCTGCCCACAGCTACTGTCAACACAAACTGAAGAGTAAAGACATGCATCTGTCCCTCACCTTAGCGTGCAGGTCTTGAGGGAGAGAGAACAGATATATGCCACCCAGGGGACAGGGCAGAGGTCCTCCCATTGACTAACTCACACTGGAGGAGGGGTCCTGCTGGGGGAAGAGGGATGCATCCTGGGGATGAGAACGGTCCCAGTGGATGAACATTTCCAAAAGGGGAGAGGCAGAGGTGGAAGAAGGAAGGGCTTCCACAGAGAGAGCTGACTTGAGGTGGAAGCGGAGAGCCAGGGCCAGGACATGAACTGGGGTGTGCTTCTAAGAGTCCGCCTGTGACAGCTAAACACCTCAAAGGGTCCTGCGATTTTTCATCCTTCCTTTCACGGGCGGTTTTCCCTTTGATGCTACTCAAACCTTCCTCACAGACTGACAGACCCGCATCACAGTCTGGCTGTGTCGGGAAGGAAAGTGAGAGCTGGGACTCGGCAATCATCACTACACCCCCCTCCACCCCCACCCCGCAAAACTCCCAGACATACCGAAGTGCAGGCCCTCTTAGGGCTCCAGACCTCCACCCACAGTGAAGTTCTTTGCGCCCCCTGGTGGAACCGGAAGTAACACGTGACTCAGGGAAGCCGAGAGACCCCAGTGGACAACTTGGGAATGGATCGGGATTCAATGTGACCTTTTCTCAAATACCGTGCGGAAGCCAGCCCTTAAGAGTGAGATGGGAACTTCCATTTGGTTTACTGAGGCAAAACACCAGGCGGAGCGCCTGGTTCAGAGTTGGCATTCAGTAATTGGTAGCCATTATGATGATTATAATTATGATTATTATAATTATTGAGATGCAGTTGCTGTAGAGCTTACTGTAGCCTTAGATGATCTGGGAATGATTCACAGAGGAAGAAGTCCTGCAGGCTCAGGACAAGTACATTGTAATGTGGAGGGCTTGAGCCATGATAAAAAAATCCAGCTCCATTTTTTTTTTTCAATCACTGCTCTAGTCAAGGGAGACCAGCTCCAAATCAATCCTCATCCTTTAACCCCAGCAACTGAAGCTCATGCACAACACGTTGAGATCATAACTCTGAAGATTTCTGAGAGGCCGTACTTCTTGCTCCAGAAAGGCTCATCCCTGCCACTGTGCCCCTTTGATGCTGTGTCTCTAAGGGTCAGCAGATGCCTCAGAAGGCTCGCTGTGCTTCATGCTAGAGGCCTAAGGAGGCCAGAAGATGCTGCAGGAAGTGAGAGAAAAATCAGAGCAAAGTAGGACGACAGGGCAGGGTGGGGACGGAGAACAGGTGAAGATAGGACCAGTTGGGATCTTAAGAGGAAACCGATTAATGATTTGAAGAGCATTCTTTTTTTTTTTGAAGGATATATTCTTTATTCTGATTGTGATTATGATTTCATGAGTGTACACGTATAAGTGTACAATTAATTTCTTATATATGTGCACTTTATTGAATAGCAATTATATTTCAATAAGGCTTTCTTGGAAAAGCTATAAACAAATAATGAACTCTGCTTTTTTATTGTACTTATTTACTTATTTATTTAATATTTTTATTATACTTTAAGTTCTAGGGTACATATGCACAACATGCAGGTTTGTTACATATGTATACATGTGCCATGTTGGTGTTCTTTCACTGAGGGACTAATTACACAATGGCAGCAAGTGGGCACAATGCAAGGACTCAGGACTTAGCAGCAGAGCTGTTACCACCCCTAGGCCCAAAGGAAGAGTGGTTACCAGAAGGAGAGAGTAATGTAGGCAGTCTTTCTTGAAAGAAGCAGTGACCTTAGGGCATGGGACAGAATCAGGCCAAAGATGGAACTGAGCAGAATAAATACCTAAATCTCACTGTCCTCCCACCCCCAACCCACCAAATCTACTTCTGATACTCTCCCCAGTTCAAACTCATCTGGAAGTCTGTGGACTAGAGAATTCTGTTGATGTAATCCATGTAAATGAAGCTCATGGGCCACAGAGCAAAGTGGAGAAGAACAAAGAGAAGATCCCTGGCACAGTAGAGAAGGGGCATCTAAGGATTGGGATTGGGTTGTTGGGTTTCTTTTTCTTTTCTTTTTTTTTTTTCTTCTTTTTGGTCAAGAAGATAAGACCACAGGCCCATCAGCAGCAGGATAAGTGAAGTATAACTAGCCCAAAAATGGTGATGAGTTTATGTTCACCATCCAAACCCTCTTTTTTCCCCTGGGACAAAAGACAAGCCTCATTTTGGAAACAGTGATGTCCAGGAGCAGGAGTAGGAAGAGAAAACCCTAGAAAAGAAAACAACGATTTGGCAGTAAGAGAATAGCAAGGAGTAGAAAGTGACCATACAAAGTGTAGGTAGCTCCTAAATAAAGGGCCCCAGCCTGGAAATTTAGGAGTCCAGTGAGGGGCAGGGAATGAGGTCCAGATGAGATACCACATTTGCCATCATAGTCCAAGATACCACTTTCTTTTCTTTTTACCCATCCTCCTCCTGGAAGTCATACAAACCTTTCCCTAACACGGCTGTGTGTGTGTGTTTTCACTTGTCACTAAATGATCAGTATTCAATGAAATGCTTCTATTTTGGGGGCATTAACATCTCTAAAACAAGACGCAGAAAAGCAGAGGGAGGCAGCTAGGGGCTGCATTTAATCTTCTCTAATATCGCACTGTGAAGGAAACTGGGGAATGAAAACATAGTCATTTAGAAAATGGTTGATGAGTCACTGATTGGCACAGGGTAGAGAAAAAGAGAGGTCATTATTCATTCAGAGTATGCCTGGTCTTTAAAAATAGGCTCATCACTCTGCTGGAGGGGGTGTCTGGGCTTTAGAGACTGAGGGGCATGGGCAGGGGCAAAGGCAGGGACAGAAACAGCCCAAGGCAGTCAGGGCCCCCTCCTCCATCTAGATGTATCTCAGCCCTTGGAAACCGTCCAGCTCCAAGAAGCAGAGAGACACCTTATGCACCTTGTTCTTCCTGTAGCTCTTTCTTGAGACTTTAGTAATACTTTTTGGGAAACTTCAGCTTCGAGGGAACCAGGCCAAGTAGAAGAGACGGTACTTTTTGTGACCATGTTTTTGCCAACAAATGCAACACTCCATTACTTGCAGAATTCCTTTGCTAGGTCCTGGACTACCCAGGTCTCCCTGCTTTTGACCCCTTGTCGTTTATTGGCTGTTCTATAATTTCACTGATGGAGGTGGAGGGGATTTAGAATCTATCACATTAGAACATGGTGAAATATTTACTGGAGGGGGAAAATTAAAGGCCTTGGTAAGCAGACGTTTAAAGGTTGCCTGGAAATTTTGTTTCTGCATGTATTATAGGAAAACAAAACAAAATAAAAACTCTGCCTAGTAAGGATTTTGCCTTTGCCTAATAGTTATTGGGCCTTAACATACATATCTGGCCAATGGGTGAGGGCTTGAACTGAAAAGAGTTTGATTGGTTTGCAATGGGAAGGGTCGAGAGTACGTAACTTCAAGGAAGAGAAAAGAGATTGAAAAGAAATGGGGCTTTCCTCATAACGCAATAGTTGTGATGATGAAGTTATGATGAAAGGTGAGTGAAGAGGAATTTGGCTGAGTGCTATGAATGGAATTCCCTCTTTACATTTTGTGGATACTGCTGTAAACAATTTAAATAGGTTTTCAATTATTTTGGATTGTTAGAGCAGTGTATCTTCTGAATATGCACTAAGCGGAGGTGAACATTAGGGTGACCCAGATTTATGCAGATTACAAAGGTGGCCAGGCATGGTGGCTCATGTCTGCAGTCCTAGCATTTTGGGAGGCCTATGCAGGAGGATCGCTTAAGCCAAGGAGTTCAAGACCAACCTGGGCAACATAGTGAGACCTCGTCTCTACTAAAATTAAAAAAAAAATGACAACAACAACAAAAAACAAATGTAAAGTACATCCCTTCCATGCATATGTGTGCATCACACACATACATGCAACTCCTTTATGCTACATTTTGGTTTGTTACTTACTTACTTAGTTGTCTTTGCTCATACTAGGATAAACTTACCTACTCTAAGTAGGTACAGAAAAAGAAAAGTCTGATTCTGAAGTAGAAAAAAAGTAGAAAGATTTTCAAGGCCCAAATTAATCTCTGCCTGGAATTCTATTCTGAAAGGGCAAGAACAGCTGAGACAGAATCTTCTAACTTTCGGTCCCTTCATTCTTTGAGAAACTACTAAAGTGCTGGAGGTAAAATAGTGACTCAATAGCCTGCATACCAGTGAAGGATGTTTCTATTTTATTGAGAACCTGCAACTACAGTTATTTGTCATATAACATTATTTTAAACGTTATTCTACACACAACATACAATTTTACTAATAGGCTCTTACATCCTTATTCTTCATCAGAGTAAATAGTATGTAATTTTTTTCACATCAGATGGGTAATGTGCCAATGTCGTAACAAGGTTTGAGGGAGGCACATCTCACACATAAGCATGAAAACCCAATCATCATGCTTATGAACCACAGAAAACTATGTACTTGAATTTTATGTACATGTTTAGTTCCTCAAAATCCTGAACATGGGACATAGAGAGTAGAAGAATGGTTACCAGAGGCTGGAAAGGGTAGTGGGGGGTTGAGGGGGAGGTGGGGATGGTTACTGGGTACAAAAGAAAATAGAAAGAATGAATAAGACCTACTATTGATAGGTCTTATATATATATATATATATATATATATATATATATATATATATATATGACCATGGAATACTACTCAGCCCTAAAAATGAATGAAATAATGTCTTTTGCAGCAACTTGGATGGAGCTGGAGGCCAATATTCTAAGTGAAATAACTCAGGAATGTAAAACCAAAAATTGTATGTTCTCACTTATAAGTGGGAGCTAAGCCATGAGTACGCAAAGGCATACAGAATGATATAATGGGCCTTGGAGACTCAGAAGGGGGAGGTGAGGGATAAAAAATACTACATATTGGGTACAATGTACACTACTTGAGTGACGGGTGCACTAAAATCTCAGAATTCACCACTATAAAATTCATCCACGTAACCAAAAACCTTTTGTACCCCAACAGCTATTGAAATAAAAAATATTTAGAAAGAAGAAAAAAGAAAGTATTTGGTAAAACACAATGCCCGTTCTGATAATAATTCTTCATCAACCAGAAATATAAAAACACTGCCTTAACAAGATAAAAAATATCTTTCATAAGCCAATAGCCAACATCATGTTTAATGTTACTAAAAACATCAAACAACAAAAAGCTAGAAGCATTTCCACTGAAGTAAGGAAGAAACAAAGAATTCCAGATACCACCATTGTTGTTCCATTGTTGTTCAACATTGCCCTATAGGTTCTAGCTACTATGATAAGACATCATTAAACAGCAATAAGAGGAAAAACTTATCAGCATTCCCAAATGATGTGCTTGTTTGGCTGGAGAAACCAAAAGAATCTAATGGAAAATCAATGGACCAAATAATCAAATTTATTAAGATGGACCAGTTATTTTAAAAATACACAAAACTCACTTATATCATGTTTTTCTATAAATTAGCAATATATAGTTAGAAAATGCATTGGGAAAACATCATGTTAGTAATAGTAACATACGTTTTTTAAAGTTAGCTTGAATATGCACAATGTGTTCCTCTGCATGTTCATCTGCAATTTCCGGCAACAGAAATGACCACTGTCTTGAGTATTTACTATGTTCCAAGCTCTGAACTGAGACCAAACTTCCCAAAATGTAGTACATATGTGCACACTTTCCATTTTAATATTGATTTTACTCTATATTATAAGGAAAAAAACTAGCACATCCAACCTATGATTTCATGGATATCATTGCTTAGGATGAGGTTTAAGAAGTCTCTTTTAGAAAGCAAATTTATTTCAGTTAATAAAAGGAAATTTTATTTTAAAAGGGAAATGAGCAAACATTAATCAAGGCAGTGGAGTGATAGGTTCCATTTGCCCCTCTGCACCCACCTCTGTCTGCCTCCTTCCCTCTGTCCTCTACCAGGAAGCTAACTGACATGGACCATATCATCAACTCCCTTGCTTCTGGCATTTTGCTGGCCTCAGCCAATGGGAGGCCCCAGCAGGAGATGGCAGGTAGGCGGAGAGTGAGGCTGAGGTACATGCTCGGTTCCCTCCTTCCTCTCCAGCTGGACCGTTGCAGGCTGACTGGGCCCTTCATTGATGGCCATTGTCCTGAAGCCTTCTCTAAACAGCTCCCCAGTCCTGTGTGTGTTTTCTCCTCTTGCCCCCTTCAGGCCTGGCATGATAATAGCTCCCCGCAATTGCTAACCTTGGGTCCTGCACTGTCCCTCAGCTGGTTCCCTTGAGCCCTGCCCACACTTTTTTAACAGATCCCTTTCCTAAATTTTCCTCAAAATTACCCTGACAGATATGGTAATATAGGAATTACTCAGGTCTGGGAAGCCACACTGTGCTATTAAGTCATCATAACAACCTTTTAAGATGAGTATCATTATCCCCATTTGACTCAGGATGAAAGTGCAGCTTACAGTCTAGGTAACTTAGCCGATGTCACTGAGCTATTAAATGGCAGGCCCAGATGGGCGGTCTGGGGTCTGTCTGTCCGCTGTCAAAGCTTCCTTAGGCTTGAACACTTCACCACGCAGCCTCTCAGGTAAACACGAAACTGTGTCCCACCTTGCTGCTAACCCATCACTTCCTTGTTGTAGTTCCTCCAAGTAAAATATAATAGTAACTCCGGCCAACTGTGACCTAACTCCTTGGGTTTCTTTTCAGGTCCAAATGTTTTAGAAGGCCTTGTTCTGAGGAATGGTTGGTTATGTATCCTTGCATTTAAAATCCCCTCAACTACCAAGTGGTTTGGGGGTTCAGTAAGGAAAATGAGCCCTATACTAATATCTAGTATCCTACAGAACTGACACTGCTGTAGTTAGTTTTGTCCCACTTGAGGTGATAAAAATAAAGCACAATAATCCCACACCCATCCAAGAATGGCAGACTCCTGAAGTGATGCCAGCCCTTATTCACCCACAAGAGTTCTCATAACATTTAAGCCAACTAATAATAATGACTCGTGTTGTTCTCTTTCCTTCCATACATTTTAAAGGTTTCATAAACCACATTACACTTTATAAAATCATTCTTTTCTGGGAGAGGACTTACACTTTACTCTCGAAATAGAGAGAGGAGATCAGAAATTTTAAATAATTTGAAGTGCATTTCACTTTTTACTGAGAAAAATTTGAGGGATCTTAACCTTTATTTAGTGTTTTCGTTTTTTCTTCCTCACTTGGAGAACAACTAATTTTATAGATTCAAGTATTTAATACTTTCCAAGTACAAATTATCTTTTCAGTGTTTAATAACAATAAAATAGATTCAGGTCCCCACATAGTCCTTAGAAGGAAGTGCAGCACTGTAGATAAGAGCTTGAACTTTGGCATTAGCAGCCCTGAGACAGAATCCCCAGTTGTGTTATCTTAGGCAAGTTTCTTAATCTCTCTGTGTCTCAGGTTCTTCATGTGTAAAATGAGACTAATAATGGCATTGACTTCATAGGGTTATTGGGAGAATCCACGTAAAACTTTAAACATGGGGCTTAATAGCAATTATTATTATTACTCTATGGAAGCTTCTGTGATAGGCACTGAGGAGGGTCAAAGATGAAAGAATCTCTGCATGCAGGTGGATGATAATTTTATAGAGAAAAAATGAGAATAAACAACTATAAAAAAGGTACAACTAATGGATGTTCCAACAGAAATACGGAGTGTCATAGCAACACAGAGGATGGAGAAATTATTTCCAGCTTTGTATTCCAGGGAAAGATGCATGACAGAGATTGCATTTACACTGACCCTGAAGATGGGTGGGGATTTTAACAGTTTGATTAGGGGGAAGGGAATCTTAGGCAGAGGAAACAGTGGGAACAAAGGTCCAGAAGAAAGACCATCAGTGTTGTGCTCAGGGAAGAATGAATGATGATGCTTAGCTGAAGCACAGTATGCATTAGGGTTGAGGGAGACAAGGGGACTAGAAAGGTGGACAGCAGAAGACAAAGCATAAGATAGGCCGGAGGTGGATGGGCATGTGGGCACATAAGAAACTAAAGCCAAGAAGGAAAGGAGAACTGGAATAGTGTCAGCAATTCTGGGTCCTACTCCTGATTTGTATTAATTAGGCCATAGGACCTCCAGATTGAGTTTCTTCACTTAGGAATGGAGGGCATTGGACCAGATGATAGGCAAGATCCTTTTCAGACACATCATTGTAAGTCTAAAAAGCCAAGGTGGTTAGTAAGCCATCTTCAGCCTGAGTCAAAATGCAGTAATGATGTGTGCTGGTGATGTCTCAAATTGAGTGACCATATCAGCTGCTCTTCACAAACCTTTAAACTGCAGGCCAGGCCACCTTTCATTGTGTCCAGTCTGAAAGGGGAACAGCCCAATATGAGACCAGAGGTGTACATCTCTCCTAACAAAGCTGAAAGATCCGCCCCCCATGAAAGAGGATAATGACACATTTAAAAATAGGACTTCCCCATCATCTATCTTGGGGCAAAAACTACATGGTTTGGCCTTAGTGATGATGCAACGAATGCAACCATTGTTTGAATAACATAATAATAACATTTGGCAGGAGCTTCTAATTTTGCTAATGGGAGAACATCAATTTTGACCAACACTCTCACAGAAGACACATAAAACACTAACGAAATATGAATCAATGAAAATCTAATGAAGAGACAGAAATCACCCATTTTAATGAAGATAATTTAACATAAAGAATTGTCAACTAGGTATGAAGTTATTAACCAGGTAATGGAAAACGCAAAACGAGAACACTAAGTTATTACAAAGGTAACATCTGCTGCAGGCCGCTACAACTCCTGGGGCTGGGAAGCAAAGGAAAGACATACAGGAATTATAAAAACTTAGAAGCTTGGAGGAGGGTCCCACTGGGCTGAGACCCAGACCTCTCAGGAAGTGACATCAACCAGTGGTGCTGGTATCTCATGGGGGAGTGGTGGTGGGGAAGGGTGGCAATGAAGGTGTTAGAAAATTGCAAACTAGATTTAACTGCCACTGTCAAGGAGCCATACTTCTGGTGTGATGCTCACAGGAACACGGAGCAGACAGGAAGGAGAACGTCCTTTCCTCCATCTCCCGCCTTCCAATCTCCTCTAGTGCCCCCTAGGTAGCCAGCTTGGAAAGAAAAAATGGGTTTGCACAGTTCCTGACCCAACATCACAGGATGGAGTATTATAGAAGAGTGTTGTATCAGTCTTGCTATAACAAAATACCACAGACTGGGTGGGTTAAGCAACAGAAATTTATTTCTCACAATCCTGGAGGCTGGAAGTCCAAGATCAAAGTGTCAGTCAGCTTGGTTTCTTCTGAGACCTTTCTCTCTGGCTTGCAGCTGATTTCCTTTTGTGTCCTCTCATGGCCTTTCCTCTGTGTATGCACATCCCTAGAGACTCTTCTTCTTATAAGGACATGAGTCCTGTTGGATTAGGGTACCACTCTTATCACCTCATTTAACCTTAATTCCCTCTTTACAGGCCCTGTCTCCAAATACAATCACATTGGGGGCTAAGGCTTCAACATGGGAATTTGTGTGTGTGTGGTTGTGCGGGTGGAGGGTGGAGGGGGCTTGGACACAACTCAGTCTATAACAGATGGGTTTGGAGCAGAGAGACAATTACATTACTCACCTGCACAAAATATATGAAACATCTTAAAAATCATCTAGGAGCTATGAGATGGTGAGCAACAATCAGACTAAGATCCAGAAAAGGACAGTAACCTTAAAAGTTAAGAAAAGCTCTCAGAGCAACTTCTGTCCTAGGGGCTTTTTCTGATTTGGAAGGGAGACCACTGAGATGCACTTTCGACAGCTTCATGGGACTAGAGGATAAAAGTTAAAATCTGGCCCACAAAATGTGGGAACCCAGGTAAAGCACCTCTCTTTTCACTGAGATCTTGAAGTCTGCACCCTTTGAGGAAGAATGAAAAGGAAGTAAATGAGCCTTTACAGGATTTGCTGCTTGGTTTTGCCATCATCCGGGGGCTCTAAAAATCCCAACCTTTGACTTTGAGTAAAGGTGATACTAGACTGCTCTCACCTCCAGGATCCAGCAAAAGCAAAAGCAAATCTTTTCCAGAAGAAAGTAGCATCATCCTAGGTAACAAATAATTGATACAAATAATCTTTTATATACAATATCCAGCACACAATAAAATATAACCAGGGACATGAGGAAACAAGATAGCATGGCTAAGGGTAATTGAAAACAGCGGATGATAGAAAAAAGTAACAGATGGGTGACATATATAGAATTGTTAGATACAAACTGTAAAATTACCACTTATTATATTGAAGAACATAAAAGCCAAGCATGAAAATTTCAGCAAGAAAGAGACAATATGAAACATGACAAAGCCAACTTCAAAGAGAAAATACAAATTTTAGAGCTGAAAAATAAAATGATCAAAATTAACAACTCAATTGACAGCTTTATCAGCAGCTGAGGAGAGAATCAGTGGATGGGAAGAAGGATCACAAGAAATTATCCAGATTAAGACAGGGGGAGACCAAAGGGAGGAAACTATAGAAGAGTGAGATTACAAAGGACAGAATGAGAAGGTCCACATTATGTTTATTGGAATTCCCAAAGGAGAGAAGACAGAAAAACAGACGATTTTATGTATAAAATCCAGCCTAGACAGATCATAGTTAAATTGCAGAAAACTAAAGGCAAAGACCAACTTTTAAAGGAAATCAGAGAAAAAGACAGATACTTTTAAAAGAAACAGTAGTGAGACTGACAGCTGACTTTTCAACAACAAGAGTAGAAAGCAGAAAACAGATGATTAATATATCCAATGTACTGAAAATAAATGACTGACAACTTAGAATTCCATATCTGGTGAGAATATTCTTCAATAAAACATGCAAAATAAATATTATTTCAGGCAAAAATTGAGAGTTATCTATGAGCAAATCAATGCTAAAGAATGCTAAAAAGCATTAAATGAAGCTCTTTAGGCAGAAGGAAAAAAGAAAATGAAACAAGATCAAATGTTAAAAAGGCAGAAAAAGAGAACTATGAAAATGATAAATATGTGGCTACATGTAAATGAACTTTGTATAAAACAGTAATATCTTTTGGATTTAGAAATTTTATTTAAATATACTTAGATATAGATAGGTTGAAATAAATAGATTAAAAACAAAAAATCCAACTAAATGCTGCTTATAAGAAATCATCAGAAACAAAAGAAAATGGAACAATTGAAAGTAAAATGATGGTAAGATATATACCATCCAAACACAAACAAAAAGAATTCAGGCATAGCTTCATCCATATCAGACTAAATGGACTTTAAAGTCAACATTCCTTGTAATAATACAGATAAAATTTACCAGGATGATATAATAACTTTTAAGTTGATATGCAAATTGCATGGCTTCAAAATACATACAGCAAAATTAACAACACCACAAGGAGAAATAGGTAATTTCCACAATCATAGTGAGAAATTATAACATCCCTCTCCCAATAACTGACAGTTACCAGACAAGAATCAGTAAAAATACAGAACTGAACAAAATAGCTAACAAATTTGATCTAATGGGCATCTATAGAATACTCCATCCAACACCTGCAAAATACACTTTTATTTCCTAGTACACATTGAACATTTACAAAAATTGACTATATACTGGGCCACAAAACAAGTTTCAACCAATTTCAAAAAATTAAAGTCTTGAAAAATATGTTCTCAGATTGAAAGGAAAATATTTTAAAAATAAATAACAAAAAGTGATCAGAAATCTGTAAAGATTGAGATTCCCTTCTAAGTAACTCATGGGTTCAAAAAAGAAATTACACTAAAATTTACAAAATATTTTCCCAACTTCTTATTTTGAAAAATTTCAAAATCATAGAGAATTTGAAGTAATACAAAAACACTTGAATACACTTCACTTAGAATCATGAGTTGTTAGCATTTTGCCACACTATTTTTCTTTCTTTCTATATGTGTGTGTATGGCCTGTTTAAAAAAATTGCAGACACCATGTTACTTTACTATATATTCTATAAAAATAAAGATGCTCCCCTATATAACCACAATATCCTTACTGCCCCAAGAAAATTAGAATTGCTATAATACTATTTACTGCAGAATATTTTCAAATTTCTTCAATTGTTCCAATAATATTATTTATAGCTGTGTTTGTTTGTTTTTGTATTCAGGACCAATTAAAGATCATGCATTATTTTCTGTTGTTATGGCTCTTTAGCTCCTTTCATCTAGAATAATCCTCTTTTCTTTGTTTTATTTTATGGTCTCTCATGACATCAACATTTTTGAAGAGTCCATGCTGATTTTCTTATAGAATACCCCATGTCTGATTGTTTCCTCATTATCAGGTTTAGCTTAAACATTTTTGGTGAGAAAACTACATAGTTAATGCTGTATGCTTCCCACTGCCTCACATCAGGAGACATAGAATTTGTTTATCCCATTTTTGATGATGCCAAGTTTGATCACTAGGTTAGGTGAAATATCAAGGAGCCACAAGGTACTTTTCTCACTTTGTAATTAATAAGTAATCTGTAGTGTGATAGTTGGAGATGATGTGAACATCCTGTTCTCAAATAACTTTTTACTCTGGTAGAAATTATTTTGAACTGTATGAAAAAAATATTACATATCAAAACATGAGAGATGCAACAAATGTAGTGCTTAGAGGGGATTGTATAGCCTTAAAATGCATAAAACAACATTAATATTAATGAGCTAAATATTCACTTTAGTATGTTAGAAAAAGAATAGCAAGATAAATCCAATGAAAGTAGACAAAAATAATAAAAAAGAAAAATATTGAAATAGAAAACAAATATATATTACAGAGGATTAACAAAGCCAAAACTTGATTTTATTTAAAAGGCTAATAAAATTGATAAACTTCTGGTTAGTCTAATCTTGAAAAATAAGAGACAGATAAATTATCAAAGTCAGGACTGAAAAACTCATATAGATACTAAAATGATAAGTTGACATTATAAATATTTTATATTACTCAAAAGAAAATTTAGATAAAATTGACAATCCCTATATAAAGACAACTTATCAAAATTACATGATAAAGAATAGAAAAGCTTGGTGGAGAAGAGCACAAAATGAATTTAATGCATAAAAACCTTCCAATAAAGAAAATCCCAGATGTACATGGCTTTATTGATTAGTTCAACCAAACAATTAAGAAAGAAGTAGCTCTTAATCTTTTTTTTTTTTTTTTTTTTTTTTGATGGAGTCTTGCTCTGTCACCAGGCTGGAGTGCAATGGCATGATCTCGGCTCACTGCAACCTCTGCCACCTGAGTTCAAGCAATTCTCCTGCCTCAGCCTCCCAAGTATCTGGGACTACAGGCACAAGCCACCACACCCAGCTAATTTTTGTATTTTTAGTAGAGACGGGGTTTCACCACGTTGGCCAGGATGGTCTTGATCTCTTGACCTTGTGATCCACCCACCTCCGCCTCCCAAAGTGCTGGGATTACAGGCATGAGCCACCGCACCTGGCCGTAGCTCTTAATCTTAAACTTCTCCAGATAATAGAAAAGGGAGGAAACCCCAACTTATTATCTAATCCTGGTATAACCTAGGCAGCAAAACACAAGGACAGAATGGGGTGGATGTAAAAATCCTTAATGAAATATTAACAAAATACAGAACTAATAACAAAGTTGGCATTATCCTAGGAATGCAAGGCTGCTTGAACATTAGCAAATAAATCAATGCAATTTGTTACAATAACCAACAAAAGGGTGGAAATCATATGCTCATTTCAGTTGATGCCAATATAAACTTTATTTGTACAGCTTCTATTCATGATTTAAGATTTTAGCAAAGAGCCAAGATGGCCGAATAGGAACAGCTCTGGTCTATAGCTCCCAGCGTGAGCGACGCAGAAGACCGGTGATTTCTGCATTTCCATCTAAGGTACCAGGTTCATCTCACTAGGGAGTGCCAGACAGTGGGCGCAGGTCAGTGGGTGCACGCACCGTGCGCGAGCCGAAGCAGGGCGAGGCATTGCCTCACTCGGGAAGCGCAAGGGGTCAGGGAGTTCCCTTTCCTAGTCAAAGAAAGGGGTGATGGACGGCACCTGGAAAATTGGGTCACTCCCACCCGAATACTGCGCTTTTCCAACGGGCTTAAAACACGGAGCACCACGAGACTATATCCCGCCCCTGGCTCAGAGGGTCCTACGCCCACGGAGTCTCGGAGTCTCGCTGATTGCTAGCACAGCAGTCTGAGATCAAACTGCAAGGCGGCAGCGAGGCTGGGGGCGGGGCGCCCGCCATTGCCCAGGCTTGATTAGGTAAACAAAGCAGCCGGGAAGCTCGAACTGGGTGGAGCCCACTACAGCTCAAGGAGGCCTGCCTGCCTCTGTAGGCTCCACCTCTGGGCACAGGGCACAGACAAACAAAAAGACAGCAGTAACCTCTGCAGACTTAAATGTCCCTGTCTGACAGCTTTGAAGAGAGCAGTGGTTCTCCCAGCACACAGCTGGAGATCTGAGAACGGGCAGACTGCCTCCTGAAGTGGGTCCCTGACCCCTGACCCCCGAGCAACCTAACTGGGAGGCACCCCCCAGCAGGGGCACATTGACACCTAACACGGCAGGGTATTCCAACAGACCTGAAGCTGAGGGTCCTGTCTATTAGAAGGAAAACTAACAAACAGAAAGGACATCCACACCAAAAACCCATCTGTACATCACCATCATCAAAGATCAAAAGTAGATAAAACCACAAAGATGGGGAAAAAACAGAACAGAAAAACTGGAAACTCTAAAAAGCAAAGCGCCTCTCCTCCTCCAAAGGAACGCAGTTCCTCACCAGCAACGGAACAAAGCTGGATGGACAATGACTTTGACGAGCTGAGAGAAGGAGGCTTCAGACGATCAAATTACTCTGAGCTACGGGAGGACATTCAAACCAAAGGCAAAGAAGTTGAAAACTTTGAAAAAAAATTTAGAAGAATGTATAACTACAATAACCAACACAGAGAAGTGCTTAAAGGAGCTGATGGAGCTGAAAACCAAGGCTCGAGAACTACGAGAAGAATGCAGAAGCCTCAGGAGCCGATGCAATCAACTGGAAGAAAGGGTATCAGCAATGGAAGATGAAATGAATGAAATGAAGCAAGAAGGGAAGTTTACAGAAAAAAGAATAAAAAGAAATGAGCAAAGCCTCCAAGAAATATGGGACTATGTGAAAAGACCAAATCTACGTCTGATTGGTGTACCTGAAAGTGATGGGGAGAATGGAACCAAGTTGGAAAACACGCTGCAGGATATTATCCAGGAGAACTTCCCCAATCTAGCAAGGCAGGCCAATGTTCAGATTCAGGAAATACAGAGAACGCCACAAAGATACTCCTCAAGAAGAGCAACTCCAAGACACATAATTGTCAGATTCACCAAAGTTGAAATGAAGGAAAAAATGTTAAGGGCAGCCAGAGAGAAAGGTCGGGTTACCCTCAAAGGGAAGCCCATCAGACTAACAGCGGATCTCTCAGCAGAAACCCTACAAGCCAGAAGAGAGTGGGGGCCAATATTCAACATTCTTAAAGAAAAGAATTTTCAACTCAGAATTTCATATCCAGCCAAACTAAGCTTCATAAGCGAAGGAGAAATAAAATACTTTACAGACAAGCAAATGCTGAGAGATTTTGTCACCACCAGGCCTGCCCTAAAAGAGCTCCTGAAGGAAGTGCTAAATATGGAAAGCAACAACCGGTACCAGCCGCTGCAAAATCATGCCAAAATGTAAAGACCATCGAGACTAGGAAGAAACTGCATCAACTAACGAGCAAAATAACCAGCTAACATCATAATGACAGGATCAAATTCACACATAACAATATTAACTTTAAACGTAAATGGACTAAATGCTCCAATTAAAAGACACAGACTGGCAAATTGGATAAAGAGTCAAGACCCATCAGTGTGCTGTATTCAGGAAACCCATCTCACGTGCAGAGACACACATAGGCTCAAAATAAAAGGATGGAGGAAGATCTACCAAGCAAATGGAAAACAAAAGAAGGCAGGGGTTGCAATCCTAGTCTCTGATAAAACAGACTTTAAACCAACAAAGATCAAAAGAGACAAAGAAGGCCATTACATAATGGTAAAGGGATCAATTCAACAAGAAGAGCTAACTATCCTAAATATATATGCACCCAATACAGGAGCACCAAGATTCATAAAGCAAGTCCTGAGTGACCTACAAAGAGACTTAGACTCCCATACATTAATAATGGGAGACTTTAACACCCCACTGTCAACATTAGACAGATCAACGAGACAGAAAGTCAACAAGGATACCCAGGAATTGAACTCAGCTCTGCACCAAGCGGACCTAATAGACATCTACAGAACTCTCCACCCCAAGTCAACAGAATATACATTTTTTTCAGCACCACACCACACCTATTCCAAAATTGACCACATACTTGGAAGTAAAGCTCTCCTCAGCAAATGTAAAAGAACAGAAATTATAACAAACTATCTCTCAGACCACAGTGCAATCAAACTAGAACTCAGGATTAAGAAACTCACTCAAAACTGCTCAACTACATGGAAACTGAACAACCTGCTCCTGAATGACTACTGGGTACATAACGAAATGAAGGCAGAAATAAAGATGTTCTTTGAAACCAACGAGAACAAAGACACAACATACCAGAATCTCTGGGACACATTCAAAGCAGTGTGTAGAGGGAAATTTATAGCACTAAATGCCCACAAGAGAAAGCAGGAAAGGTCCAAAATTGACACCCTAACATCACAATTAAAAGAACTAGAAAAGCAAGAGCAAACACATTCAAAAGCTAGCAGAAGGCAAGAAATAACTAAAATCAGAGCAGAACTGAAGGAAATAGAGACACAAAAAATCCTTCAAAAAATTAATTAATCCAGCTGCTGGTTTTTTGAAAGGATCAACAAAATTGATAGACTGCTAGCAAGACTAATAAAGAAAAAAAGAGGAATCAAATAGACGCAATAAAAAATGATAAAGGGGATATCACCACCGATCCCACAGAAATACAAACTACCATCAGAGAATACTACAAACACCTCTACGCAAATAAACTAGAAAATCTAGAAGAAATGGATAAATTCCTCGACACATACACTCTCCCAAGACTAAACCAGGAAGAAGTTGAATCTCTGAATAGACCAATAACAGGATCCGAAATTGTGGCAATAATCAATAGCTTACCAACCAAAAAGAGTCCAGGACCAGATGGATTCACAGCCGAATTCTACCAGAGGTACAAGCAGGAACTGGTACCATTCCTTCTGAAACTATTCCAATCAATAGAAAAAGAGGGAATCCTCCCTAACTCATTTTATGAGGCCAGCATCATTCTGATACCAAAGCCAGGCAGAGACACAACAAAAAAAGAGAATCTTAGACCAATATCCTTGATGAACATTGATGCAAAAATCCTCAATAAAATACTGGCAAACCGAATCCAGCAGCACATCAAAAAGCTTATCCACCATGATCAAGTGGGCTTCATCCCTGGGATGCAAGGCTGGTTCAATATATGCAAATCAATAAATGTAATCCAGCATATAAACAGAGCCAAAGACAAAAACCACATGATTATCTCAATAGATGCAGAAAAAGCCTTTGACAAAATTCAACAACCCTTCATGCTAAAAACTCTCAATAAATTAGGTATTGATGGGATGTATTTCAAAATAATAAGAGCTATCTATGACAAACCCACAGCCAATATCATACTGAATGGGCAAAAACTGGAAGCATTCCCTTTGAAAACTGGCACAAGACAGGGATGCCCTCTCTCACCACTCTTATTCAACATAGTGTTGGAAGTTCTGGCCAGGGCAATTAGGCAGGAGAAGGAAATAAAGGGTATTCAATTAGGAAAAGAGGAAGTCAAATTGTCCCTGTTTGCAGACGACATGATTGTTTATCTAGAAAACCCCATTGTCTCAGCCCAAAATCTCCTTAAGCTGATAAGCAACTTCAGCAAAGTCTCAGGATACAAAATCAATGTACAAAAATCACAAGCATTCTTATACACCAACAACAGACAAACAGAGAGCCAAATTATGAGTGAACTCCCATTCACAATTGCTTCAAAGAGAATAAAATACCTAGGAATCCAACTTACAAGGGATGTGAAGGACCTCTTCAAGGAGAACTACAAACCACTGCTCAAGGAAATAAAAGAGGATACAAACAAATGGAAGAACATTCCATGCTCATGGGTAGGAAGAATCAATATCGTGAAAATGGCCATACTGCCCAAGGTAATTTATAGATTCAATGCCATCCCCATCAAGCTACCAATGACTTTCTTCACAGAATTGGAAAAAACTACTTTAAAGTTCATATGGAACCAAAAAAGAGCCCGCATGGCCAAGTCAATCCTAAGCCAAAAGAACAAAGCTGGAGGCATCACACTACCTGACTTCAAACTATACTACAAGGCTACAGTAACCAAAACAGTATGGTACTGGTACCAAAACAGAGATATAGATCAATGGAACAGAACAGAGCCCTCAGAAATAACGCCGCATATCTACAACTATCTGATCTTTGACAAACCTGAGAAAAACAAGCAATGGGGAAAGGATTCCCTATTTAATAAATGGTGCTGGGAAAACTGGCTAGCCATATGTAGAAAGCTGAAACTGGATCCCTTCCTTACACCTTACACAAAAATCAATTCAAGATGGATTAAAGACTTAAATGTTAGACCTAACACCATAAAAACCCTAGAAGAAAACCTAGGCATTAGCATTCAGGACATAGGCATGGGCAAGGACTTCATGTCTAAAACACCAAAAGCAATGGCAGCAAAAGACAAAATTGACAAATGGGATCTAATTAAACTAAAGAGCTTCTGCACAGCAAAAGAAACTACCATCAGAGTGAACAGGCAACCTACAAAATGGGAGAAAATTTTCACAACCTACTCATCTGACAAAGGGCTAATATCCAGAATCTACAATGAACTCCAACAAATTTACAAGAAAAAAACAAACAACCCCATCAAAAAGTAGGCAAAGGACATGAACAGACACTTCTCAAAAGAAGACATTTATGCAGCCAAAAAACACATGAAAAAATGCTCATCATCACTGGCCATCAGAGAAATGCAAATCAAAACCACAATGAGATACCATCTCACACCAGTTAGAATGGCAATCATTAAAAAGTCAGGAAACAACAGGTGCTGGAGAGGATGTGGAGAAATAGGAACACTTTTACACTGTTGGTGGGACTGTAAACTAGTTCAACCATTGTGGAAGTCAGTGTGGTGATTCCTCAGGGATCTAGAACTGGAAATACCATTTGACCCAGCCATCCCATTACTGGGTATATACCCAAAGGATTATAAATCATGCTGCTATAAAGACACATGCACACGTATGTTTATTGCGGCATTATTCACGATAGCAAAGACTTGGAACCAACCCAAATGTCCAACAATGATAGACTGGATTAAGAAAATGTGGCACATATACACCATGGAATACTATGCAGCCATAAAAAATGATGAGTTCATGTCCTTTGTAGGGACATGGATGAAATTGGAAATCATCATTCTCAGTAAACTATCGCAAGAACAAAAAACCAAACACCGCATATTCTCACTCATAGGTGGGAATTGAACAATGAGATCACATGGACACAGGAAGGGGAATATCACACTCTGGGGACTGTTGTGGGGTGGGGGGAGCGGGGAGGGATAGCATTGGGAGATATACCTAATGCTAGATGACGAGTTAGTGGGTGCAGCGCACCAGCATGGCACATGTATACATATGTAACCTGCACAATGTGCACATGTACCATAGAACTTAAAGTATAATAATAAAAAATAAATAAATAAAAATATGTATAAAAAATAAAAAATAAAAAAATAAAAAATAAAAAAAAAGATTTTAGCAAATTAGATACAGAAGAAAACATCCTCAATCTGATAGAGTATCTACCAAAAACCTTCAGCAAACATCATCCTTAACAATGAAGTGTTGAAAGATTTCCCTTAGAAATAACTTTTTTGTTATTAATCAATTTCTCAAACATATACAAAGTGCAGAAATGGTTAAATTAATACTCATGTACCCATCACCTTGAGGGTATTCTCTCTGATATTAGAAATAAGTCATGTGTGCTTATTAGGATATTTTCTATTCGACATTGTTCTGAGAGCTCTGGGCAGTGCAAAAGTCATGAAAAGGAAAAACAATTAAAAATAAGAAAGAAAGAAAACCATCATGACTTGCAGATGGTGTGATTGTATGCATAAGAAAATCCAGAATAATCTACAGGTAATTAATTAGAAGTAAGAGAGTTTAGCAAAGTTGCTGGATATACAGTACATTTAAAAATCAATTGCACTTCTCTATACCAACAACAAACAGAAAATGAAAAATTTAAAACATACCATTTAGAATAGCATCAAAAAAATACCAAAGATCCAAGGTAATGTTAACAAAATATGTCCAAGATCTCCACTAAAAAATTTACAAAATTTTGTTTACAAAAATTAATGAAGACTTAAATAAATGAAGGAATTGTTTATCAAAATGAATCAGAAGAGTCAACATATGAAAGTGTTGGTTCTCTTTAAGTCCACAAATTCAATGTAATTTCAATAAAAATAATAATGTTTCTACTTGTTTGTTTTGTAAAACTTGATAAGCAGATTTAAGAATGTGCATGGAACAGCAAACGGTCAAAGACAGGCAAAATCTTCCTGCAGATACCACAGGCAGCTCAGGGACTGCACTACAAAATGATCCCTGACTGGCTACATTTTAAAGTTTTATTCAATTTTTTCTTCTTATATTCCTTCCATGTAATGATGAAAAGGATACAGAATGGGATCAGAATCAGTCCCAACCTGCCACAGTACACCTCCAAAATTAAGTTTTATGTGTAAAAGAAAGAGACTGATATAAAGAAATTTCAAGAGTCTTTTTAGCTCTAAACAGCTTCTCCTTCATTAATTCAATTTACACTTGTCATGCATTATGTATGTAGGAGACATGGGTCTAACCACCCTACACATGCTACCTCTTTTCATCCTCAGGGTACACTAAACATCGCTCATGTACCCAGCACAACTGTAGGCAATGAGGATTAAGGATGACCCAAACATATCCCTTATGCTCAAGGAATTCACCATCTAGCCAAAGTCACAAGAGTTTGTTTTCCTCTCTTTCATATATTTCCTTCTACCTCTCTTTTTTTGCTGCTTCAGCTCTTCTTTCTCTTTGACTGATCTTCCATATAGCTGAACATATGTCTGGCTGTCAACATATGGCATGTTTTGCAAACAGATAAACAATGGCACAGATGCAACTAACATATATATATATATATATATATATATATATATATATATATATATGCATCTATATAATATAAATAAATACATATATATACTTATTCCTGGCCCACAGGTGCCCCAGCTTGGCTTCATCAGACTCAGCAGAAAGTTTTGATAATTCTCTTTCAAAAATTCCAGAATCCACAAGCAGCCGATGTATCCTCTGGCAAGTGGTTAAAATAAATTTTTTGATGTCTTCTTTGGTGTGAAAGCCAGAACACTTTTTCCCCACTCTTTCAATTCAGAGGCCTTTAATACCAAAGGCTTCATCCTCACTCTCAACTATTTAAGATGTTTTGACCAAAGGCTGCATTGTTCATTAAAGGTTCTTTTGTTTTTGCATTTGGCAGTAATTCATTATCTTCTCTGTGCCAGTGGGTCAGCCCTACTGGGACACGGATGGGCTGTACTCTAAGAAGCTTTGGTCTATATTGCCTGCTTAAAAGTAAAAATAAATCATGTCGCAGATTGTAGAGGCTGCACCTGTATCTCACATTAATTGCTATTTCCCTGCATGTCGGCCTGAGTGACCAAACCTGCATTTCTCCACCTGAGGGCTTTCTCTTCTCTTGCATACAGTAGGCCCAAAGTGCTCCTGTACCCTACTCTCCAGCATCCCTCAATCAGTGGCCATTGGGAGATGATGGATAAATGCCCAAGCTCTCTTGCCTTTCAGTGGGATAACTCTGAGGCATTGGATCCCAGAGTTTCTACTTTGAAATTTGCTTGATAGTGTATCCTTTATTGGCTTCCTTCCTTTTCTTCTCTCTTCCCCACCACCCCCTCTACCAGTCTTTCCTGGGATCACCCATGAATAAACTATTTGCACTTGAATCCTTGTGTCAGGGTCTTCTGTGGATCCCCAAATTAAGACAAGCTAAAATTCAACTTTGGAAAAAAGATGATCAATGATAACACAGGACCTCCTCAACCCTGGACTTTTACTAGTGGTCCAGGAGGCAATCCACAATTTACAAATGTTCCTGGATGTGAATGAAAGCAGCAGCAGATCTGAAGATGGTGCAAATACCATGCCCAAATTCTACTGGGTCACTTGGTCTGGAGGGAATTTCTCCCAGCAGCTAAGTCCTATCCTCCGGCCATGTGGAGATCATAGTGGAGGAGAGAGTGACAAAGTTGGATCCTGGCACTTCTACTCCTGTATGGTTTCTTGTCTCCTCCTTCTTAAGATCACATTTTGTTCCTTTCCCTTATAAAGAGTAACAAGTACACAAACAAATCAATAATGGAAAACAGCAATCTAAAAAGAAAGTGAAGATGACTCTGATTGTTCTAATAGTTCATCTGAAGCTCAATTTCTACTAATTTTGAGTTAACATTTCACTTCTAAAAACTCAGGTTAGACCTAAGAAATCAAATGTCATTTAAGAAAAGTAGCTCCTGACAGAAAGTTTTAAAAATGTTTCTGTACTATTCATCTTCAATTTGCTTCTCCAAATTTTTCAGTGAAATCCCAGTGGCTACATTTGACTTATTATAAGCTGAATATGAAGACGGAGGTAACAAGAGTTTGGGATGAAAGTGAGGCCATTACATCTCAACTCTTAATATGTTCAATAAGCTCTACATGAACACTGTCTAACAGAACTTTTTGTGGTGATGGAATGTCCTAGAGCTTTGCTGTCCAATATAGTAGCCACTAGCTACACATGCCTATTGAGTACTTGAAATGTGGATACTGAGTACTGCAATTATTTAAATTATTTGCATATTGCACTATTGTATATGTTGTACAATATAGCTTTATAACTGTATTATAATAATGGTCATTCCAGTTGCAGTTTTTTCCTCCAATCCCCTTCTTCTCAGTGAAGCCCTAGCTTGAGCTAATTTTTCAATCTTTGACCCAAGCATCCCTTTCAGGATTGATTTTCTGCTCTTGATTTCCAGACCTTCTCACTGTCCACCAACCTCCCCAGCCTTTGGGATCTATTGGTACAGTTGCCTTCATGAAGGAAGTATCATATACTTGAAGTCACCCATCTTCAAGCCAAACTCCTCTGTAACTTCTTTTCTATTGACTCAACTTAGCGGGAGGGACATCAAAGAAAATATGGCTGCCTGCCTCAAATCTTACATTACCTATGTAGTACCTCCTTCCCCTCATCCTGGGCTTCCTCTTCATTTGTAGAGGAGACCTTCACAAATGATCCCTTGAGGAGTAGTGAGGCAGATGCTATCCGATGTCTGCATATGTCCCCTTGGAGCCCTTTACCATCTTCATCCTCACCTGTCCCCCTGTGCTCCACACACAGCTGACATCTGCATCTCTATGTTGGAGGACAGTCATCAGGTTGCCAGAAGTGCCTGGGAGTCCATGATGCAGGGAGTCCGGATCCATTAATTATCATGGTGTTGGTGCGGAGAGGGTCTACAAATAGTCTAGCTGTCTTGTTCCCTGATAAGGACTTACACTGCCCCCAGAGTAGGGCTGTCCGCCTCTTCCGGACGTTGCTGGGTATCTCACCTTCTGGGCACTCTCCCCTTTCTGCTCACATTCCCTTACTGGATTTTTTGAATCTTCATGTCAGAGGCCACTACTGGGGAATCCAACTCAAAACAAGTATTGTTTTGAAATAAAAAACCAAAGCTTAAAATACACTAGTTTTTAAAAAAATCTCTTTTTAAAAAAAGTTTGTTTTTAAAGGGACCAGTGGGTGGAAATGTCTTGCAATTAAACATTTAAAAAACATTTTGAGCCTAGCAGAGCAGATCAGTGCTACCTTAAACTCTTGAAAAAGTTTTTACCTGTCCCATGAGAATGTGTTCCTAAAGGTGACCAATTCAAACATTTGAATCAGTGGGTCAGTGTCAGGCCCTCAAAATACAAAAGGAAAGAGAGGGATGTTTTTCTATTGAGCAAATATTTGTTGTGGGTACACCATGTTTGAGGCATCTGTGCCAAATGAAGAGATGAAAGTAACAGCACACCCAAGTTGCTCTCAATTTAACACAGTTTCAGATAAGGAAGCTGCTAATCACATTGCTGCTTTGCCAAGCGTACTTGGTGACAAGGAGTTTTCAAAGATGGAAGTGGGCTATTCAAAATCTTTTTAAAAAATTCACCAAAGGGCTATTTTGTGACCTAGTTTCTTTATTAAGTAATAACGTATGGAACGGCTTGTTTTCAGTCCTCAGCAGCTGCCAAAACCTGAATGTATTAAATCCAACAGATCACAGCCATTCGGGAGATCTATTAATAGCAAGATAATTTTCAAGTCCACTGTACTGAGTAGCATTTTGTTTTTTAGTTCGGCATAAAAAGCATTCCATATCACGTCTGGTGAGTTGTGTTTTGAGGTTGAATTTTACAAAATACATCAGGCTTGTTTTCAATTAAGGCAACAATAAATCCATCGTTTGGTATTTTGGCTTGGTATACTGTGGTACCACAGCTAATATCTAGGTTTGTGGATACCTAAATTAAAACACACTTGTCTCTTTTATGTTCTTGTACTATGTTTCTTGGTGTTTATCAGGCATTACAGAAATGAAAGAAAAAAATAGCTCTTTGGCAAGGAAGCAAGTCGTGATAATCCCATGAAGTATATTATCTAATGTGGATTCTGGTCTACTCGGGACATCTCAAATGAGGGGGAAGAACTATACAAGGTCAGAAAATGCAACACTTGGCTGGGCGCGGTGGCTCACACCTGTAATCCCAGCACTTTGGGAGGCCGAGGTGGGCGGATCATGAAGTCAGGAATTTGAGACCAGCCTGGCCAACATGGTGAAACCCTGTCTCTACTAATAATACAAAAATTAGCCAGGCGTGGTGGCACATTTCTGTAATCCCAGCTACTTGGGAGGCTGAGGCAGGAGAATTGCTTGAACCCAGGAGGTGGAAGTTGCAGTGAGCCGAAATCGCGCCATTGCACTCCAGCTCTGGCGACAGAGCAAGACTCCATCTTGGAAAAAAGAAAGAAAGAAAGAAAACGCAACACTTTTTTTCCTGTTCAAACCATTTATCAAATCCTTCAGTGTGTGTGTATGTGTGTGTCTCATTTAACAAATTGTTCCCTACCACAGGATCAAAAAGATATTGTGAATGTTAATTTTTATGTGCCGACTTGGCTAGGCTATAGTGTCCAGTTGTTTGGCCAAACACCAGTCTAGATATTACTGTGAAGGTGGTTTTTTGAATATGACTAACATTTACATCAGTAGACTTTATAAAGCAGATTACTCTCCATAATGGGGGCAAGCCTTGTCCAAACAGTTGAAGGCCTTAAGAGAAAAAAAGGCTGAGGTCCCCCAGTGAGGAAGGAATTCTGCCTCCAGACTGCCTTTGGACTCAAGACTGCAACATCAACTCCTGCCAGAATTTCCCCTGCTGGCCTGCTCTGATGATTTCAGATTTGCCAGCCCCCACAACTGTGTGAGCCAATTCCTTAAAATAAATCCCTCTCTCTGTCTCTCTCATATATGTATATATTATAATATATATACATATATGTATGTGTGTATATGTAAATGTATACACACACACACACACACACACACACACATAAGTATCTCTTATTGGTTCTGTTTCTCTAGAGAAACCTTACTAACACAACTATTCTCCTATGTGTGCTTCTAAAAGTTAAGTTTGGGATTTTACAACTAAGCTTTTAACCCATCTGGAATTGATTTTGTAGATATATTCTTAATTTATTATTTCTTCAGCCGATTTCATGTGCTTTGGGGAATAAGAAGAGGTAAATGTATGTATACCAGTCCTTTAGGACTAGACGTTTTGGTATCTTTTTAAAAACATACACATCTAGTCCTTATTGTAGAGATTCTGGTTCAGTAGGTCTGAGGCAGGGTGTAAGAACCTAAGTACTTTGTTAATTCAGATAATTCTGAAGTTCACTATCTTAGAAGAAAATACAGGTGAATATTTTTATACTCTCCACATGAGTAACATCTGAGAATGATGTTCAAGGCAGAATCCATTAAGAAAAAAGCTTGAAATATTTGACCACATTAAGTAGTTTTGTGAACTTCTTATTGAAGTTTAAAGTGTTCCCATAAAATGCTTAAACTCTTGTACAGTAAGCAATACAGTAAGGAAAGTTAAAAGAAGCATGACAAACTAGGGAAAATGTGCAACATGTATGACACAGTTTGAGGCATCTCATAATTTTTTTTTTTACATATACCTATGTAAAAAGTTCTTACCAGTAAATACTGCAGAGGCAACAGAAAAGAGCAGAAGGATAAGGAACCTGAGTTAGGGACTCCCACTGTCTCGGTTGGAATCCTGACTCCAGCACAATACTGAACCTCTGCCTTTGTTTTCTCATCTCTAAAATAGGAATAATGATAACTTTATAGGGTCATAGTGAATATTAAAATAGGTATGTCTTATAAGGGCTTAGGCACGTAGTAAGGCATCAATAAATACTAGCTTTTTAATTAAAAAATTAACATCTCAAAGAAAAATAGGCAGAAGACATAAACAAACAATTCATTAAAAGCAACAACACCAACTCAATACAAATGGTGATGAAACTTAAAAAATGTTCTCACTAGGAAAATACAAAATAAAATATGGTATTATTTTCATCATTATCATGGATCAGATTAGCAAAGATGAAAAAAGTAGACAAAATCTCAGGTTGGAGATGGTGATGGGAAAAAGAGATTTCCACACATTGCTCTGTGACTAATATTCAGTATGGTTATAAAGGTAAATAACTTATCCCACCACTACCCACTACCCCAGCTGCCTAGCTCTCTCCCACAGGACCTGGACCTCTCCAGAGTTCAGCAACTAAAAGATTACCTCCAGGACTTTGCTCAATGCTAAGGTTAGTATCCATTCTGTGGTTAAGTATTTTAAATATCGTCTCTGAATACAATCTTTCTGTGGAGTATTCTGACTACATATCAGAAGTTCAAATATGTATACCAAAGAACTAATGAGAAAAATGTATAAAAATGTATGTACATAGAAGTTTATCATAAAATTGGAAACAACCTAAAAGTCACGCAAGAGACTTTGGTTAAATCTGTCATGATAAAACTAAACATTGGGAAATTATGCACACCTTAAAGTGAGAACATTAAAATGTCCCCAGTATGTAATTAATGGGAAAAAAACAAGTTACAAAACATCATGTTTCATATGATTTCATTTGGGTGTGTATTTTTCATGTGTTGGTATGTGCTGCATATATATATGTACACACACATATGTATATAGTTTTTAACAGTATTTGGCTGTGGTGAGTTGCAAAAAATGGCCACTAATTATTTCTATCTCTGTATGCCTGTACCTTCAGAATGTGACTTTGGCACTCCTCCCATTCAAAGGTGAAGTCTATTGTCTTGACCTGTTGATCCTGTGCTTAGCCATGTAACTCGCTTCGTCAAAGGAACATTTGCAGATGTACTAGTGGAGGCCTGAAAAGGGTTTCTGTTTTGGAGCTTTGCCTCTGCTGCTGCACTTGCAACTACAAGATCACAACATGACTAGAGGAACACTGAGGTGCCCTGGCCAACTGTCAGCTGGTGAGTGAAGTGGTCCTCAACCATCCAGCCCCAGCCAAGCCTCTAGAAGACTGCAGAGATACATTGAGCCTAGCCCAAATTGCCAATGCACAGAGCCATCAGGTAATCATTGATTTTTGCTTCAAGCCACTGAGTTCTAAATGATTTGATATATTCTCTCAGGTGCTGTGGTCTGAATGTTTTTGTCCCTTCAAAATTTGTGTTGACATCTAATCCCCAATGTGATGGTATTAAGAAGTGAGGCTGTTGGGAAGTGATTAGGTCGTGACAGCAGAACCCTCATGAGTGGAATTAGTGCCCTTACAAATAAAGCTTGACAGCGCCCTTTTGCCCTTCCATCATCTGAGTACACAGAAGGTGTCCTCTATGAGAAATAGGTTCTCACCAGACACTGAATCTTCTGGCACCTTGATCTTGGACTTCCAGCCTCCAGAACTGTGAGCAACAAGTTTCTTTTGTTTATAATTACTCAGTCTAAAGTATTTTGTTATCACTTGAACAAACTAAGACACCAGGATAATAGAATTTCGATACTTAAAAGTTTAAAGCAATTTTTAGTAACTCTGCATTTTCTGAACTTTTACAAAGAAGATGCATTACTTTTAAAATCAGAAAAAAGAATAGCTTTTTCTATTAAAAATTTTTTAAGTAGAAAAAAGAAAGTCTCTACCTGATTTCAGCTGTTTAGCACAATAGTTATAGCAATAGCTAACACTTAAATAGTACTTACTTTGTGCTAGTCACTACGTGTTTTACATATATTATCTCAATCCCCATGCTAATTCAGTTGCAGAGTGTACTGTTATCACTCCATTTCTCTGGTTCAAAAAATTGAGGCCCAGAGAGTTAAGTAATTTGTACAAGCTCATGCAGCTGGTGAAATGACAGATCTGTGGTTGATCCCAAACAATCTATTTTCTGAGTCTGTGCTTTTAACTAGCATGACTCAAGAGACAAAGCCATACCTAATCTGAAAGGTAATTTCTCAATGATTTGGTTTCTGAAAGTTACAGCTGTGAGATATCCAGGATGCTCCCTGGTCTTTCTTGAGTTTCCTAACTTTATATGATTTCACTGAACAATAAAATGTTGGAGTGGATATGATAGAGAAGATGTGCTAGAACTCAAATGGTTCAATTTCACTGCTTGTTATCAACTATTACGCAGGAATTTATTAAAGGGGGCGGAGGGTGCTAAGCCTCTAATTAAAAGCAGGTTTGCCAATTGACAAGTTCTTATAATTTATATTTTCCCCATTCATCAAGACAGCTAACTAGAGAGAGCTATTTATAAGATTGTTTATCCTACATTCCGTTGTGCAAGAGGCATTTTTATACCACTCATCCAGCACAGTTCTGTATACACTACAAACAGCATGCCCAACAAAAGTCTAGATGATGATGATGATGTTCAGACATATCCAGAAAGTTCTTAACGGGGGTGATGTGGCTGAGTAGTTAAGAGTAGAACTTTAGAGTCAGATTATATTTAAGTTCAAATCTCAGAGCCACCATTTATAAGTAATGGGTCCTTGGGCAAATCACTCTCTTGGTTCCTGTGATTTTTTTGTGTGTCAAATAGAGACAAGAAGGTGGTTATAAAGATTAAATGATATGACTCTTGTCAAGAACTTGGCAAGAGCTGCTACTCTCTATCATGTTCATCATCATCATTATCATCTCATCAATAAAAAGTTTAAAAACTATGACTCCACCAAGTTCTATTTTTTTTTTTTTTCAAGTTCTAAATTACCTATAGAGCTCAATGTCATTCAAAGCAAAAATATAGGAGATCTTTACTGTGGAAGACAGGACTGGGAACATAAAATTCTTGGTGACAGTCTTTTATTGTGGTCATGATACAAGATAGTGGCCTTAGGTGGTCAAAGGGAATCAAGATTGATGATCCCATCTGGAGTCACCTGATGATCCTTGCCATTTCCTGAGAGAAATTGCCTCCAGATACTGTTGTGACTTGGAGATGTGAGTCCCATTCCAACTCAGCATGGCCACAGCCATAGACTGTCAATGCCTGAAGACAACAGAAAGCAGGCCTGGGCCTGGTCTGCCTTTTCATTATTGCCTTCCTACAATCATAATTACCCAACGTGGTAAGTTTCTTCTCTTCCAACAGACAGAGTTAATATATCCAGTCTTGGATTAATAATTTGAAGCCTGCAACGGTTAAACCGTAAACAGGACAGAGTCATGTTAAAAAACAATCACACACGACAAACAGATTTTGTTAAATAAAAAGAACAAACCAAAGGAAAGGTCATAGCTTTTGTATTTCTATAACAAATGCAATGTAATGAAAATCTATATCTGCTAGAATTCCTCTGTTTTTTAGGTTATAAATAAAATTTTCCTTGAATAATCACCTTGCTCACTTTCCTTAGGGGAAATTGTTTACATTTCTTCATATCTTTGTAAATGAAATAAACCTCTTGTGATGGTTAATATTGAGGTCAACATGATTGGATTGAAGGATGCAAAGTGTTGTTCCTGGGTGTGTCTGAGGGCGTTGCCAAAGGAGATTAACATTTGAGTTGGTGGACTGGGAGAGGCAGACTCACCTTCAATCTGGGTGGGCACAAAACAATCAGCTGCCAGCATGGCTAGGATAAAGGAGGCAGAAGAACATGGAAGGACTAGACTGGCAAAGTCTCCCAGCTTTCATCTTTCTCCTGTGCTGGATGCTTCCTGCTGCCAAACATCAGACTCCAAGTTTTTCAGCTTTTGGACGCTTGGACTTACACCAGTGGTTTGCCAGGGGCTCTTGGGCCTTTGGCCACAGACTGAAGGCTGCACTGTTGGCTTCCGTACTTTTGAGGTTTTGGGACTCGGACTGGCTTCCTTGCTCCTCAGCTTGTAGACAGCATATTGTGGGACCTCACCTTGTGATCCTGTGAGTCAATACTCCTTAATAAAATCCTGTTCATATATACATATGTCCTACTAGTCCTGTCCCTCTGGAGAGCCCTAATACACCTCCATTTAAATCAGCATTTTCTATTCAGATCATTCCTTCAAAAGAATGATGAACACATTTGTTTTTAAAAATACAACTGAGTGGTGAACTTGACTAGTATCAGAGGCTACCATAAGTCAGCTCGGTTTGAGATATACTTTTGACAATTAATGGTTATGGTACCAGAAGTCCCTTTGGGAGATTGTTGCAGTAATGGCCCCCAATTTGTTCAAGTCTTCTGTACCCTTGTCCTTAGGTAGTCTCCTTCTATACTGACTCTATACTGTTTGGCCATATGATTTTTTTGGCCAATAGGACAATAACAAATGTGATGAAAACAAAGATTTGAAAAGCACTTGCCACATTAAAGCCATCCCTCTCTTGTTATTCTTGGGACTTTTGTGAAAGCTGCCACGTAAACAAGCCCATCCAGGGCTGCCTGATGGCTGATGAGAGAGATCCATGGCTGGAACTCAAATGGCTGCCTCAGCTAACACCCAGCCAATATCCTTGCTGACCCAGCAGCTGCCTGCAGGCACATGAGTATCACCCAGCTGAGACCAGCAGAAGACTCATCCATCAGAGCCCAACCCAAATTGTCAGACCACAGGATTATTGTTGTTGTTGTTGTTTTAAGCCACTAGATTTGGGGTGGTTTGTTACACAGTGAGAGCTAACTGATATCATGTCCCAGTGAGAACAGAATTGTATCAACAGCATCAGAGCAGATGATGGATTCCGTCAGAATGATTTTACTTATAAACAGCTGTGATTGAAATCGACATAAAATAGCAGGAAGTGAGCAAATATGGAATGGCCCATCCACCCACAGAAAAACAGTTATCAACATGGTCACTATGAAAACTAGAACAAATATAGCTAGAGAGATAAGTAAGGCTATGGGCCAGATTTATTATGCAGGGGTATGGGTATGGACTGACCTCTCACCACTCAGTGTTTGGAATCAACTGAGTAGACACTTGAAATGATAAGGATTTTAAGAATAGTAAGGGCCTCCAATTCAGCACCACCTAAAACTTCATTTGTTTGCTACTTGCTACTTGGCATTTTGTTTTGCATAAGGCTCTTGAAGCCTTTGGTTGGACAAGCTCAAATGGCTCATGAAACAGGGACTTGTTCTATGATGTTGTTTTCCACCTACTTTTCCTAAGTGTGTGCTCTGTAAGAGGTCCCTTAGAAAATGGGTTCTGTGGTCTTACAAGTCACAGTACACTCTTTACTCCTCTGGGAATTTCACAGTATACCTTGACATATTAAAGTCTTGTTGGTCTTCATTTACTTCAGCGCTTCCAAAATGTGTTTGATCATGGAACTCTTTTTGTAAGGTATATTAAAATCTCATAACCAATGTTTCTCAGGGTAGACTTTGAGGAAGTTTTTTTACTTTCTTATAATGAAATAGATCACACATATAGACAAGTATATGAAACACAAACATGCAGCATTGTGAATTATTGTAGAACAAACACTCTTGTAACTACTATCCAGGTCAAGAAATAGAACTTTGCCAACCCCTTCACTAGACCCCTCTGTACTCCTGGCTCATCACAGACCCCTCCCTCCTCCCTAGAGGTAAAAATTTCCCTGACTTTATGATAATAACTTCCTTTCAGTGTTTTATTTTTATTTTTATTTCTTTTGCCACATAAGTATGCATCCATAAATTATGGACTGTTTTTTTTTTCTGTTTTCAAAAGCTATGTAAATGGAATTACACAGTATGTATTGTGGGGGTATTAGGTATAAGTATCTTCAACTTTGACAGCAAATGTCAAATTGTTTCCCAAATTGATGGTGCCAATTGACATTCCTATCACCAGTGTATGAGAGTTTCAGTTGCTCCACATCCTAGGTTATACTTGGTAATGTGAGATGTTTTAATTTTTGCCAATCTATTTGGTACATAGTGAAGAATTTAATTTGCCTTTTTCTGATTAGTAATGAGGTTGAGTATGTCTTATTATGTTTATTGATCATTTGGATATCTTGTATGGTTTATGTTCAATTCTTGCTTATTTTTCTACGGGGTTTCTATTTCTTTCTTAATTTATAGGAGTGCTTCATATGTTCTAGATAAATGCCCTTTATTGAGTATAGGAGATGAAAATGTCTTCTTTCTCTTTATGGCTTGATTTTTCTCTTTCTTTCTTTTTTTATTTTATTTTTATTTTTTAGTATTCCCTACAGAAATAGAAGCTTTTTCTTTTCCTTATAGTGTCTTTTGTCAAACAGAAGTTCTTCATTTAAGTATAATCAGAAGGTATCAATTGTTTTCCTTTTATGCTTAGTGCTTTGTGTGTCTCCTTTAATCATGCCTGTCTCCACGTCCAGTGATCTAGGGAGCTGGACTTTGAGTGGTAAGGTCTTTGGTCACTGGTAGTGGTGAAAGCCAAAAACTGCAGGCTCCAGACAACTGAGGAGAAAGGAGAGCAGGTGGAAAGTGGAAGGCCAGAGGACAATAGATAGCAGCAGGAAGGCAACAGGCGCCCTGTGGGTGAATGGAGGGTATGACTGAAGGCAGATTAAATGTCACTTTTACCATCCAGTTATTTATACATGGAATGACAAGAATGGAATATTAGTACAATCCAGTTTATTTCTGTAATGTTAGAAACTTTTTTCAAAATAAAAGATAGACCGGAAAAACATTGTAGCTAGACAAGGTTTTCTTTACAGTTATCTTTACTATTGTTTGCAATAACATGAAGCTTGGTATCTTGATATATTCTCACTCTGGGTATCTGCTTTATTCTCCCATGAGAAATGCTACAAGGACAAGAACATTGCATTCTACTGGTAGTGATTGAGGAGAAACTTATTGGAGGTCAAGAAACTGACATTTCTTGGGTTGCTACTACATGCCAAGCACTTGTACTGAGCTGTTGATATACATTACATAGTTCATTCTTTTGCAATTCTGGAGGGAGGTATCATTATCTCTTTTTTTTAATAAATGGGGAACCTGAGGTTCACTGGGGCAAAATAACTTGAGCAAGGTCACACAGGTCAAACAGCCAGTCAGTGACTAAAGCAGGATTTGAACTCAAGGTTGAATCTAACCCCACAGCCCATGGCTCTCCCGCTGCAACATGCTACCTTCCTGTAGGAGCAAAGGACTTTGGAAATGTTATGGACTAAATGTTTGTGTCCCCCCAAAATTTATATGTTAAAATCTTAATCCCCAAAATGATGGTATTAGGAGGTAGTTTTCAGAAGTGATTAGGTTATGTGGGCAGAGCCTTCATGAAAGGGATTAGTGCCCCCAGAGAGCTCCCTTGCTCTTTCTACCATGTGAGGACTCAGCAAGAAGACGGCTATCTATGAACCAGGAAGCAGGCCCTCACCAGACCCAGAATCTGCTGGTGTTATGTCTTGGACTTTCCAGTCTCCAGGACTGTGAGAAATAAATGTTTGTTGTTTAGGCCACCCAGTCCATGGTATTCTGTTATAGCAGCCCAGACGGACTGAGACAGCAAGGCTGCTCTATGAAAGTGAAGTACAGTGTTCTCCTTTGCTGCATGATAAATTGGTGAAGAAAAATCTTTATATTCACTGTCTGTCTTTATGTGGGTTACCCTGGAGGCAGAACCTAAGACAAGGATGTGAATGCAAGTCGTTCCTTTGGGAGCAAGAAACAGCAGGTGAAATGAGACAGAAAGGGGAGGCAGCCAATACAGGGAGCATTATCAAACATGAGGGACAATTGGAGCTCAGTCCTGCTGGGGAACTCCCAGAGGCCATGGCTGCCCCACACCCCTGAGTTACTGTACCTCATAGGTACTCCAACCGAGGAGTGGGGAAGCTGTGTATTGATCCACCAACTCACATCCATCATTGGATGAGGGTAGCTTTTTGAAGGATTAATTCTTCAACCCTTTGGGCTTGCCCTGAGGGCAGTCCTAGATGCTCCTAGGGCTAGAAAATTTCCTCCGGCAAAGCATTGCAGGTATTTGCAATAAAGACCTTTTGGTGTAGAGGTGGATACAGAGAGGATATGGCAGAAAACTGATACTGTCAGCTACATCCTTTATTAATAAAAGCCAATGGAAAATAAAAATAATCATGACCTCTGGTAAAGGAGAGAAGGCTACAGAAAAGTTTAGAATCACTCCAAAGGGCTGTGCAATGGAATATTCCTGAGACGTTCACACTTGCACCTTCAAATCTAATTTGCCACACTAAGGAAGTGACACCCACCACACTACAGTTTAATAATTTAGCTATTATTCCAGAGTGATCCTATTAACAGTCTACTCATTTTCTCCATGGCAGTTCAGTCATTGAAATTCACCACTGTGTCTTGTGACTATTAGTGATACTCCGAGAAGCATTATTTATGAGCATGTACAAAAAAAGATTTAACAAAGATTTCCAATGCAACCTGATACTAAAGACATGATTACCACAGATGACTGGAGAATAGACTGGGCTGGGCTTGATCTCAGAACTTTCTCTTATCCCTGGAGTGTTTCATCTTAACTTCCTATTCAAAAAATAGGGGAGGGATGGATAGTGGGGGTGGTATTTAGAGATTTTAAATACTAAAAGAAGGGTTTTTGTTTTTTTTTTTTTTTTTTTTTTGACAGTGTCTCACTCCATCACCCAGGCTGGAGTGCAGTGGCTCAATCTTGGCTCACTGCAACCTCTGCCTCCCAGGTTCAAGCAATTCTCCTGCCTCAGCCTCCCAAGTAGCTGGGACTACAGGCATGTGCCACCACGCCTGGCTAATTTTTTGTGTTTTTAGTAGAGACAGGGTTTCACCATGTTAGCCAGGATGGCCTCGATCTCCTGACCTTGTGATCTGCCCCCCTCGGCCTCCCAAAGTGCTGGCATTACAGGCGTGAGTCACCACGCCAGGCCAAGACGGGGCTTTTTAATGCTAATTAACCTACATAATCCTTTTCAGAGACTAGAACTTTCAACTGCCTTAAAATAGAAAAAAGGTGTAAAAAGTGGGAAGGAGGAAAGAGTTAACTATTTTAAGAAGCAAAAACCAAAGTGAACTTGCACTGAGTATAGAGAGAGCTGTGGTACTGGACAGATTCAGAAGGAGCAAATGTTAAAAGAAAAATGCTACAAAATTGAAATAATTTTCAGTTTCTGGCTCAATTCCTTGCTCGATGCTGTATAACTGGAGTCCTGTCTAGAACAAATGTGCTGCAATTTAATTCATTTGCTTTTGTGAAAGTAGTTTTAGACCAAGAAATAAAAGTAAAATTTTGCTAATTAGCTAACAAAGCAGTCACTCCTTTCCTAAATCCCACCCCTCCACACACACATACACAAATACATGCACATGCACCCATACCTTTTTAAAGACGACATTTTCTTTCTTAAAGATGAAATAATTTCTAAAGAGTTGAAATGCTTGGAGCTTTATAACAAGCCTCAGGATTGTTTTTTGTTACTAGAGCTAGCTAAATTGCTCACTGATCATGACACAAATGATAGAATCAGACTGACCTGGGTTAGAGTTCTGGTTCTCCACTTACTGGTCTTAGTTTCCTTTTTGTAAAGTTCCTTATTAGTAGGGGGAAAAAAAATAGTGGAAAATTATGCACAGAGGTAAAGGGAAATCTTTTCTGTAAAAAGCCAGGTAGTAAATATTTTAGGCTTTGTGAGCTATATGGCCAATGCTGCAACTACTCAACTTAATGAAACCAGCCAATACACAATAGACAATACACAAGTGAACGTGTCCAATAAAATTTTATTTCCAAAAACAGGCAATGGACTGCATTTGGCCCATGATCAGTAATCTAGAGCACAACTTTTCTGGTTATATGATTCTAGCCTTTCATTGCCATTGAGCTAATTTACAACTCTGTATTTGCAAAATAATTTGTGTCCATAGACATGTAAATTCTATAATTTGTCCAGTAGAGGTTTAAATTATTTCCTTCCCCCACTGTAGAAGAGACCAATTTTGCCTCAATTTGCATATTCATTTCAATATTTCTGATCTATAAACTTGTTTGTTCTTTGACTCTCCCTTCAACTGGTTGTAACATGTTACCAGTTCCCTTACTAATGAGTTAAATCTTTAACATTATTAAGAAAAAAAATTCTGACACTTGTTATAATGGTAAGGATGACTTTATTCAGGACTATTGCAATACGTGTCAGCAATTGTCAGAGGCGGTTGAACCAGAGCGACTCCATCTTGAGTGAGGGCTAGGAAAATGAGGCTGGGACTTGCTGGGCTGCGTTCTCAGAAAATCAGGCATTCCTAGCCTCTAGATGTTTAAGGTTAAGGGAACAAATTAATAATGTTTACTAAACAGACCCAGATTTGAGAGTGTCCAGATATCCCGATATCTGGAAAACAAAGGCATTCCTAATTTTGCTTTAAAGATAATAATATTGATTCTTGCAAAATATAGTAATTAAGAAAATTAATCCTTCGTCACAAACCCTTGTAGCAGAGCACATCTCCTCATATATAAATGCATTGTACCTAGGGTTGGCGCATTCCTCCTTTTACTTTCAGGAATGTCCTACTCTGTCTATCTCTGTCTATGGAGTAGCTGTGCTTTCACTACTTTACTTTCTTTTTTTTTTTTATTTTTTTGAGACAGAGTCTGGCTCTGTCTCCCAGGCTGGAGTGCAGTGGCGCAATCTCGGCTCACTGCAAGCTCCGCCTCCCGGGTTCACGCCATTCTCCTGCCTCAGCCTCCCGAGTAGCTGAGTAGCTGGGACCACAGGGGCCCGCCACGACGCCCGGCTAATTTTTTGTATTTTTAGTAGAGACGGGGTTTCACCGCGTTAGCCAGGATGGTCTCGATCTCCTGATCTTGTGATCCGCCCGCCTCGGCCTCCCAAAGTGCTGGGATTACAGGCGTGAGCCACCATGCCCGGCCCACTACTTTCTTAATAAACTTGCTTTTACTTTGCACTGTGGACTCACCCTGAATTCTTTCTTGTGTGAGATCCAAGAACCCTCTCTTGGGGTCTGGATCAGGACCCCTTTCCTGTAATACTATCATAATAGGAGAGAGAGGCCAGACTCAACTCTGAATACAACAAAGACAACTGGGTATTTATAACCAACAAGCAGAGTGAGTGGGAATCAGTGGATAAAAATTACTAAGAAGAGACATCAAGGGAAGGAGGATTCTTGCTAAATTTACTTAGGATTCTTGCTAAAGGTAAGCCCAGATAATCGGATATTAATGGTGGGGGGATTCATGTTAAACTGACTTAGTAATATTCTTGCTAAAAGAAGAGAGACTCATTTTTCCTTTGAACAATATAAGTCCATTTCTCATTTGGCTGCCTTTTGTTCTTTAGGGTCAAGCTGAATCATCTGTTAGATTTGGTATTAACAGCAGTCAATCAAGGAGATTTCTAGATGTTGAGTTCTAAGCATCCTGAGTGGCCTACACAGCAGCAGCTCCAGGCATGAAAGTTCCTCATTGTCTAGCTTCAGTTTGCAAGGCTTCTTTAAGTCCTGGGGGAAATCAGCTACAAACAACCTAGAGTCCCAATAAAGTTCTTGGCAATCGGGTTTTAGCTCTCAGTGGTGCCAAGTCAGGAGAGTGGGAGAAAAATTGAAAATGTTAAGTTGGAGAGTTGTAGCCAGATATTGGAGGAAACTAGAAAGAATTGGAAATTGGTAGCATCACACCTGTAATGCCAGCACTTTGGGAGGCTGAGGCGGGTGGATCCCTTGAGTTCAGGAGTTCGAAACCAGGCTGGGCAACATGGCGAGACCCTCATCTCTACCAAAATTACAAAAAAGTAGCTGGGCATGGTGGTGTGTGCCTGTGGTTCCAGCCACTTGGGAGACTGAGGTGGGAGGATTGCCTTAGCCGGGGGATGGGGAAATTGCAGTGAGCCAAGATCATGCCACTACACTCCAGTGGGTGGCAGTGCCAGACCCAAGAAAGAAAGAAAGAGAAAAAGACAGAGAGAGAAAGAGACAGAGAAGAAAGAAAGAAAGAAAAGAACGAAAAAAAGAAAGAAAGAAAGAAAGAAAGAGAAAGAAAGAAAGAAGAAAGAAAGAAAGAAAGAAAGAGAGAAAGAGGGAAAGAGAGGAAGGAAGGAAGGAAAACTGGTGGTAATAACTGTCAACATAGGCAAGATGGCAAGAGCCAGTCCAATTTACAAGTAGATAACAAGGTCTCAAAGACAATGAGCAGGATTAGAGTCTGATAATCCAAAAGGGTGTGCTATGATTTTCCACTGAAATATAAAATTTCTCTCTATAGTCATCCCCTATTTTTGATCAAAGATAAGCAAATAAGGTTATTCTTGTTTACAAAACAAGTCTGGCTTCCTTAGGTTTGTCCTTATTGTTTATGTAGGTGCAGCAAGAATGATCATTGACTACCTAGACCTGTTTTTCATAAGGCATCTCCGATTAGACTTTTTAAAACCTCTTGGCCAGGCACGGTGGCTCACGCCTGTAATCCAAGCACTTTGGGAGGCCGAGGCGGGCGGATCATGAGGTCAGGAGATCGAGACCATCCTGGCTAACACGGTGAAACCCCGTCTCTACTAAAAATACAAAAAATTAGCCGGGCGTGGCGGCGGGCGCCTGTGGTCCCAGCTACTCAGCTACTCGGGAGGCTGAGGCAGGAGAATGGCGTGAATCCGGGAGGCGGAGCTTGCAGTGAGCCGAGATTGAGCCATTGCACTCCAGCCTGGGCAACAGAGAGAGACTCCATCTCTAAAAAAAAAAACAAAAAACAAACAAACAAACAAAAACCCTCTTGAGGGTAGGAAACCAAGCCAAGAATTCACCTCAGACTTCACCTGCAATATCTATAGGTTTAGGTGAATTCCTTTATTCTCAAGTCCCCTAAAATGCCCTAAGGTTCTTGGGACTGCCAGGAAGTGCCATTGATTACTTATCTGTAAAATTGGGAGAATTATAAGCCAGGTAACAGGCTGGTTTTTCCAAGAGGGCTTTGTAAGCATTGGTTCCATAAAGTCAACCTGAGTTCCTTAAAACTGTCGGTTCATATCTGATTCTATGCATCATTCTCAAATGTGACATTCCAGTCAAAGCCTTGACAATATAACTAATTTTTCCAATTGTGTCCTGTTACAAGAAGAACAGTTTCTTATTGAACTCATGTGAATAATTATATTATTATGGGAAGAGGAACACTTAGTTTCCAAATTATGAAGAGACTAGGCAGGAAGAAAAGATAAATATTTCATTTCTGTTTATAAAAGTATAATCTTATAAATTGTTGAGTTATAGATATCTTAAGAGCAAAGGGAAAGGGGTTCCTTATATTCAGAAAATAGAATGTTAGAGAACCAGCAATATTCCAAATAAAAGTCATAAAAATCATAATCCTTCTTTGTCAGTTTATTCAGTCTCATGTAATTAATTCTCACTCTACTTGATCTTGGGTTAGCAATTTTATGAACCCACTAGTTTCTCTACTGGAGATCTGGAACTCCTTCCTCTGTCCAGTGGTATGGTCTCAAAGTTATTTAAGCAATGCCATCAGAAGATTGTACCCTAGAATGCCTGTCATAGTCCTTTCCATGGGTCTATGGGACAGTCACTTTTTGTTGAAGATGAGGCACTCTGGCTTGTAGGTGATTGTAAATGCTTTCAGAGAAAAATAAGAGTAAAACGAAAACTATCTGTGGAGGACAAAAGAATTAAAAGAGCAATGTGCTTTCAGAGAAAAATAAGAGTAAAACAAAAACTATCTGTGGAGGACAAAAGAATTAAAAGAGCAATGGTTAAAGATCTGACGAGAGTTCATTTGACAAGGAAATTTGGTTATTTCTGTGGCATACAACATTTTAAAATAAGAACCAGAATAATGACTCATAACATTATACCAGCACATATCATGGACAGCAAGGATATTCACAAGTTGCTAGGAAGTTTATACAATTTCTGGCATACTTATATTAATAAGATTTCCTTGGCCGGGCATAGTGGCTCACGCCTGTAATCTCAGCACTTTGGGAGGCTGAGGCGGGTGGATCACGAGGTCAGGAGATCGAGACCATCCTGGATAACACGGTGAAACCCCGTCTCTACTAAAAATACAAAAAAATTAGCCGGGCATGGTGGCAGACACCTGTATTCCCAGCTACTCGGGAGGCTGAGGCAGGAGAATGGCATGAACCTGGGAGGTGGAGCTTGCAGTGAGCTGAGATTGCACCACTGCACTCCAGCCCAGACGACAGAGCAAGACTCTGTCTCAAAAAAAAAAAAAAAAAAAAAAAGATTTACTCATGCTAATATTACCTAGGGAAGACTAAGCATCTCTTCTTAATTGACAATGCTTTTTATGCAGTTCAACATATTAAGTAAACCTAAATTTTTAAAAAAATTTATTTTTACAAGGTGAACAAATCCTTTAGGATTTTCCCAGGGTCCTTTGGGAAAACTCAAAGTCAGTTTGAGATCAGTAAAATTTAACTTAGAATTGATTTGGGTCAGCCGGGTGTGGTGGCTCATGCCTGTAATTCCAGCGTGTTGGGAGGCTGAGACATGAGGATCACCTAAGGTCAGGAGTTCAAGACCAGCCTGGCCAACGTGGTGAAACCCTGTCTCTACTAAAAACACAAAAATTAGCCAGGTGTGGTGGTGGGCACCTGTAATCCCAGCTACTTGGGAGGCTGAGGCAGAAGAATCGCTTGAACCCGGGAGGCAGAGGTTGCAGTGAGCCAAGATCACGCTATTGCACTCCAGCCTGGGCAACAGGAGCAAAACTCCATCTCAAAAAAAAAAAAAAAATGGCCATACTGCCCAAGGTAATTTACAGATTCAATGCCATCCCCATAAAGCTACCAATGACTTTCTTCACAGAATTGGAAAAAACTACTTTAAAGTTCATATGGAACCAAAAAAGAGCCCACATCGCCAAGGCAATCCTAAGCCAAAAGAACAAAGCTGGAGGCATCACACTACCTGACTTCAAACTATACTACAAGGCTACAGTAACCAAAACAGCATGGTACTGGTACCAAAACAGAGATCTAGATCAATGGAACAGAACAGAGCCCTCAGAAATAACGCCGCATATCTACAACTATCTGATCTTTGACAAACCTGAGAAAAACAAGCAATGGGGAAAGGATTCCCTATTTAATAAATGGTGCTGGGAAAACTGGCTAGCCATATGTAGAAAGCTGAAACTGGATCCCTTCCTTACACCTTATACAAAAATCCATTCAAGATGGATTAAAGACTTAAATGTTAGACTTAAAACCATAAAAACCCTAGAAGAAAACCTAGGCATTACCATTCAGGACATAGGCATGGGCAAGGACTTCATGTCCAAAACACCAAAAGCAATGGCAACAAAAGACAAAATTGACAAATGGGATCTAATTAAACTAAAGAGCTTCTGCACAGCAAAAGAAACTACCATCAGAGTGAACAGGCCACCTACAAAATGGGAGAAAATTTTCGCAACCTACTCATCTGACAAAGGGCTAATATCCAGAATCTACAATGAACTCAAACAAATTTACAAGAAAAAAACAAACAACCCCATCAAAAAGTGGGCGAAGGACATGAACAGACACTTCTCAAAAGAAGACATTTATGCAGCCAAAAAACACATGAAAAAATGCTCATCATCACTGGCCATCAGAGAAATGCAAATCAAAACCACAATGAGATACCATCTCACACCAGTTAGAATGGCAATCATTAAAAAGTCAGGAAACAACAGGTGCTGGAGAGGATGTGGAGAAATAGGAACACTTTTACACTGTTGGTGGGACTGTAAACTAGTTCAACCATTGTGGAAGTCAGTGTGGCGATTCCTCAGGGATCTAGAACTAGAAATACCATTTGACCCAGCCATCCCATTACTGGGTATATACCCAAAGGACTATAAATCATGCTGCTATAAAGACACATGCACACGTATGTTTATTGCGGCATTATTCACAATAGCAAAGACTTGGAACCAACCCAAATGTCCAACAACGATAGACTGGATTAAGAAAATGTGGCACATATACACCATGGAATACTATGCAGCCATAAAAAATGATGAGTTCATGTCCTTTGTAGGGACATGGATGAAATTGGAAATCATCATTCTCAGTAAACTATCGCAAGAACAAAAAACCAAACACTGCATATTCTCACTCATAGGTGGGAATTGAACAATGAGATCACATGGACACGGGAAGGGGAATATCACACTCTGGGGACTGCGGTGGGGTGGGGGGAAGGGGGAGGGATAGCATTGGGAGATATACCTAATGCTAGATGACGAGTTAGTGGGTGCAGCGCACCAGCATGGCACATGTATACATATGTAACTAACCTGCACAATGTGCACATGTACCCTAAAACTTAAAGTATAATAAAAAAAAAAACCAAGGGGAAGTTGTTAAAGATGTCAAAAGATTTAAACACTTGGCTAAGTGGGATTCTATGTCACTGTGAAACAATATTTAGTTACTTATTAAACCAAAATAACATCAAAGATTTCAAAAATAACCATAGGAGGTAACATAATTGTAGAAAAACCTTAGCTCTTTTAAAAAGTAAAAAGAAGGCAGAGCACGGTGGCTCATGCCTGTAATCCCAGCACTTTGGGAGTCCTAGGCGGGTGGATCACGAGGTCAGGAGTCAGCCTGGCCAACATGGTGAAACCTTGTCTCTACTAAAAACACAAAAATTAGCTGGGCATGGTGGTGGGCAGCTATAATCCCAGCTACTGGGGAGGCTGAGGCAGGAGAATCGCTTGAACTCAGGAGGTGGAGGTTGCAGTGAGCCGAGATCACACCACTGCACTCCAGCTTGGGCGACAGAGCAAGACTCCATCTCAAAAAAAAAAAAAAAAAAGTAAAAAAGACTCAGTCCTCTTAAATAATCAAGAACATGATAATGATTAACATAAAGCACAGATTCTTTTTTATCTAGGTGGGTTACTTAAAAGGTAAAGAAAAACCTTTTATAATCTCTTATTAAGAGCAGATCAGCAATCCAAGAATACTTTGTCATTTTTAACAGAGATAAAACCAAACTGTATCAGTGTACTTTTGATATTGAAGTTCATTTCTTTCTTTATTTTTATTTATTTTTATTTATTTATTTTGAGACGGAGTTTTGCTCTTGGTGCCCAGACTGGAGTGCAATGGCGTGATCTTGGCTCACCGCAACCTCCACCTCCCGGGTTCAAGCAATTCTCCTGCTTCAGCCTCCTGAGTAGCTGGGATTATAGGCAGGCTCCACCATGCCCGGCTAATTTTGTCATTTTAGTAGAGACAGGGTTTCTCCATATTGGTCAAGCTGGTCTCGAACTCCCGACCTCAGGTGATCTGCCCAACTCAGCCTCCCAAAGTGCTGGGGTTACAGGCATGAGCCACCATGCCTGGCCTGAAGTTCATTTCATTAAAAACCTTATAAATAAATGATGTTAGCTAACTTTGACCACATTTGATTCCTTTTCCAAGATTCCTTTTCTGTAAGCTTTCTACAACTTTTTTAGCCACTTTATTGAGGTATTATTGACACACAGAAAGCTGTACATATTTAATATATACAACTTGATGAGTTTACATATAGGCATTCAACTGTGAAACCATCAGCACAATCTATGCCATCAGCCTATCCATCACCTTCAAAAGTTTCCTCCACCATCTTTATCATCTTTTTCATGTGATAAGAACACTTAACATAAGAGACTTCCCCTTAGAAAATTTTAAAATGTACAACATAGTATTGTAAAATATAAGCACTATGCTGTACAGTAGATCTCTAGGACTTATTCATTCTGTATAACTGAAACTGTGAACCCTTTGACCAATACCTTCACATTTCCTTCTTCACCAATACCCTGGCAAGCACCATGTTACTCTCTGTTTATATGACTTTGGGTAGTACAGACATTTTAACAATATTAATTATTCCAATGCATGAACACAGAATATCTTTCCATTTACTAATATCTGTTTTAATTTCTTTCATTAATGTCTTAGAGTTTTCAGTGTGTAAGTCTTTCACTTCTTTGGTTAAGTTTGTTCCTAAGTATTTTATTCTTTTTGATGATATTGTAAACAGTATTGATTTCTTATCTTTCTTTATAGATAATTCATTGTAAGTACATAGGAATGCAACTGATTTTTGTACATTGATTTTGTATTGTGGAACTCTTCTGAATTTGGTCATTAGTTCTGGGGTTTTTTTTAGGTGTCTTTAGGGTTTTCTACATATAAGATTATGTCATCTGCAAACAGAGGTAATTTTACTTCTTCCTTTCCAATTTGGATGCTGATATGGTTTGGCTGTGTCCCCACCCAAATCTCATCTTGAATTGTAGCTCCTATAATCCCCACATGTTGTGGGAGGGACCCTGTGGGAGGTTATTACATCATGGTGGGGGGTGGTTTCCTGTGCTGTTCTCATGATAGTGAATAAGTCTCACAAGATCTGATGGCTTTATAAAGAGGAATTCTCCTGCACACATTCTTGCCTGCTGCCATGTAACACGTGCTTTTGCTCTTCCTTCACCTTCTGCCATGATTGTGTGGCCTCCCCAGCCATGCTGAATTGTGAGTCAATTAAGCCACTTTCCTTTATAAATTACCAAGTCTCAGGTATATCTTTATTTGCAGCATGAGAACAGATTAATACAGATGCCTTTTATTTATTTTTCCTGCCTAATTTCTCTGCCTAGGCCTTCCAGTACTATGTTGAATAGAAGTGGTAAGAGCAGGCATCCATGTCTTTCTCCAAATCTTAGAGGAAAAGTTTTTAGTTTTTCACCATTGAATATGATGTTAGCTGTGAGCTTTTCATATGTGGCCTTTATTGTGATAGGTAAGTTCTTTCTACACTTAATTTATTGAAAGTTTTTATATAAAATGGTGTTAAATTTTGCCAAATGCTTTTTCTGCATCTACTGAAATGATCATGTAATTTTATCCTTCATTCTGTTAATGCAGTGTATCACATTGATAGATTTGCATATATTGAACAATCCCTTCATCCCAGGGGACAAGTCTCACTTGGTCATAGTAAATGATCCTTTTAATATGCTGTTGAATTCTGTTTGCTAATATTTTGTAGAGGATTTTTGCATATATGTTCATCAAGGATAATGGCCTATAGTTTCCTTTTCTTGTGATGTCTTTGTGTGGCTTTCATATCAGGCAGATGCTGACCTCGTGAAATGAGTTTGGAAGGGTTCTCTGTTCTATTTTTGGAAGAGTTTAGAAAGAATTGATGTTAATTCTTCTTTAAATGTTTGATAGAATTGACTTGTGAAGCCACCAGATTCTGGGCTTTAATTTCCTGAGTGGTTTTTTGATTACTGATTCAATCTCATTTGTCATTGGTCTGTTAAGAATTACTATTTTTTCTTGATTTAGTCTTAGTAGGTTTTATATTTCTGGGAGTTTATCTATTTCTTCTAGATTATCCAGTTTGTCGGTGTATAATTGTTCATAATCATCACTTATGATCTTTTTATTTCTATGGCTTCCATTGCAATGTCTTCTCTTTAATTTCTGATTTTAATTATTTGAGTCCTCTCTTTTTTTCTTAGACTAGCTAAAGTTTTGTCAATTTTGTCTTTTCAAAAAACCAACCTTTAGTTTCATCAAATTTTCTATTGTTTTTCTATTCTCTATTTCATTTATTTCTCTCTAATCTTTGTTATTTCCTCTTTCTGCTAACTTTAGACTTAGTTTGCTCTTCTTTTTCTAGTTCCTTGAGGTGTAAAGTTAGGTTGTTTATTTGAGGTCTTCTTTTTTAATGTAGGCATTTACCAGTATAAAATTCCCTCTTAGTACTACTTTTACTGCATCCCATAAGTTTTGTTATGCTATGTTTTCATTTTCATTGATCTTCAGATATTTTCCTTTGATTTCTTTTTTGACCCAATGGTTGTTTAAAAATGTTTAATATCCGTTTATTTTTAAATTGTGCTGTTTTTCTTTTGTTATTGATTTCTACTTTCATTCCATTGTGGTCAGAAAAGATACTTGAAATGATTTCAATCTTCTTAAATTTGTTAAGACTTGTTTTGTGACCTAGCATATGATCTGTCCTGCAGAACATTCCACGAGTGCTTCAGAATGTATAGTCTGCTGCTATTGGGTGAAATGATCTGTATATGTCTGTTAGGTCTGTCTATTTGGTCTATACTGTTGTTCATGTCTGCTATTTCCTTATTGATTTTCTGTCTGAGTGATCTATTATTTATTAAAAGTAGCACCCCGTCTCAACAAAAAAATTAAAAATTAGCTGAATGTGATGGTGCATGCCTGTGGCCACAGCTACTCAGGAGGCTGAGGTGGGAGGACTACTTGAGCCCAGGAGGTCGAGGCTGTAGTGAACCGTGATCACGCCACTCCACTACAGCCTGGGTGACAGAGTGAGACCATGTCTCAATAATAATAATAATAATAAATAAAAATAAAAGTGGGGTATTGAAGTCTCCTACTATTATTGTATTACTATCTATTTCTTCCTTCAGATTTGTCAATGCTTGCATTATATATTTTGGTGCTCTGATGTTGGGTGCATATTTATTTATAATTGTTATATCTTCTTGTCAAATGGACCTTTTATCATTGTATAAGTTTCTTTGTCTCTTGTGACATTTTTTGACTTAATGTCTAACTAAGTATAGCCACTTAAACCTTCTTGGTTACCATTTATATGGAATATCTTATTCAATCCCTTCACTTTCAGCCTATGTGCATCCTTAAATCTAAAGTGAGTCTTTTGCAGATATCCTATACTTGGAACTTGTTTCTTATCCATTCAGATACTCCATATCTTTTTTTTTTTTTTTTTAGAGATTGGGTTTTACTATGTTGCACAGACTGGACTTGAACTCCTGGGCTTAAACAATCCTCCTAGCTCAGTCTCCTGAGTAGCTGGGACTACAGATGCATATCACTGCACCTGGCCATATCTTTTTATTGATGACTTTAATCCATATACATTTAAAGCAATTATTCATAGGTAAAGACTTATTATTGCCATTTCATTATTTGTCTTCTGTCAGTTTTGTGATTCTTTTGTTCCTCTCTTTTTCTTTTGCCATCTTTCTTTTGATTTGATTTCTTTGTAGTAATATATAGTCTACCTTGAACAACACAGGGATATTACATTAATCTATATTTGTCTATATATTTACTTTTACCAGTGAGAGATATGCTTGCATTTGCTTTCATGTTTCTCTTTAGTGTTCTTTCATTCCAACTCAAAGAACTCCCTTTACTCTCTTTAGCATTTCTTGTAAGGCAGGTCTACTGGTGATAAACTTCATCAGTTTTTGTTTTTCTAGGGAAATCTTTGTCTCTTCCTCATTTTTGAAGGACAGTTTTGTCAGGTATAGTAGTCTTGGTTGGCCAGGTTTTTTTCCTGTTGGCTCTTTGAATATGTCAATCCACTCTCTCCTGTCCTGCAAAGTTTCTGCTGAGAAGTCTGCTGATAGTCTTATGGAGGCTCCTTTGTAAGTAACAAGTCGTTTTTCTCTTGCTGCTTTCAAAATTCTTCCTTTGTCTTTGAGTTTTGACAATTTAATTATAATGCATCTCAGTGTAGACCTCTTTAAGTTCAATATTTTAGGGTTCTTTGGGTTTCATGAATCTGGATGTTCATTTTTCTCCTCAGATTTGGGAAGCTCTCATCCATTACTTTTAAAAATAAGCTTTTGCCTTTTTCTCTTCCTTCTTTACTTCTGGAATTGCCATAATGTCTATATTAGTTCACTTGATGGTATTCCATAAGTTCCATAGGCTTTCTTCACTCTTTTTTTTTTTCATTCTTTTTTCTTTGTTCCTCTGACTGGATAATTTCAAATGATCTGTCTTCGAGTTCATTGATTCTTTCTTCTGTTCAACCAAGTATATGTGTGATGTTCTCTATTGAATTTTCAGTTCCGTCATTTTATTCCAGAATTTCTATTTGATTCTTTATGATTTCTATCTCTTTAACTTCTCCTTTGTTCATGTATTGTTTTTCTGACTTCATTTACTTTTCTGTGTTCTCTTGTAGATCACTGAGCTTCTTTAAGATGATTAGTTTGAATCCTTTGTCAGAAAATGTGTAGATCTACATTTCTTTGAGGTCAGTCACTAAATTTTTATTTGGTTCTCTGTTGGTGTTATGTTTTTTCCAATTCTTCATGTTCCTTGTGGCTTTGTGTTGGTGTCTGCACATTTGAAGAAGCAGTCACCTCTTTTAATCTTTATGAACTGGCTTCATTAGGGAAAGACCCTTACCAGTCAACCCTGCTAGAGATTCTGGGTGTCTCTCAGCACTTTTCTATGGATGCACCTGCTCCACTCTTCTTGCTCCTTCCTAGAGGAGAAGTCTTAGGATTTTAGGTCTTCTCTCAATCCTGCAGAGCCATGCCAGGTTCTGAGAGCTGTTTAATTCTTTTCCCAAGATCAGTGCACCAAGATGTTGGAACAATGGGTGCAAGCTCCAATTCTGTCCCTCCTCCCAGAATAATCAATCACAAGGTTGTGAACCTTCTCCAAATTCTGCAGTTGAGCCAGCTGCAGAGATCCATGCCAGCTGCAGAGATCCATGCCAGCTTCTGGATGCCATCTGTGAGGGCACATGAGGCACCATTTATGGGGGCATGTGCAAGCTGACTACCAAAGTCTGTGGGCTAGTTTGCTGCTGGAGTCTGTGAATGGGATGACCAGTGGGGTCCACAGGCTGGCTGGCAGGGTCTGCAGGCTGGTTGTTGAAATCTGCTTGTCAGTTTGTTTGAGAACCTGTCCCTTTATTTTGTTCTTGGCTGCCCCCAGGCAATCTAGTCATACTGGTTCCCTCAGCATTCTGGGTGAGGAGAGAGAGAAGCATTCTGGGCAGCACCCTCAAGGACTAGGGAAGCTGAATGTTCACGTCACCTTCTCTTTCCCCCTTAGGAAAAATCACAGGCTGAGGGTGGGTCTCTCTTGGCCCTGAATTGTGCCATCTTGGGAGAAAGATAACGCAGGTAAAGTGAAAATATTCTTCTTACCCTTTTTAGTGTGGGCATTCTCTGATTGTGTTCTCCACTAAGGTACTAGAGCCTGTCAACTGGACTCTGGACTACCATAAAGGTATTTTATTCTGTGGATAATTGTTGAATTGGTATTTCTGTGGCAATACAAGGGCCAGGAATTCCTATTCCTCCATCTTGCTAACATCACTCTCTTTCTACAATTTTTTATATCCATTCAATTTCTGTCCTACATTTTCCTCTTTATACTTTAGGACAAAATTATTCTTTTTCCCTTAACAAATATATATCCTACATACCTTGCAGGCTTTGCATACAGTTTCCCTTTGTCCTTATTGTCCAACTTTCATTCTACTTACATCAACTTAATACAAATGGTCTTAACAATTATGCTTGGATTGTTCATAAAAATTTTCTTAAGACATTAAACAAAGCTAGCCATCATCTCAAGTTACTTCCCTGATAAATATTTTTATAGCACATGCATATTAGGCAAGTATCAAAAAGCAAAAACCTAAAAAAAAAGTACATGAGTTTTTTGTTTTACTGCTGCTGTTGATATACATGAAGTAATGGATATCAAGAAATTCATTTTCGTGCATCTTTACTCATACATTTGTTTAGTTTGAATTTATAATATTTATAATTTTAATCATTTGGCAGAGGTAATATTACCTTATTTGAGTAGTAAACCCAAGTAGAATACAAATGTATATTCATATTATAAATAATGATAATTTAGAAGACATATCTGTTTTTATGAAACCAGTATCACACTAGTCTTATTTGCCAAAGATTTACCTAAACTGTATGCACTTGAAAAATATTTGGGTTAGTTCTATATTTCTGGGAGTTTTAGAAATATTTAATTTATGTAAGTGCTTATGTATATGTAAGCCAATTTGAATAGCACTTCTTTATGGGATTTTGTGAATTAACTTGGTAATACCATCTGGATGTAGGAAACTATCACATATACACATTTACATACTTAAATGAACATATAAACAGACACAAATAGAAGCCTTCTAGCTTCCATTCTAAAATTTTAACCATGAGTCAGGTAAAAATACAGTAATATAAACTCACTAATTTGGCTGGGCACGGTGGCTCATGCCTGTAATCCCAGCACTTTGGGAGGCCGAGGCAGGTGGATCACTTGAAGTCAGAAGTTTGAGATCAGCCTGGCCAACATGGCGAAACCCCACCTCTACTGAAAATACAAAAATTAGCCAGGCATAGTGGTGCACGTCTGTCGCCCCAGCTACTCAGGAGGCTGAGGCAGGAGAATCTCTTGAACCTGGGAAGCAGAGGTTGCAGTGAGCCAAGATCATGCCACTGTACTCCAGCCTGGGCAACAGAGCAAGACTCTGTCTCAATAAATAAATAAATACATACATACATACATAAACTCACTAATTTATATAAAATAGTTGGCTCTTGTCTTTGCTCCACTTTATATTTTTATCTGAATTGTGCTTCTGTCAGATGAAAAAAGTTAAGGTTACCTGCTCAATATGAGGCTAATGCTTTTTGCCAATATTTGCAGAGGAGATTATTAAGATTTTCTTTTGCCCTGATATGTAATATTATGGAGGCTGTGGACCAAATTTTAGGTGAGGGATCTTTTGCAAATACCAAGTGGCTGTCTGGGTGTTTCCAAAATCCATCTGAGTGAATAAAATATCCAGTCTGTTTCCAATTACTCTGTTTTTCTTTTTAGCCTTAGGTAGTTGCCATTAGGAGTCCCTGAGTCCATTGAGATCCCCACAATGGGAGGTAGGAGGGCTAAAGTTCAAGTGACAATAGAGAATTGAGGGGCTGGAGTGGGATAGGAAAAGTCTGGCAGGGAGTGAACAGAGGGATAGAAGAGATAAAGGCATGAAGGGACTCAAGGGTACTGAATTGAAGACTTAAGGTGGTAAAAGGGGGAAGGAGAAGCAGAGGTGATGGGAAGGGAGAGGTCTTACAAGAGCTAGTTTGGGGAAGGCATTGAAGTTCTAGATTATTCTTAGTAAAATCATGCCAACGAGAAAGAAAGTGGGCAGAAAAAGTACCCTATTAGTGGAGCATATAGTCAACAGGAATTCCAGAAGGGGGGTTTCAGACATTCCTATGGGAGAAGCAAGATCAAATAAAAGGCACAGAGAGACTTCACAAAGAGCCAACAAAAAATTTTCAGCACAGGAATCAGGTAATAAATCCCCACTTGAAACAAAGAGCCAGAAAGAAGGACTTTCAGCCCAAGAGTCAGGGAGTGAATATCTACTTGAAACAAGGAGCCAAGAAGACCTTCCAGCTCAGGAGGTGCCTTTCAAATAAAAAATGCTGAAATTCTATCCTAGCCTCGGAGAGTATATTCAGAATCTTAAGAATTCAAAATTGGTCCATACCCTGCTTCAGTGTACTGGTATTCAGAGCATTAGCTCAGGAGTTGGACTACCAATGAATCTCCAATCTATCTTTACTTGGGGTCCTGGTGAGAGGCTTAAGGATCCAATGATGACTCTGATCCTGTTTCACTCATAAGTCACCATAACTGTTAAAGAAAAATTATTCTGATACTTGCTAAAATGGTAAGGAAGACTATTCAGGCCTATTGAGACATTCATCAAGACTATCACAATAGGGAAGAGAGGTCAGGCTCAACTCCGAATACAACAAATACAGATGGGGATTTGTAGCCAATGAGCAGAGTTGCGGTTGGGGAGTCAGTGGATGGAAAATTACTGAGAGGAAACATCAACGGTAGGGGGATTTTTACTAATCCTACTTAACAGGATTCTTGCTGAAGGCAGGCCAGGGTGATCAGACATCAAAGGTGGAGAATGAGGAATTTGATCAGATATCAAAAGTAATCAGATTTCAAGGAGGGGGAGATTCTCACTAAACTGACTTAGCAAGATTCTTGCTAAAACTGGGCTAGGCAGGCTGAATACAAGGCCCAAGAATGAGGCCTAGTTGAAAAGAAGGTTCAGAGGAGCCTGTCTAAAGTTTCGTCAAAGAGAGAGTCTTTATCAACATGTGTTCACTTTACATCTGTATGAAAGTCATGATTATACTTTCTTTGACAATTATCCCTTAATACAGCCAATGCTTTTGAAGAGATTAGCATAGCACCTGGCACATTGTAAGCATTCAACAAAGTTGTTGTTGAGTTATTATGGCTGCTGCTGTTGTTATGTTGATATGAATCAAGGTTCCAACAAGAAAAAGAACTCAGCCCAGATGGTTCAAATGAAGAGACTTGAATGAAAAGATTACTTTATGAGCAAGGTAAAGGAACCAACAAGGGATATTAAAACACCAAGAAACTATGATGAGCGACCAGTATCTTACGTGTGCTAAAGGAGACAGGGAGGAAATAGTGTCACTGGATCCCAGTGAGAGCTTAGGCCATAGAAAAGGGGCCGCCTATCAGGATATGTTGTTATGAAGGGACCCAGCTCTCACCAGAGATGGAGTGCTGAAACGGAGAGACCAGGGAAAAGAAATATTCTAAACTTTCTCTCTTACTGCCTTCTTTATCACCTGCTGGGCCCTCTCATTGGCTAAATCCAATTAGAAATCAGCTGGCAGGGGAGCGTGGGTGATGCAGTCTGCCTCTCCTGGCACGGATCAGAGCAAAGAAGGATAGAGCATGCATCTTGGGATAGGGGGCTGAAGAATGATCAGCACAATTATTACTACTATATTTTTATAATGCTCAAAGTCTATGGAATATGCAACACCAAGAATGAACCCTAATGTCAACTGTGGACTTTGGGTGATAATGGTGTGTCAATGTAGGTTCATCGATGGTAACAAATGTACCACTCTAGTGGGAGATGGTGATAATGGGGGAGGCTGTGCCACTGTAGAGGCAGTGGGCATATGGAAAATCTCTGTACATTCCACTCAATTTTGCTGCGAACCTAAAACTGCCCTAAAAAAATAAACTGATGATCATGGCAGATGGGAGGCAGATCTAGATTGCAGCTCCGACTCGGATGGACAGAGCAGTGTGTGGAGGCTCACATTGTGAATTTTGGTGCCAGATCAACTGCAAGAACAAACCAGCAATCCAGAGAGGACTCACAGACCCTCTGAAGGAAGTGGACTGCTCCTGCAGGACCCCCCAAATACTGTGAGTACCCCAACTGTGGAACTGGGAAAGGGAGAGACTCCTCTCCCGACACACACCCACACTGGAGAAACTGAAGGTCTGTTTGCAGGAGAAGTTTTCAACCTTACCTGGAACTGAGTAAATTTAGAGAGCCAAATGAAATACAGGGATAGAGGAAGTAGAGGAAGGCCCTGGGAGCTTGCTGGGTCCCCAAGCAGGCCATTCCTGCCTGGTACCATAGGGATCCATTGGGAGGGCGGCCAGAGGAGCAGGGGGTGGGGAAACACCACAGGGAGAAGGAAATCTCCAGCTGAACTTTGTAACAATTTGAATGGGGCAAGAAGCCTCCTGGCCAGAACTCAGGGCATGTATCCAGTGTGTAGACTCCACAGGCCGGGGAAGAACCAAGCCCTTTTCTTTCACAGCTGGAAGGTGGGTAGCCTGGGGCAAGTTCTCAAGCCCGGCTTGCCCACCGCCTGGAAGCCGACTCGGGGCCGTTAGAGGGGCCATGGTGGGAGTGAGACCAGCCCTTCGGTTTGCATGGGAGCAGCTGGGTGAGACCTGTGATTGCCGGCTTTCCCCCACTTCCCTGACAACCTGCGTGATTCAGCAGAGACAGCCATAATCTTCCTAGGTACACAACTCCATTGACCTGGGAATCTCACCCCCATCCCCCACAGCAGCTGCAGCAAGGCCCACCCAAGGAGAGTCTGAGCTCAGACACACCTAGCCCTGCCTTCAACTGATGGTACTTCCCTACCCACCCTGGTAGCTGAAAACAAAGGGCATATAATCTTGGGAGATCTAGGGCCCCACCTACCACTGGGAGGCCAACCAGCACAAAAATAGAGCATTAAACCACCAAAACTAAGAACCCTCACAGAGTCCATTGCACACCCCCTGCCACCTCGACTGGAACAGTTGCTGATATCCATGGCTGAGAGACCCATAGACAGTTCACATCACAGGACTCTGCAGACAACCCCCAGTACCAGCCCAGAGCCAGGTAGACTTGCCAGGTGGCTAGACCCAGAAGAGAGACAACAATCACTGCAGTTTGGCTCACAGGAAGCCACGTCCATAGGAAAAGGGAGAGAATACTAGATCAAGGGAATATCCTGTGGGACAAAAGAATCTGAACAACAGCCTTCAGACCTAGATCTTCCCTCTGACAGAGCCTACCCAAATGAGAAGGAACCAGAAAACCAGCTCTGGTAATATGACAAAACAAGGCTCTTTTATACCCCCAAAAAATCACACTAGTTCACCAGCAATGGATCCAAACCAAGAAGAAATCCCTGATTTACCTGATAAATCATTCAGGATGTTAGATATTAAGCTAATCAGGGAGGCACCAGAGAAAGGCAAAGCCCAATGCAAGGAAATCCAAAAAACAATAAAAAAGTGAAGGGAGAAATATTCAAGGAAACAGATAGCTTAAAGAAAAAACAATAAAAAATTCAAGAAACATTGGACACACTTATAGAAACGCAAAATGCTCTGGAAAGTCTCAACAATAGAATTGAACAAGTAGAAGAAAGAAATTCAGGGCTCGAAGAAAAAAAGGTCGTGAAATTATCCCAATCCAACAAGAAAAAGAAAAAAAGAATAAGAAAATATGAAAAAAAACCCTCCAAGAAGTCTGGGATTATGTTAAATGACCAAACCCAAGAATAATCGGTGTTCTTGAGGAAGAAGAGAAGTCTAAAAGCTTGGAAAACATATTTGGGGGAATAGTCGAGGAAAACTTCCTTGGCCTTGCTACAGACCTAGACATCAAAATACAAGAAGCACAAAGAACACCTGGGAAATTCATCACAAAAAAATCATCACCTAGGCACATTGTCATCAGGTTATTCAAAGACAAAGGAAAGAATCTTAAGAGCTGTGAGACAGAAGCACCAGGTAACCTATAAAGGAAAATCTATCAGATTAACAGCAGATTTCTCAGCAGAAACCCCACAAGCTAGAAGGGATTTGGGGCCCTATCTTTGGCCTCCTCAAACAAAACAATTATCAGCCGAGAATTTTGTAGCCAGTGAAACTAAGCATCATATATGAAGGAAAGATACAGTCTTTTTCAGACAAACAAATGCTGAGAAAATTTGCCACAACCAAGTCGCCACTACAAGAACTGCTAAAAGGAGCTCTAAATCTTGAAACAAATCCTGGAAATACATCAAAACAGAAACTCTTTAAAGTATAAACCAGACAGGACCTATAAAATAAAAATACAAGTTAAAAAGCAAAAACAAAAACAAAAAACAAAGAACGCAGGCAACAAATAGCATGATGAATGGAATGGTACCTCACATCTCAATACTAACATTGAAGGTAAATGGCCTAAATGCTCCACCTAAAAGATACGGAACCACAGAGTAGATAAGAACTCACCAACCATCTGCTGCCTTCAGGAGACTCACCTAACAAATAAAGACTCACATAAACTTAAAGTAAAGAGATGGAAAAAGACGTTTCATCCAAATGGACACCAAAAGCGAGCAGGGGTAGCTATTCTTATATCAGACAAAACAAACTTTAAAGCAACAGCAGTTAAAAGAGACAAAGAGGGACACTATACAATGGTAAAATGCCTTGTCCAACAGGAAAATATCACAATTCTAAACATATATGCACCTAACACTGGAGCTCCCAAATTTATAAAACAATTACTAATAGACTGAAGAAATGAGATAGACAGCAACACAATAATAGTGGGAGACTTCATACTCCACTGACAGCACTAGACAGGTCATCAAGACAGAAAGTCAACAAAGAAACAATGCATTTAAACTATACCTTGGAACAAATGGACTTAACAGATATATACAGAACATTTCATCCAACAACTGCAAATACGCATTCTATTCCACAGTGCATGGAACTTTCTCCAAGTTAGACCACATGATAGGCCATAAAGCAAGCCTCAATAAATTTAAGAAAATTGAAATTATATCAAGCATTCTCTCAGATCACAGTAGAATAAAACTGTAAATCAACTCCAAAAGGAACCTTCAAAACCATGCAAATACATGGAAATTAAATAACCTGCTCCTGAATGAGCATTGGGTCAAAAACTAAATCAAGGTGGAAATTAAAAAATTCTTCAAACTGAATGGCAATAATGACACAAACTATCAAAACTTCTGGGATACAGCAAAGGCAGTGCTAAGAGGAAAGTTCATAGCCCTAAATTCCTACATCAAAAAGACTGAAAGAGCACAAACTGACACTCTAAGGTCACACCTCAAGGAACTAGAGAAACAAGAACAAACCAAACCTAAACCAAGCAGAAGAAAGGAAATAACCAGGAGCAGAGCAGAACTAAATGAAATTGAAACAAACAAACAAAAAATACAAAAGATAAATGAGAAGCTGGTTCTTTGAAAAGATAAATAAAATTGACAGATTATTAGCAAGATTAACCAAGAAAAGAAAAGAGAAAATACAAATAACCTCATTAAGAAATTAAACAGGGCCAGGAACAGTGGCTCACGCCTGTCATCCCAGCACTTTGGGAGGCTGAGGCGGGTGGATCACTTGAGGTCAGGAGTTCAAGAGCAGCCTGGCCAACGCGGCAAAACCCCAACCCCACTAAAAATACAAAAATTAGCTGGGTGTGGTGGCGGTTGCCTGTAATCCCAGCTACTCAGGAGGCTGAGGCAGGAGAATCACTTGAACCTGGGAGGCAGAGGTTGCAATGAGCCGAGATCATGCCACTGCACTCCAGCCTGGGCAACAGAGCAAGACTCTGTCTCAAAAAAAAAAAAAGAAACAGGAGCTATTACAACTGACACCACTGAAATACAAGAAATAATTCAAAGCTACTATGAACACCTTTACACACATAAGCTAGAAAATCTAGAAGAGATGGATAAATTCCTGGAAAAATACAACCCTCCTCGCTTAAATCAAGAAGAATTAGATACCTCCAACAGACCAATAACAAGCAGCAAGATTGAAATGGTAATTTAAAAATTACCAACAAAAAAAAAGTCCAGGACCAGATGGATTCACAGCAGAATTCTACCAGACACTCAAAGTAGAATTGGTACCAATCTTTTTGACACTATTCCACAAGATAGAGAAAGAAGGAACCCTCCCTAACTCATTCTATGAAGCAAGCATCACCCTAATACCAAAACCAGGAAAGGACATAATCAAAAATGAAAACTACAGACCAATATCCTCGATGAACATAGATGCTAAAATCCTTAACAAAATACTAGCTAACCAAATCCAACAACATATCAAAAAGATAATCCACCATAATTAAGTGGGTTTCATACCAGGGATGCAGGGATGGCTTAACATAGACAAGTCAATAAATGTGATACACCATATAAACAGAATTAAAAACAAAAAGCACATGATCATCTCAATAGATGCAGAAAGCATTCAACAAAATCTTGCATCCATTTATGATTAAAACTCTCAGAAAAATCAGCATATGACAGACATACCTCAATATAATAAAAGCCATCTATGACAAACCTACAGACAACATAATACTGAATGGGGAAAAGTTGAAAGCATTCCCTCTAGGAACAGGAACAAGACAAGGATGCCCACTCTCACCACTCCTCTTCAACATAGTACTGGAAGTCCTAGCCAAAGCAATCAGACAAGAGAAAGAAATAAAGGACATCCAAATTGGTAAAGAGGAAGTCAGACTGTCACTGTTTGCTGACGACATGATCATTTACCTTGAAAACTCTAAAGACCCCTCCAGAAAGCTCCTAGAACTGATAAAAGAATTCAGCAAAGTTTCCAGATACAAGATTAATGTACACAAATCAGTAGCTCTTCTATACACCAACAGCATCCAAGCAGAGAATCAAATCAAGAACTCAATCCCTTTTACAATAGCTGGAAAAAAAAAGAATACTTAGGAATATACCTAACCAAGGAGTCAAAAGACCTCTACAAGGAAAACTACAAAACACTGTGGAAAGAAATCATAGACAACACAAAAATATGGAAACACATCTCATGTTCATGGATGGGTAGAATCAATATTGTGAAAATGACCATACTGCCAAAAGCAATCTAGAAATTCAATGCAAATCCCCATCAAAATACCACCATCATTCTTCACAGAATTAGAAAAAACAATTCTAAAATTCACATGGAACCAAAAAAGAGCCCGTATAGCCAAAGCAAGGCTAAGGAAAAAGAACAAACCTAGAAGCATTACACTACCTGATTTCAAACTATAAGGCCATAGTCACCAAAACAGCATGGCACTGGTATAAAAATAGGCACATAGACCAATGGAACAGAATAGAGAACCCAGAAATAAACCCAAATACTTACAGCCAACTGATCTTCAACAAAACAAACAAAAACATAAAGTGGGGAAAGGACACCCTTTTCAACAAATGGTGCTGGGATAATTGGCTAGCCACATGTAGGAGAATGAAACTGGATCTTTATCTCTCACCTTATACAAAAATCAACTCAAGATGGATTAAGGACTTAAATCTAAGACCTGAAACTATAAAAATTCTAAAAGATAACATTGGAGAAACCCTTCTAGACATTGGCTTAGGCAAGGATTTCATGACCAACAACCCCAAAACAAACACAATAAAAACAAAGATAAATAGTTGGGACTTAATTAAACTAAAGAGCTTTTGCACGGCAAAAGGAATAGTCAGCAGAGTAAACAGAAAACCCACAGAGTGGGAGAAAATCTTCACAATCTATACATCTGACAAAGGACTAATATCTAGAATTTACAACAAACTCAAATCAGTGAGAAAAAAACAAACAATCCCATCAAAAAGTGGGCTAAGGATATGAATAGACAATTCTCAAAAGAAGATATACAAATGGTCAATAAACATATGAAAAAATGCTCAACATCACTAATGATCAGGGAAATGCAAATCAAAACTACAGTGCAATACCACCTTACTCCTGCAAGAATGGCCATAATCAAAAATCAAAAAACAGTAGATGTTGGTGTGGATGCAGCAATCAGGGAACACTTCTACACTGCTGGTGGGAATGTAAACTAGTACAGCCACTATGGAAAACAGTGTGGAGATTCCTTAAATAACTAAAAGCAGAACTACCATTTGATCCAGCAAACCCACTACTGGGTATCTACCCAGAAGAAAATAAGTCATTATATGAAAAAGATACTTGCCCACCCATGTTTATAGCAGCACAATTCACAATTGCAAAATTGTGGAAGCAATCCAAATGCCCATCAATCAATAAGTGGATAAAGAAACTGTGAAATATATATAAAATGGAATATTACTCAGCCATAAAAAGGAATGAATTAACAGCATTCACAGCGACCTAAGTGAGACTGGAGATTATAATTCTAAGTGAAGTAACTCAGGAATGGAAAAATCAATCATCGTATGTTCTCACTGATATGTGGGAGCTAAGCTATAAGGATGCAAAGGCATAAGAATGATACAATGGACTGTGGGGACTTGAGGGGAAGAGTGGGAAGGGGGCTAGGGATAAAAGACTACAAATATGGTGAAATGTATGCACCACGGGTGATGGGTGCACCAAAATCTCACAAATCACCACTAAAGAACTTACTCATGTAACCAAATACCACCTGTACCCCAGTAGTAACTTATGGGAAAAAATTAAATTAAAGACACAAGTAACATAAAAAATAAAATCTCTTTTAAAATGTTATGTATTTTTACAATGCTTCATATTTTCTAAAACTTTTGCATAAAATTTGTTGTGAAGAAATAGGGCAATTATAATGTACCCATATTACAGACAAGGAAAGTACAGCTTCAGATACTTCAAGTTCAACTGACAAGTGGGAAAGCCTTCTAAGTTCAATGTGTACAGAACAGAGGTCAGGCTTTGCTGGGATAAAATCCTAAAGAAGACAAGGAAGAAAGCCAAGATAATTTATTCTGATTTTTCTGGCTCACATATTGTGTCCCCAGTAGAAACAAGAGTGTATCTTACTTGGTGCCATCGAAGTCTGTCCAAGTTTGAAGGGGTGTGTGTGTGTGTGTGTGTGTGTGTGTGTGTGTGTGTGTGTGTAGGGGAGACAACCTCATGTGCTCATTCTCTATAACTTCTCCCAGAACTCTTGTTTGTTGAATTGATTGTACCTTGAGAGATGCTTTCCCCTTTCACACACCTACCTCAACTAGTTTCCTGAGGGTGGAGTGGTCCACAAGGATGCTCAATGTAGGGTGTGTCCAAAGCTCAAGGGTAGGGTAGACGGCTATCAGTGTACCAGCTTCGGAACCTCCCTGGCAATCTATTCTGTCTACCTGAAAAAACTCATTGACCTCTTCCCCTAGCTGACTAATCTGCCTCTTTAGAGCTTTAATTTAAATGTTACTTCTGCAAGAGATGCCTTTTCTGACTCTGAACATAAATTAGCTTTCCTCCACTATTCTTTTTCCTAGGTCTTGTTTTTTTTCTTCAGAGTGTATCACAATGTGTTGTCATTTAGGCATTTTCCAACCTGTTTATTGCTTGATTTCCTCTCTATAAACTACAAACTTCATGAGAACGGGTAAACATTATTTTCCAAGAATGACCCAGTGTTCAGCACAGGCCCTGATGTGGAGGTGATAACTAATAAATCTGTGTTGAATAAATGAACACATGAATAAATAAAACTGACTGAATGAAACTAGTCTTCTCATGCAACAGTCTTCAATATCTCCAACCAGAGACTATGAATGTCAACATACCAGAGGGATAGTAAAGCATTTTGCAATCAGGACAGATCTTACAGAAGATTATAAGGACTTGGATTTGTATTCTGATGAGGTGGGAAGAAGCCACTCGAGGGCTTGAGACAGCTTTTGTTCCACCTTGTATTTCATGTAGCACCCCTTCCCATTCCTAGTGACTTATAGTAGGCACTCAGTAAATTGGTTGATTACATTTGTGAATTAATCAATAAAAATATAGTCTCTAATCCTGAAGAGCTTATGAGTGTTGTGGTGAAAGAGACTTGGTAATCACCTTTATATATTTTAAATAGGCTTATTGTCTGCCTTGTCTCCACCATTTCAGTTAGAAACAACTTCAGAGGAGAGCACAAGTCTACAACAGATTCAGATCCTTGGGGGCCTAGCACAGAGCCCAGCATCATAAGATCATAAGGGTGTACCAGAAATACTCTTCTGGTTCTCATGCTGTTTCACCATATTGAACTTCTTTTTTTTTTTTTTTTTTTTTTTTAATGAAGTCTCACTCTGTTGCCAGGCTGGAGAGCAGTGATGCGATCTTGGCTCACTGCAACCTCCACCTCCTGGGTTCAAGCAATTCTTCTGCCTCAGCCTCCCAAGTAACTGGGATTACAGGTGCATGCCACCATGCCCAGCTAATTTTTGTATTTTTAGTAGTGGCAGGGTTTCACCATGTTGGCCAGGCTGGTCTCAAACCCTTGACCTCAAGTGATCTACCCGCCTTGGCCTCCCAAAATGCTGGGATTACAGGCACGAGCCACCGTGCCCAGCTGGATTATTTTTAATGCAGTGTATTTCACAGGCCAGCCCTCTAGATAGACCCTGGGTACCCTCCCGGAGGAGCTACCAAATGTGGTTTCCATCATTTTGCACAGCCAAGAGATGGCTCTGAGAATTCTAGTCTTTCCCTTGGATGTCCTGACTCTCCAGTCCTCCCTGGTTATGGGGTGGAAGCAATGGTTGTTGGTCTGGAATCATTGTTTTTTCTGTATAGACTAGGGGATAATGCTTTGGGATTGTAAAAAAGGAACCGGTCTTGGTTTTAGTTTCAGCTCATTATCAGTGCGTGTGTAGGCTCATCATTTCACCTCTCTGGGCTTTCGTTTTTCTCACTCATAAAATTAGAGAGTGAAGGGTGGATAAGAGCATTCTCAAGATCTCTTCCTGCTCTTCTAGGATTCTAATCTCTCATGTGACATAAGAAAATGATTCTTTAATTGGCCACAAGCCATCTTCCAGCTTCCAGAATACTCCTAAACCATATATTTGCTGAATCTCTGGACCACTTCCAGAGATTTCACATTTTGTTCATCCTGAAGGCTCTCTTATTTCTGAAATACCAGACCCTAATCAGTTTAGTAACTGGAGCTTATTTTTATTTTTTTGGCGCTGGATTTCTGACATCTGGAACAATTTCCTTTCAGATCCCGGAAGATTCTCTCCCAGCGTGTCTTCAACAGCAGCAAACAATTTACACCCACCCAGGACCCATCATGTTTAAGATGTCTCGCGGCATCTTATTACGATTAGGAGAAAATGAAACCAGGAGCTCTGTCTGATGAAAATTGAGGTTGGAAACTAGTATTAAAATAGAAGTCATTAATACAGGCAAAATGTAGCTGAAAATGCCAACTCATGTGAGGTGGTATGTTTGGGAGGGCAAGGAGAGAGTGCCAAGTAATTATGTCTGCAGTTCTGTGGGATAGGACAAACTCGAGAACAACACAAAGCAATCTACTTGTTGGTTAATGTGCAAGAGATCCTGATGAACTGATAAAACAGGAGAAGCCATTCAAAGGCTCCTGGGACAGTGCCTCTAAACATCATTACCTTTCAGGGCTAGTTAATTGGCTATTTTAGGTTGAGTTCACCCAGATGCAGACCCTAAGAAAAGAATGGGAGTGCAGTAGCTTATTTAGGAGGTGACCCCAGGAAGCACTTATAGAGGAATGGGGAAGTGAAATAGGGAAGGAAAGGAAGCCAATAAAGGGAGTATTGTTGTGCACAGTACCACTGTGGGTTGCTGAGGCTCAACCCTGCTGGGGAACTCTAAAAAACTGTGTAGGAAATATCTTAGAGTGTGCCATTTGAGGGGCATGGAAACTGGGATATTTATCCTCCAACTTTCATTTATTATATGCCGAGAGTTCCTTTTTTTAATTATTATACTTTAAGTTCTGGAGTACATGTGCAGAATGTGCAGTTTTGTTACATAGGTATGCACGTGCCATGGTGGTTTGCTGCACCCATCAACCAGTCATCTACATTAGGTATTTCTCCTAATGCTATCCCTTCCCTAGCCCCCCACCCCCAGACAGGCCCCTGTGTGTGATGTTCCCCTCCCTGTGTCCATGTGTTCTCATCATTCAACTCCCACTTATGAGTGAGAACCTGCGGTGTTTGGTTTTCCGTTCTTGTGTTAGTTTGCTGAGAATGACGGTTTCCAGCTTCATCCATGTCCCTGCAAAGGACGTGAATTCTTTTTTTTTTTTTTGACAGAGTCTTACTCTGTCACCAGGCTGGAGTGCAGTGGCGCAATCTCAGCTCACTGCAGCCTCTGCCTGTGGGTTCAAATGATTCTCCTGCCTCAGCCTCCCAAGTAGCTGGGACTACAGGCATGTGCCACCATGCCCAATGAATTTTTTGTATTTTTAGTAGTGACAGGGTTTCACCATGTTGGCCAGGATGGTCTTGATCTCTTGACCTCGTGATCTGCCCACATCGGCCTCCCAAAGTGCTGGGATTACAGGCGTGAGCCACCGTGCCCAGCCAAACACATCATTTTTTATGGCTGCATAGTATTCCATGGTGTATATGTGCCACATTTTCTTTATCCACTCTATCATTGATGGGCATTTGGGTTGGTTCCAAGTCTTTGCTATTGTGAATAGTGCCACAATAAACATACATGTGCATGTGTCTTTATAGCAGAATAATTTATAATCCTTTGGGTATATACCCAGTAATGGGATGGCTGGGTCAAATGGTATTTCTGGTTCGAGATCCTTGAGGAATCACCACACTGTCTTCCACAATGGTTGAACTAATTTACACTCCCACCAATGGTGTAAAAGCGTTCCTATTTCTCCACATCCTATCCAGCATCTGTTGTTTTCTGACTTTTTAATGATCGCCTTTCTAACTGGCATGAGATGGTATTTCATTGTGGTTTTGATTTGCATTTCTCTAATAGTCAGTGATGATGAGCTTTTTCTTTCATATGTTGGTTGGCCGCATAAATGTCTTCTTTTGAGAAATGTCTGTTCATATCCTTTGCCCACTTTTTGATGGTGTTGTTTGTTTTTTTCTTGTAAGTTTGTTTAAGTTCTTTGTAGATTCTGGATATTAGCCCTTTGTCAGATGTGTAGATTGCAAAAATGTTCTCCCATTCTGTAGGTTGCCTGTTCACTCTGATGATAGTTTATTTTGCTGTGCAGAAGCTTTTTAGTTTAATTAGATCCCATTTGTCAATTTGGAGGCATTGCTGGGCTCCCCTCCTGCAGGCTGATCAAGAACTGTAAGGGGAAGAGCTGTAAGTTCTTGAAATAGGATGACTTCAGCATGTTCTAGAATGGCAAGTGCTGAGAGGCTGTGGGTGGGGCACTGACAGCATCTTGACCACAGTTCCCACTGTCCGGTAGTCAACTCACAATGGGTCAGGTGTGGGGAAAATTATAGCAATTTTGAGATAAGTTCACTTTTCCAATCTCTGGTCTAGCCCCTCTAAACCAAGGTTTAGAACAGTGGTGTTCAACAGAAATATAATACAAGCCACATATATAATATAAAATTTTCTAGTAGCATATTTAAAAGTAAAATGAAACAGGTGAAATTAATTTTAGTAGCATATCTAACTCAGTATACCCACATGATTATACTTTTAACATGGAATCAACATACAAATTATTACTGAGATGTTTTGCATTATTCAGGATGAGGGTACTTAGGCTTTGAAATTCAAAGTATATTTTCCACTTGCAGCTCATCCCAGTTCCAACTGGCCACATTTCAAGTGTTCAATAGCCACCTGTGGCTACTGTCTATTATATTGGACGGTGAAAATACAGAACATTTCCATCATTGCAGAAAGTTTTATTGGACAGTGCCAGTCTTGTTAGTTTGTATCATTTACCCAGTGTTAAGAGCTTATAGTTGACAAGAAGTCAGAGGAGAACCCTAGGCTCTCTGGCTAGGCTAGAATCTTGAACTTTAATGCTTCCAAAAATAGGAGAAGCCAGGATCTTATGGGGCTTCAGGTTGTTGATGCCAAGATTCGCTTGACTGGTTGCACATCCTCCCAGACATAAGAAGGTCCAGAGGTCAAGCTCAGGTAGATCTCTTAAGGTAAGGACCAGAACACTGTTATTCATCACTGTGTCCCCTACCCAGTTGCTGCCCCATGGAAAGCCCTCACAAGAGTTCTGTTGAATGTAGATTAGAAGGCCACCTGAGTAAGAAGTCATGCATAAAGTGGTAAAGGGACAGTTGGACCAAGGAACCTAAAGGGAAAAAAAGTATCTTCCTGCTCACTAATCCTTTCTTATCAGATCACTTACCATGACATCATACAAAGAGAGAAAGAGAGGTGCAGAGCAGTGAAGAGAATTTTCCAGCAAGACCATTGTGTTTGCCTGGAGTCAGCTGCTTTGACAATGGTCCCAACACCCACATTTAACAAGAGGCAATTTGCTCAGGGTTTTATTCCCACAATAAATCTTACCATTTTCTGCTCCTTAGCCTGCCTGTCTTCTCTTCTCTGTATTACACTAACAGCTCCTTTTCCCAGCAGCAGTGGTAATAAATGGTGTGCTCTCAATGTAGAAGTTAAGGTTTCAAGGTGAAGCCTTTGGAAGCGATTCCTTTGTAATTTCATTTATGGCCATGCCATATTTTATGGTGCAACTTACTAACTCTGTGGGTGGCTTTGTGTGTGTTCCAGAAAAAGGGAGAGTGAGACACATCCCCACCCTCCAACTTTCACACACCCTTCCCAGTGGAATTTGGAGGTTAAAGCATCTCCTGGGTTTTTAATTTTTATTTTATCTTATTTTTAATTCTAGGTTCAGGGAGTACATGTGCAGGGCTTTTATACAGGTATATTGCATAATGGCGAGGTTTGGGCTTCTAGTGAACCCATCACCCAAATAGTTAACATAGTACTCGACAGGTGGTCCTCCCGGGTTTTTGGAAGTGAGACTTTAACCTCTCCTCTCCTCTTCATGCTTGCTATCTAGCCAGCCATGATAAGAGATGTTTGAAATATCACTGCTCTAGGAAGCATTCCCCAGTCTCTTCAGTCCACCATAAGTCCCCTTCCCTAGAACTCCTACAGCACTGATTGTCGAGCCTGGCCTATGTCTTCTGTCCACGATTAGGCAGCCATTTCTTTTGAAAGTGGCAATTATGGAAGAATGTTACTTTCCTGTCACCTTGTCCACTTCATACACAGAGCTCAACCCCACCGAAGCTGGTAATTGGTTGACTGACTTAATGAATGATTGGCAACCTCCATCTCCATTTTGGGGGTTCTAAAATCACCCAATTAGTATGGCTTCTCTAGGGGGCACACAATGCAACATGCTTGGTCCACATCCTCCAAGAACGGGTCAAGAGCCCTACAACCAAGGAGGGAAGAAATTATTATTTCACACACACACACACACACACACACACACACACACACACACACACACTCGTGAGGGTTCTTAAAGCGCTTCTTGAGAATACAGTCAATGTATTCTTTATTGGGTACATAGTGGATGCTCAATAAATATTTCTTAAATAAAACCAGTGAAAGTGGCCACCATGACTTTGTTTATAATGGGGAGGTTGCATGATAAACTGGGAAAAGCATGGGGAACAGCTCTGAGCTCAAATACTGCCTCCACCTCAAGCTATCTGAATGGCCCTGGGCAAATGCCTTACCTCTGAGAGTTTCAAGTTCTCATCTGTAAAGTGAGAGTGATAATACCCATTGCCCAGAGTAGTTTCGATGGCTACATGAGACATTGCCAGTAAAACTCTTGGGTACCTAACAGGCACATGGGAAACACCAGTTACTTTCCCCTCTGTCTGGAATGTTCCTGGCCACCTAGCTGACTCACAGACACCTTCTAAGACTCACACTGAATATAACAGGCCAGGAAAAGGTGATCACTCCTTCTGCCCTGCTTTCCTTTTATCTCTGCAGGCAGCTATTATTATACTTCTCACCCTATACTTCAGCAATTTCAGTCATTGCTCTTCATTCTTGAGGTTGAGGCCAAGCTTACGCCATTTATTTTATTTTATTTTTTTCTTTCCATCTTTTAGTTTAGGTTCAGGAAGTATATGTGCAGATTTCACACATGTACTTTACATGGGTAAATCACAAATCTCAGTGGTTTGTTATACATGTTATTTTGTCACCTAGGTAATGAACATAACCTGATAGGTAGCTTTTTGATCCTCACCTCCTTCCATCCTCCACCCTCAAGTAGGACCTGGTGTCTCTTGTTCCCTTCTTTGTGTCCACAGGTACTCAATGTTTAGCTCCCACTTATAAGTGAGAACATGCAGTATTTGGTTTTTTGTTCCTGCATTAATTCCCTTTGGATAATGGCCTCCAGCTCCACTCATGTTGCTGTAAAGAACATGATTTTGTTCCTTTTTATGGTTACACAGTCTTCCATGGTGCATATATACCACATTTACTTCATTCAGTTCACTGTTGATGGGCATCTAGGTTGATTCCTTGTCTTTGCTATTGGCTTACACCATTTTGTATCCTCAATGCTTAGCATACTGCCTGGCATATAGTATGCACCTAACCAAAACTTCTTTTTCTTTGCAATAAAAAAGATTAAAAGGACACACACTGAAATTTAACAGTGGTTTTATCTATGGTTAGTTGGATTACGGGTGGTTTTCTACTTTGCAGGGGCGGGCCTCATTTGTATTTTTCAAAATATTTTTCCCTACAGTTACCATGTTTTATTTGAGTAACAACATGATTCTGTAAGAATAAATAAATATATGCTCAGTGGACAGATGAATAGATGGATGGATTGACAGATAGGATAGACATAGTCAATAAATTTAAGCAATTTCCATTCCTCTATATTCTCAGTATCTGGGACTGAGACTGATTTACTGCAGGGTGAGAAAAGCAATGTCCACTCCCCATGAGCCTGCTCCCTGCTTCCTACCACAATGGCTTTGAAGATCTCTGTCACCTGGCCCCATCCATTCTGTTCAAACTCACATTCTCTGAAACCCCATTCTGATCAGGAAAAATCCTAGACTCCACTTCCACCATGGTCTGTGTTAAGACTTACAAAACTTTTTCTATAAAAGGGCTAAATAGTAAATATTTTAGTCTTTGGGGGCCATACAGTCTCTGTCACAATTACCCAACTCTACTGCTATAGCATGAAAACAGCCATAGGCAATACATAGATGAATGAGCATGTCTGTGTCCCAATAAAACTTTATTTACAAAATCATGGCAGGCTGGATCTGGTTTGCAGGCTGCAGTTTGCCAGCCCCTGCTCCATGACTTTACCAATGTTGTTCTCCTTCTTGGAAGGCCCTTTCTCCTGCTTGACTATTTAAATTCTATCTATCTTCTGCCTTTCAACTATAATGTGACTACTTACTATCTACTTCCTTAGCCTGTTGCTATTGTACTATAATTATGTGTATTCTAGTAGGTACTAGGTATCAGACAGTTTGCTGTGAAATTTTCTAATTTTGGGGGGACTTTTGAAGGGTGTGTTCTGGAATTATGCTTGGAAAGGACTGGAATGGGAGGATGTGAATATTTTATCAATATTTATAATAATAATGTACAGGGCATTAGTGTTATAATGATGTAGTCAGCATAGTGATTCCCACTTTAGAAGAAAAACATCTAACAAAAAAAAATGTTAAGTAGGTTGCTAAACAACAACCTAATGGCAGAATAAGAAAGAAAAGCCAGGTATTATGACTTATGAAGTGTCCTCACTCTATTTCTAAAATCTAAACGAAAAATAATAATAGCAACTTCTGTTGGGGAATTTAAGACCCAAATGCTTAGGAGTTTTTAATGTCCTTGGACAAGCTGGGATGGTAAATCAAACCTTACCACTAAAGATATTGAAGTTTCCCCTCTAAATTAGCCACCATATAGCAGTTTATGCAGAAATCTGGCTTCAACTTTCATTTCTCATTTTTTTTTCTGATCTCATGAACACTGTGCCTGCACTCTTGGCTCTGTGAGATGGGCTAAAGTTTATGCTTAGAATCACGTGGCAGCCCCAGCTAGCTCTCAGCAAATGTGACTGAGTAGTCCATAAATGGTCCTTATTTGGTGGCAAAATGCTTGGGTCCCTCTCCCTAAAAAGGAAATAATACAGAAGATGTGCATTACAGTCCCATGCGACAGAAAACACAATTTCTTGGCTTTTAGAACCACTTGCTGACAGAGCAGACCCTTAGAGAGCAGAGATGCAAAGCCTGCTGACTCACACTCGGGGCTTTTCTGAACATTTCACAGCCCCGTACTTTTCACCAGCAGCAGCTCTATTTGTGAGCACACACCATCTGGCCCCAGAGCTGCTGGAACTAAATAAAAGGAATACATTTGAATAAAGCCTTGACCTGGGGATTTAAAACACACTTCCTATGGCTCCCCTTGGAATTTTAGACTTAATGACTTCCCCCTTCCTTCCCCTCAGTTCATTCCAATCATACCACATCTTTTTAAACAGAGCTAGTGTATCCATTCATTGATTCAGTCACTCATTCACTCATTCATGCATTCAATAAGTAAGCAAAGTATATATTGAGCACTTCACAAATGCCAATACTTCAGATAGAGTAGTGTAAAAGTTAGACGTGGTCCCTATCCACCCAGAAATCACAGCTAAGCAGACAAGACAGACAGTAAACATATATAACTGATTATGAGAAAGATTATGTTTGGGACAGTACAGTGTGCTATGAGTAAGATAAATATGTAATTTACCACCCTAACCTAGATGCTTTTGAGAGTAGGAGGAGGTGCTATAGATAACTATTCCAGAACAACAGGTTAAACCAGAATTGTCCTGGACCAGGCAGGACATATGGTTCCTCTAGCTTTGGCCATTCAGCAAGGGGCCTAACTCAGTTATAGGCCTGTTTCCTCTCCTCTCTCTGTTATCCTGTTCCTACCTTCCCCTATCTCCCCCTGCTTTTGATCCTTTATAGGATAGCAGATTTCAGCGGCATGAGTGATGGAGCCCATTGATGTCAGTGATTTAAATCCAGTGCTTGGCAGTGTTTCCAAGCATTGGTATGTCATCATTTCCTGCTACCCCAGGTTACCTTGAGAGGGACCTTCACCATATTGAGGCTCTAAATCTTGACTTCTGTCTTTGAATCCAGCTCCCTTCCCACATATCAAGAATGTGGCTGGACTTCTGCCCAGGACTGGCCTGTGATTTTATACTCAGTAGCAATATGAGGAGCAGGGTGGTTTTGGTGTTCTGGGAGCTGTTTCTCTGGGGATAATGGGCTTACAAAAATCCAAAGCTCAGTCTGGTGTGGCAGTCACCTAGAGGGCATTCCAAAGGTATAAATACCTCACTGAGGCATTCCAAAGGTATAAATACCTCACTGACGACCTACCATTTTGTTCCACCTATAAGTCTGAGCTGTGGAAGATTTCTCTTTTCATTATCAATGGCTGACCTGAAAAATTGTCTCAGTAATGGCATCCTTGGGGCATCTGGAAGATGCTTGTGAGGCTTTGTCCCATAGCCCCTATAGGCCCATCTCTGAGTTTACCTGAAGCGACAGTAGATAATTCCTGGAAGGTTGGTGGCTTCTCACCTCAAACGCCTATTAACCCTCTGCCTGAGGCTTCCAGCAGTCCCTCCTGGAGCTTAATCAGCCTGCACAGGATAACCCTCAACCAGTGAAGAACAGGAGTTAATGGATATGGTATTCGGGATTGAAAGCGACCTCAATTATCCTTGCCTCGTGGTATTCATGCCCTTGTGCAGTCCTCCTCACAAAAAAATAGGGCTGACCTTTGCAACCAATATAATATAGCAGGAAATAATGGTGTGCAACTTTAAAGGCTGGATCACAAAAAGCATTGCTGCTCCCACCTTGTTGTCTTTTGGATCACTTGCTCTGGGGGAAGCCAGCTGCCATATTGTGAGGACACTCAAGTAACCTTACAGAGAGGGCCATGTGGTAAAGAGCTGAGGCCTCCTTCAACAGCTAGCAACTGAGTTGTCAGCCAGGTGAGTGCGCCATCTCAGAAACAGATCCTCCAACCCCAGTCAAGCCTTCAGTTGACTGCAGCCTCAGCCAACAGCTTGCTGCAATCTTAAAGGGAGACCCCCAAGCCAGAACCATCCAACTAATCCAACCTCAAATTCCTGACCCTTAAAACAGTGAGAGAGTATAAATGTTAATTGTTGCTTTAAACTGCTACATTTAGGGTAATTTGTTACACAGCATTAGTGAACTAGCATGGCAGATAAACACCCTAGCTTCTGCAGAAGCACACACCATGTGGTTTCTCAGGCAATCTTCAGTGGAATTGAGCCCCAGTTGTCCACAGTGGTAATATTCTCACTGTATGCTTTTTATTTGTTTTGTATTTTCTCCCCTCTGTGTCTCATTCTCCCCACTTCCTCACTTTTGTTTCCTGTGATTACCTCCCAAATAAACTACCTACCCTCAAGTCCTTGCCTTGGCATCTTCTTTGAGAGAACTCAAACCAAGATAGGTTATCTTGCTCATACTCATGAATCAACCTTTCAAAGGAAGAGCAACTTTTGTAAACATGTTTATGTCTTTAGCAAATTTTTATCCTAAGTATTGTCTTTATTTTTTTTTAAAAAAACCCTCCCATATTGTATGATTCCATTTATATAAAATGTCCAGAACAGGCAAACCTATAGAGACAGAAGATAGATTAGTGGTTTCCTTGGACTGAGAGTGGGAATGGGGACTGACAGCAAATGGCACAAGAGATCTCTGGGTATGATGGTGATATGGTTTGAGTCTGTGTCCCCACCCAAATCTCATGTTGAATTGAAATCCCCAGTGTTGGAGGTGGGGTCTTATGGGAGGTGATTGAATCATGGGGGTGGTCTCTCACGGTTTAACACCATCCCCCTAGTGCTGTTCTCATGATAGAGTTATCATGAGATCTGGTTGTTTAAAAGTGTGTGGCATCTATCCTCTCTCTCTCGGTCCTGCTCCTGCCATGTAAGATGCCTCTCCCACTTTGCCTTCTGCCATGAGTAAAAGCTCCCTGAGGCCTCCCCAGAAGCAGATGCTGCCATGCTTCCTGTACAGCCTGCAGAACCATGCACGAAGTAAATCTCTTTTCTTTATAAATTACCCAGTCTCGGATATTTCTTTATAGCACTGTGAGAGTGGAGTAATGCAGATAGAAATCTCCTAAAACTGGATTGCATTAATGGTTGCACAACTCTGTATATTTGCTAAAGGCCATCGAATTATACACTTTAAACAGGTAACTTTTATACTTTTTTTCCTTTATTATACCTCAGTGAAGCTGTTTTAAAGAAATAAAAATGATTTTCATGGCTGAAACATGTATAGAAATGGGGCGGGGAAAGTGGGACAGAGAAAATTGAAAGAAAGGAGTCCTATTGCTAGCCACTTTCATTTCATAAAAACTAGAATTACTACAGTATCTTCCAAAATAAAATCAACATATTTTATAGAGGCCAAGT